>NC_000019.10:39059055-39362086 GCF_000001405.40 Homo sapiens
TATTTTTTTAATTTTTAATTTTTGTAGGTGTACTTATTTATGGGGTAAATGAAATGTTTTGATACAAGCATGGAATGTATAATAATCACATCCTGGAGAATGGGGCATCCATCCCCTCAAGCATTTATCCTTTGTGTTACAAACAATCCAATTATACTCTTTCAGTTATCTTTAAATAGGCGAGTTATTATTGACTATAGGCGCCCTGTTGTGTGATCAAATAGTAGGTCTTATTCATTATTTCTATTTTTTTATACCCACTAACCATCCTCTCCTCCCCCCAACCTCCACTATCCTTCCCAGCCTCTCTATGTCCATGAGTTCAATTGTTTTGATTTTTAACTCCCACAAATAAGTGAGAACATGTGATGTTTGTCTTTCTGAACCTGGTTTATTTCACTTAACATAATGGTCTCCAGTTCCATTCATGTTGTTACAAATGACTAGATCTCATTCTTTTTTATGGCTAAATAGTACTCCACTGTGCATATGTACATTTTCCTTATCCATTCATCTGCTGATGGACACTTAGGTTGCTTCCAAATTTTGGCTACTGTGAGCAGTGCTGCAATACACATGTCAGTGTAGATATTTCCTTAACAGATACACTGATTTCCATTCTATGGGGTATATACCCAGCAGTGGGATTGCTGGATCATATGGTAGCTCAAATTTTTAGGTGTTTTGTTTTTTTTTTTTTTTTTGAGACAGAGTCTAGCTCTGTCCCTCAGGCTCAAGTGCAGTGGTGTGATCTTGCTCACTGCAACCTCTGCCTCCCAGGTTCAACTGATTCTTCTGCCTCAGCCTCCTGAGTAGCTGGGATGACAGGCATGCACCATGACGCCTGGCTAATTTTTGTATTTTTAGTAGAGACGGGGTTTCACCACATTGGCCAGGCTGGTCTTGAACTCCTGACCTCAAGGGATCCACCTGCTTTGGCCTCCCAAAGTGTTGGGATTACAGGTGTGCGCCACTGCGCCCAGCCTCAATTTTTAGTTTTTTGAGGAACCTCCAAACTGTTCTCCACGGTGGTTGTACTAATTTACATTCCCACCAACAATGTACGAGGGTTCCCTTTTCTTCACATCATTGCCAGCATTTGTTATTGCCTGTCTTTTGGATATAAGGCACTTTAATTGGGGTGAGATGATATATCTCACTGTAGTTTTGATTTGCATCTCTCTAATGATCAGCGATGTTGAGCCCCTTTTCATATGCCAATAGGCGGATATTTCTAGCTGTCTGTGTGATTCCTGGGTCTACTTCTCCAAAATCAGACTGGAAGCAGAGAGGCAGTGTGGAGAGCAGATAAGAGTCAGGGCTCTGCTGCCAGACTGCCCGAGTTCAAATCCTGGCTCCACCTCTGGCTCACTGGGGGGACTTTGAGCATGCCACTCAGTCTTTCTGACCTCAGTTTCCCCCTGTATAAAATGGGGATGATAATGCTACCTATCTCATAGGGTTGTGGAGAGGACCAAATGAGCTAGTATGGGGTATTTCATGGATCCACGGAATTGGGATGGGTGTTAAAATAGATGATCTGTTGTGGTTTAATCAACAGTGGTCTTTTTTGCTTCCTTTTTTTTTTTTTTTTTTGAGATGGAGTCTCACTCTTGTTGCCCAGGCTGCAGTACAGTGGCGCAATCTTGGCTCACTGCAGCCTCTGCCTCCTGGGTTCAAGCAATTTTCCTGCCTCAGCCTCCTGAGTAGCTGGGATTACAGGCATGTGCCACCACGCCCGGCTAATTTTGTATTTTTAGTAAAGATGGGGTTTCTCCATGTTGGTCAGGCTGGTCTCGAACTCCTGACCTCAGGTGATCCACCTGCCTCCGCCTCTCAAAGTGTTGGGATTACAGGCGTGAGCCACTGCGCCTGGCCTTTTTTATTTTTATTTTTATTTTTTTTTTAGATAGAGTCTTCCTCTGTCGCCCAGGCTAGAGTGCAGTGGCACGATCTCGGCTCACTGCAACCTCCGCCTTCCGGGTTCAAGTAATCCTCCCGCCTCAGTCTCCTGAGTAGCTGAGATTACAGGTGTCTGCCACCATGCCCAGCTAATTTTTGTCTTTTTAGTAGAGACAGGGTTTCACCATGTTGGTCAGGGTGGTCTCAAACTCCTGGCCTCAGGTGATCCACCTGCCTCGGCCTCCCAAAGTGTTGGGATTGCAGGTGTGAGCCACTGCACCTGGCTGCTTTATTTTTTTCTTTCTAAGATGGCTCTTATGCACAGAGCACCTTAGAGTTGGTGTAATAGGGCACATGGGAAGGCTAAGAGCAGTGCTTGTAGCACAGAAAGTAGCATGTGACTGTTGATCAGTATCATTACTGTTAATTCCCCTCAAACACCCCACAGCTCCCTCCGCTCTCTTGAGGGAGTCCCGCAGAAAGACAGCTTCTCTCTCTCTCTCATTCTGTCTTTCTCTCTCCCTTGCCTCTGCTGAACTCAAACAAGAAAGCGTGTTGCAGTGGTGTTGGCAGCCTTTCACTTACAACCTTATCTTCAGGATGAAGATAAAACTAGATAGAGATTGCAGAGCAGAGAAACGGGAACCCAGGATGCCAATGACATCAGTGAGCATCTGGACAGACTACACATCTTCTGTGGGTTTCCTGTTACTTGCAGCCCAAAGCATTCATATGTGGAGTGTGTGTGTGTGTGTGTGTGTGTGTGTGTGTGTGTGTGTGTGAAATGTTCTCCTGAAAGCACTGGGGGGTTTCTGAGACTTCTGAACATGGGCTATCTTTACTAGTGTTTTTTCAGGCCTGTCTCCCACTCCTGAGCCCCCTAAGCCAGTATTCTCTCCAACAAGGCCTCTTTCCCTACCCCATGCTACAGATCTCTGGGAAGCTGAGCCCAGTGGTCTGATTGACAGGTGACTCCAAGATGTTGCTTGTTCAAAGATGCTGAGATCTCTCTGGAAATTGTCACTAATTTCCACTTAGGACAGCATTTCCCAAAGAGTGGAATATGCTAGTGAGATTTGACACATTTAGGTGGTACACAAAACATTTGTTATGTGAATAGCTCTGTGTTTTCTTTTTTTCTTTTTTAGAGATAGGGTCTCACACTGTCACCCAAGCTTGAGTGCAGTGGTGCAATCTTGGCTCACTGTAGCCTCGGCCTCCTGGGCTCAAGTGATCCTCCCACCTCAGCCTCCCAAGTAGCTTGGACTACAGGCACACGCCACAGTGCCCAGCTAATTAAAAAACATTTTTTTTTTTTGTAGTGATGGGGTCTTGCTATGTTACCCAGGCTGGTCTTGAACTCCTGGCTTCCATCAATCCTCCTGCCTTGGCCTTCCAACATGCTGGAATTACAGGCATGAGCCACTACACCCAGCCCAGCTCTGGGTGTACAGGCGCCTGGGTGTTTTTTTTTTTTTTTTTTTTTTTTGAGACAGAGTTTCACTCTTGTTGCCCAGGCTGGAGAGCAATAGCTCGATCTCAGCTCACTGCAACCTCTGCCTCTGGGTTCAAGAGATTCTCCTGCCTCAGCCTCCTGAATAGCTGGGATTACAGGCGCCCGCCACCATGCCGGCTAATTTTTTGTATTTTTAGTAGAGATGGGCTTTCACCATGTTGGCCAGGCTGGTCTCGAACTCCAGACCTCAGGTGATCCACTCGCCTCAACCTCCCAAAGTGCTGGGATTACAGTCGTGAGCCACCACGCCCAGCCCTGTATTTTCTTTGAAAAAGTATTAAATGATTTTGGTTTTCTCTTTATAGTAGTGATACAATGTTGCCTTCAAAATGAATTAAGCCTAAACATTATTTAAAGAAATTAAGTAAATAAGAGTTTAAGTAGTCCTTGAATAGGACAAAAAAATCTCAAGTGGTATGTGAGCCACTGAAGTTTGGGTAGCTTGGTTTTAGAGAAACCCTGCACTATTTTTTTTCCCCCTGGCGACGGTCCCCAGTTTGTCTGGCCTGGGGGTGAGACTCGCTCTTCTTTCTTGGGTTTGCTTTTCAAATGCACAGAGCAGGGCACTCAGCCGACAACATGAGGGCTGACGGTTGTCACCAAGCAGCGATGTCTCTCCACTGGGAGCCTTTAAAAAGGCTACACTTGGCCCGGCGTGGTGGCTCACGCCTGTAATCCCAGCACTTTGGGAGGCTGAAGGGGGCAGATCACCTGAGGTCAGGAGTTCGAGACCAGCCTGACCAACATGGAGAAACCCCGTCACTAAAAATACAAAATTAGCCGGGCATGGAGGCGCATGCCTGTAATCCCAGCTACTCGGGAGGCTGAGGCAGGAGAATCGCTTGAACCTGGGAGGCGGAGGTTGCAGTGAGCCCAGATCGCGCCATTGCACTCTAGCCTGGGAAGAGCAAAACTCCGTCTAAAAAAATTTTAAAAAGGCTACACTTGCAGTGATTTAAAATAAACTGAGGCTTTTAGGAAATCTCTGCTGAAGCGGCTCCTGCTTCAGCAGAAACACCTGTGTGTTTTAATGCTGAGGATGGGCGGAGTATGGAGCCTTGGGCAGAGTACGGAGCCTTCGGTGAAACTGCGGACTGGGAGAGACCTGGACCAGTTACAAGCTGTGTAATATCAGACAAGCTACCTGTATTTGTCTGTTCTCGTATTGCTATAAAGAAATACCTGAGAGGCCCAGCGTGGTGGCTCACGCTTGTAATCCCAGCACTTTTGAGGCCGAGGTGGGCAGATCATTTGAGGACATGAGTTTGAGACCAGCCTGACCAACATAGTGAAACCCCGTCTCTACTAAAAATACAAAAAAAAAAAAAAAAAAAATTAGCCAGGCATGGTAGCGGGCGCCTGCACTCCCAGCTACTTGGAAGGCTGAGGCAGGAGAATCACTTGAACCCAGGAGGTGGAGGTTGCAGTGAGCCGAGATCGCACCACTGCACTCCAGCCTGGGTGGCAGAGTGACTCTGTTTCAAAAAAAAAAAGGAAGAAATGTGCCCAGGCCAGGCGTGGTGGCTCACATGTGTAATCCCAGCATTTTGGGAGGCTGAGGCAGGAGAATCTCTTGATCCAGGGAGATTGAGGTTGCAGTGAGCTGAGATCGAGCCACTGTACTCCAGCCTGGGCAACAGAGTGAGACTCTGTCAAAAAAAAAGAAAAGAAAAGAAAGAAAGAATAAATAAATAAATAAATATGCCCTGGGGCGGACGCAGTGACTCATGACTGTAATCCCAGCACTTTGGGAGGCCACGGTGGGAGGATCACTTGAGCCCAGGAGTTTGAGATTACAGTGAGCCATGATCATGCCACTGCACTCCAGCCTGGGTGACAGGGCGAGACCCTGTCTCAAAACAAAAAAACAAAATTACCTAAGCCCAACATGGAACTCCATTATACTCATAACCAGGTTTGTTGTCGTCGTTGTTAGAGACAGGGTCTCGCTCCATCACCCAGGCTGGAGTGCAGTGGTGTGATCATGGCTCACTGTAATCTCAAACTCCTGGGCTCAAGCGATCCTCCCAACTCAGCCTCCCAAACTGTTGTGATTACAGGCATGAGCCACCGCACCGGGCCCGTAAACAGTTTTAAATTTTTCAGGAATGCAACTACTGGGTAGAACCAGGAATGTGTGTTCATTGTTCACCATTTGGTGCCAGAGTCACAAAGCTGTGTCTGTCTTTATTTGTGGCTCTCCAGCTGGCATTCACAAAGCTTCTGCCCCTGGCACACCCCTAACCCTTTATTATGTTTTATAGCTTAGTTAAGTCTGAGCTTTTTGAACATTTTACTATAAATTACTTTCCGCTTATTCTTTCTTCATTATAATAAGGACATTATCTTGATTAAAAATTTTATTTTGTATGTGGGTGGGTTATATTATCCATAAACTTTATTTCAGGGTGGTAAAGGGAGCATATAAAATATTTATTATAACACTAATCTATGCTAAAAATCAAAACAGCCGTTACCCCTGGGGGTGGGGGGCGGGCGGTAAGAGGATTGACTGCAAAAGGGCACAAAGGAATGTTCTGGAGAGAAATGTTCTCTGCCTTGATTGAGGTGGTGTACAATTGTCAAAACTCATCCAACTGCACACTTAAAGTGGGCGCGTTTTACCGTAATTATAATGTAAATTATACCTCACTCGAGTGGAATAAAACAAATTTTAAAATATCTGCATAGAAACTTTAAAAGTATAGATTTGGCCAAGCATGGTGGCTCAGGCCTGTAATCCCAGCACTTTGGGAGGGCAAGGTGGGTGGATCACCTGAGGTCAGGAGTTCAAGACCAGACCAGCCTGGCCAACATGGAGAAACCCCACCTGTACTAAAAATACAAAATTAGCCAGGCGTGGTGGCGGGTGCCTGTAATCCCAGCTGTCTGGGAAGCTAAGACACAAGAAGCGCTTGAACTCGGGAAGCAGAGGTTGCAGTGAGCCAAGATCTTGCCACTGCACTCCAGCCTGGGCAACAGAGCAAGACCCTGTCTCAAAATTAACAAAAAACATAGACTTGTTCTAGAAAGCAGATAGAGATCTGCTAAGGCCTTGAAATCAATTAAGTGGATTTAGACCAGCATTTAAAAACAAAAGCAAAAACAGAAGAGATTAGAGGCTGGCACTGCCCACATTGTGAGTCTTGCACAAGTTATATAAAACTTTTTTTTTTTTGAGACAGAGTCTCACTCTGTCACCCAGGCTGGAGTGCAGTGGCATGATCTCAGCTCACTGCAACCTCCGCCTCCTGGGTTCAAGCAATTCTCCCACCTCACCCTCCCGAGTAGCTGGGATTACAGATGCGTGCCACCATGCCCGGCTAAATTTTTTTGTACTTTTAGTAGAGACGGGGTTTCACCATGTTGGCCAGGCAGGTCTTGAACCCCTGACCTCAAGTGATCCACCTGCCTTGGCCTCCCAAAGTCCTGGGATTACAGGCGTGAGCCACCGCAACTGGCCAAGTTTTGTAAACTTTAATTATGTAATAGATATACATATATGCATGTGTGCTAGGTTGTGATATAAGTACATGTCTTATTTTGAACTGTAGTCAAAAACATTGAAAAAACTAAAATGGTACTTGCCAGACTTTCAAACATAGATCTCTTACCTCTTTTGCAGCAATGTCTGAGATATGATTAGATCATCATGATTTTATCCGAGAAGACTGACAGTCAGAAGCTTGTGTTTGAAAGAGGATTAAACGTGGTAGAGTGAGTTCTAATAACAGAAATCACAGGGATGGGGAATAAAAAGAGTGTTGGGGTGAGAGCTGAATGCTCATCGTTCATAATGATGTCTATATTTGATCAATCCAGAATTAACATGACAAACCTGGAAAAATACTTCCAAATTGCATCACATGCAAAGGGCTAATTTTAATAGATTTCCCACAAATGAATAAGAAAAGGAACAATCTCATCAGGGGAAAAAATACACAGAGAATGTGAACAAATAGTTCATAGAAAAGGAAATAAGAATGGCTCTTAAGTCCGGGCGCCGTGGCTCACGCCTGTAACTCCAGCACTTTGGGAGGCTGAGGTGAGTGGATCACTTGAGGTCAGGAGTTCGAGACCAGCCTGGCCAACATAATGAAACCCTGTCTCCACTAAAAATACAAAAATTAGTCGGGCGTGGTGGTGGGGGTCTGTAATCCCAGCTACTCGGGAGGCTGAGACAGGAGAATCGCTTGAACTCAGGAGGCAGAGGTTGCAGTGAGCCGAGATCGCACCACTGCATTCCAGCCTGGGCAACAGAGCGAGACCGTCTTTTTTTTTTTTTTTTTTTCTGAGACGGAGTCTCGCTCTGTCACCCAAGCTGGAGTGCAGTGGTGCGATCTCAGCTCACTGCAAGCTCCACCTCCCGGGTTCACGCCATTCTCCTGCCTCAGCCTCCCGAGTAGCTGGGACTACAGGCGCCTGCCACCGCGCCTGGCTAATTTTTTGTATTTTTAGTAGAGACGGGGTTTCACCATGTTAGCCAGGATGGTCTCGATCTCCTGACCTCGTGATTCACCCGCCTCGGCCTCCCAAAGTGCTGGGATTACAGGTGTGAGCCACCATGCCCGGCTGCCACACACTTTTAAATGACCAGATCTCTTGAGAACTCACTCACTACCAAGGGGATGGTGCTCACCCATTCATGAAGGATCCACCCCATGATCCAATCACCTCCCACCAGGCTCCACCTCCAATGTTGGAAATTGCAATTCAACATGAGATTGGTGGTGATAGCACCTAGACTATATCGGCCACGGTACCTAGAGCATAACGTGCAGTGATGAAAAACAAATCCAACAGCTTGTCAAGGTCATCAGTGACTTCCATGGTGCCAAATCCAAAGTTCAATTCTTTTTTTTTTTTTTTTTTGAGATGAAGTCCCTCTCTGTCACCCTCTCTGTCCAGGCTGGAGTGCAGTGGTACAATCTCAGCTCACTGCAACCTTGGCCTCCTGGGTTCAAGCGATTCTGCTGCCTCAGTCTCCTCTGTAGCTGGGACTACAGGCATGTGCCACCACACCTGGCTAATTTTTGTATTTTTAGTAGAGATGGGGTTTCACCGTGTTGGCCAGGCTGGTCTCAAACTCCTGACCTCAAGTGATCCGCCCACCTCAGCCTCTCAAACTGCTGGGATTACAGGCATGAGCCACCGCACCCAGCCTCAATTCTTATTTTCTTTTCTTTCTTTTTTTTTTTTTGAGACAGTCTTACTCTTGTCACCCAGGCTGGAGTGCAGTGGCCAATCTCGGCTCACTGCAACTTCCACCTCCTGGGTTAAAAAGATTCTCCTGCCTCAGCCTCCCAGGTAGCTGGGATTACAGGCACCCGCCACCACTCCCGGCTGAGGGCCTCGTATTATAAGAATATTTGTGATTGCATTTGGAGCCTACATGGATTATCCAGGATCATCTTCCCATTTTAATATTCTTTTTTTTTTGAGATGGAGTTTCGCTCTTGTTGCCCAGGCTAGAGTGCAATGACACGATCTCAGCTCACTGCAACCTCTGCCTCCAGGGTTCAAGTGATTCTCCTGCCTCAGCCTCCTGAGTAGCTGGCATGTCCGCAATTTATTCCTTCTGATGGGTTCTTGGTCTTGCTGACTTCAAGAATGAAGCCATGGACCTTCCTTCGGGGTGAGTGTTACAGCTCTTTAAGACGGTGTGTCTGAAGTTTGTTCCTTCAGATGTTCACATGTGTCTGGAGTTCCTTCCGGTGGGCTCATGGTCTCACTGACTTCAGGAGTAAAACCGCAGGCCTTCACAGTGAGTGTTACAGCTCTTAAAGGTAGTGTGGACCCAAAGAATGAGCAGCAGCAAGATTTATTGTGAAGAGCCAGAGAACAAAGCCTCCACTGTGTGGAAAAGGACCAGAGCAGGTTGCCACTGCTGGCTCCAGTGGCCAGCTTTTATTCCCTTATTTGGCCCCGCCCACATCCTGCTGATTTGTCCATTTTACAGAGTGCTGATTGGTCCATTTTGCAGAGTGCTGATTGGTCCATTTTATAGAGTGCTGATTGGTGCGTTTACAATCCTTTAGCTAGACACAGAGTGCTGATTGGTGTGTTTTTACAGAGTGCTGATTGGTGCATTTACAATCCTTTAACTAGACACAGAGCGCTGATTGGTGCGTTTACAATCGTTTAGCTAGACAGAAAAGTACTCCAAGTCCCCACTCGACCCAGGAAGTCCAGCTGGCTTCACCTCTCACTGGGATTACAGGCATGTGCCACCACACCCAGCTAATTTTGTATTTTTAGTAGAGATGGAGTTTCTCCATGTTGGTCAGGCTGGTCTCAAACTCCCGACCTCAGGTGATCCACCCACCTCAGCCTCCCAAAGTACTGGGATTACAGACATGAGCCACCACCCCCAGCCTCTGTTTCTTTTTTTTGGGCACCAGTAATCCCAGCTACTTGGGAGGCTGAGGCAGGAGAATCACTTGAACCCAGGAGGCAGAGGTTACAGTGAGCCAAGATGGCACCACTGCACTCCAGCCTGGGCAACAGAGCGAGACTCTGTCTCAAAAAAAAAAAAAAAAAAAAAGAGAGAAAAAAACCTGAGGGTGCTGTTATAGAAGGTGCAAATGTGCAAATGGCCACTGTGAACAGCCAGTGGACCCTGCTGCACCTTTCCTCCCCTCCCATCAACCTCTTTTGTGCCTCCCCCTCCGTGTACCACCTTCTCTGTCACCAACCCTGGCCTCACAACTCTCTCCTTTGCCACTATCATCAACAAACAAACAAACAACAACAACAAAAACCTCAGACTTCTCAAGAACAATACTGCAAACAAGATGAGAGAAAAATGCCTTTAAAATTCTGAAACAAATGGAGTTTGGTCCCTGAATTCTGTGGCCAGTCAACTATCAATCAAGTCAGAGGAGAGTTTGAAGACATTTTCAGACGTGTAAAGTCTGAAACGTTTACCTCCCATGACCTTGCTCAAGAAGCTCCAGGATGGCCAGGCACGGTGGCTCACGCCTGTAATCCCAGCACTTTGGGAGGCTGAGGCGCGTGGATCACGAGGTCAGAAGTTCGAGACCAGCCTGACCGACATGGTGAAACCCCATCTCTCCTAAAAATACAAAAATTATTTGGGCATGGTGGTGTGTGCCTGTGATACCAGCTACTCGGGAGGCTGAGGCAGGAGAATCGCTTAAACCTGGGAGGCGGAGGTTGCAGTGAGCCGAGATCGCGCCACTGCACTCCAGCCTGGGCGACAGAGCAAGACTCCATCTCACAAAAAAAAAAAGAAGAAAAGCTTCAGGATGCACTCAACTGAAATGAGAGCACCACCAAGAAAAAGGGGAGCACTGAGATCCAGGACACAGGGGACCTGACATAGGAGAGAAGTGAAGAGGCACCTCAGGATGGCAGTAAAGGAGGTCCCAGCATGGCAGCAGGGCACCACAGTCTGAGGGCAGGCCGGGTATGGTGTTGTGTGCCTGTGATCCCAGCTACTGGGGAGGCCGTGGCAAGAGGATCACTTCAACCCAGGAGCTCGAGGCTGCAGTGAGCCATGATCATGCCACTGCACTCTAGCCTGGGTGACAGACAGAGACCCTTTCTCTAATATAGACATAAAAATATTATATAAAAATAAATATATAATATTTCTATTATATAAAAATTATTTCTACATATTTCTATAATTATATAATATACAAATTATTTATTTATTTATATTATATAAAAATAAAATAGAAAAGGTTAGAGGGCAACAAGTCCAGATAGGACCGTGTGACTCATGAGGCCAATGTGGGGGCAATCATCGCCAGCATGCCAACTGCCATTGTACTGTTTTTTTTGTTTTTTGGTTTTTTTTGAGACAGTGTCTCACTCTGTTGCCCACGCTGGAGTGCAGTGGTATAATGATCTCAGCTCACTGCAGCCTTGACCTCCTGGGCTCAAATGATCGTCCCACCTCAGCCTCCCAAGTAGCTGGGATGACAGGTGCACACCACCACACCTGGCTAGTTTTTGTATTTTTTTGTAGAGACGGGGTTTCACCGTGTCACCCAGGCTGATCTCGAACTCCTGAGCTCAAGCAATCTGCCCACCTTGCACTGTGGCCTCCCAAAGTGCTGAGATTGCAGCTTGAGCCACTGCACCCGGCCTTTGTTTTGTTTTTTAAGTTGAGGAGAGTATGGCTGGGTGAACATGAACCACATTCTTCCTTTCTTTTTAACCAGAGACAGGGTCTCACTACATCACCCAAGCTGCTCTTGAACTCCTGGGCTCAAGAGATCCTCCCACCTCAGCCTCCCAAAGTGCTGGGAGCCACCACACCCGGCTCACATTCCTGTCTATACTTGACTTGCCTTGACCATGGCAGAGAGCCTGTTCTCCCTGCGAGACCTGCCATGGACCATGGCAGAGAGCCTGTTCTCCCTGAGTGACCTGCCATGGACCCAGGGGTATACTCGTTTCCCTCTAGTAACTGTGCTGCTGGGCCCACGCCTGAGAGCCTGTGGAGGGCTGGGGTGTTCCTGGAGGTAGGATACACAGAGCTGACCACACTCCTGCTGACCATGCACAGCGTGACCCACGCTTCAGCCCTGACAGATCCCCCAGTTGGTGGTGAGTCATGTGCCCTCTAGGACTCAACTCCTGTTCTCACCCACTGAACTCACGAGGAAGGATTAGTGTAGACCCTCAGGGAAGATCACACCAGATTTGATCTTGATATGACCCAGCTCATCCTTCACACAGCAGGGGCCAGGCTGCCCTTTCCTCACACAGAAGGATGAGCCTTGCTCTCCAGTGGGTTTTTATTTATTTATTTACAGACAGGATCTACCAAGGCTGGAGTGCAGTGGTGAGATCTTGGCTCACTGCAACCTCTGCCTCCCTCCCAGGCTCAAGTGATCCTCCCATCTCAGCTTTCTGAATAGCTGGGACCACGGGCACACACCACCACACCTGGCTAATTTTTGTATTTTTTGTAGAGACGAGGTTTAGCCATGTTGGCCAGGCTGGTCTCAAACTCCTGGGCTCAAGCGATCGGCCCGCCTCGGCCTCCCAAAGTGCTGGGATTACAGGCGTGAGCCACTGCGTCCAGCCTAATAAGATATTTTTTAAGGCAATTTTTTGGGGGGGACAGGGTCTTGCTCCGTTGCCCAGGCTGGAGTGCAGTGGCATGATCACAGCTCACTGCAGTCTCCTGGGATCAAGTGATCCTCTCACCTCAGCCTCCCGAGCACACCCCCGTAGGACTTTAAAATCTTCCAACACTCCTCAATGTGACTACAGTGGAAAATGGTGTACCCAACAATGGTACAATAAATAGTTGGGGCCAGGCATGGTGGCTCACACCTGTAATCCCAGCACTTTGGGAGGCCGAGGTGGGCAGATCATTTGAGGTCAGGAGTTCAAGAGCAGCCTGGCCAACATGGTAAAACCCTGTCTCTACTAAAAAAAAAAAAAAAAAAAGTCCGGGTGCAGTGGCTCACGCCTGTAATCCCAGCACTTTGGGAGGCCGAGGCAGGTGGTTCACGAGGTCAGGAGATCGAGACCATCCTGGCTAACAAGGTGAAACCCCGTCTCTACTAAAAAATACAAAAAAAAATTAGCCGGGCATGGTGGCGGGCACCTGTAGGCCCAGCTACTTGGGAGGCTGAGGCAGCAGAATGGCATGAACCCGGGAGGTGGAGCTTGCAGTGAGCCGTAATCGCGCCACTGCACTCCAGCCTGGGCAACAGAGTGAGACTCCGTCTCAAAAAACAAAAAACAAAAATTATCCAGGCATGGTGTCATGTGCCTGTATTCCCAGCTACTTGGAAGGCTGAGGCAGGAGAATCACTTGAACCCAAGTAGCAGAGGTTGCAGTGAGCCAAGATCACACCACTGTGCTCCAGCCTAGGCGACAGAGCAAGACTCTGTCAAAAAAAAAAAAATAATAATAAAATAAAAATAAATAAATAGTTGGGCCAATATTTATAAGAGCTCATGTTTGTTTGAGGGTTTAGTCTGTCCCTGGCCTCAATTCCGGATTTTATGGAACTGTTATGTCCACCTGATGATACAGTGATGCTTGGAGGCCACGTGCAGTGGCTCACGCCTATAATCCCAGCACGCTGGGAGTCCAAGGCAGGTGGATCGCTTCAGCCCAGGAGTTTGAGACCAGCCTGGTCAGCAAGGCGAGACTGTGTCTACAAAAAATTTTTAAAAATCAGGTGGGTGAGGTGGTGTGAAACTGTAGTCTCAGCTACTAGGGAGGTTGAAGTGGGAAGATCACTTGAGTCCAGGAGTTCGAGGCTGCAGTGAGCTATGATCATGACACTGCACTGCAGCCTAGGCAACAGAATGAGACCCTGTCTTAAAAAACAAAATACATGGCCAGGAAGGGTGGCTAACGCCTGTAATCCTAGCACTTTGAGAGGCCAAGACAGGTGGATCACCTGAGGTCGGGACTTCGAGACCAGCCTGACCAACATGGAGAAACTCCGTCTTGACTAAAAATGCAAAATTAGCTGGGCGTGGTGGTGCATGCCTGTAATCCCAGCTACTCAGGAGGCTGAGGCAGGAGAATTGCTTGAACCCCGGAGGCGGAGATTGCAGTGAGCCAACATTGCGCCATTGCACTCCAGCCTGGGCAACAAGAGCAAAACTTCATCTTAAAAAAAAAAAAAAGAAAAGAAAAAAAGACAAAAACAAAACCATGCTGGGAGATGACACAGGACCTGAGGCCTGAAATCCAGGATGAGATGGCAGAGGGATGAATCGGAGACAGTGGGGCCTGGTGGTTAAGGCCAAGTGTGCAGAAAGGAATGAATCTCAGGTTTTTTGTTTGTTTGTTTGTTTGTTTTTTGACACAGAGTCTTGCTCTGTTGCCCAGGCTGGAGTGCAATGGTGCAATCTCAGCTTACTGCAACTTCCACATCCCAGGTTCAAGAGATTCTCTTGTCTCAGCTTCCTGAGTAGCTGGGAACACAGGCGTCCATCACTATGCCTGGCTAATTTTTGTATTTTTAGTAGAGACAGAGTTTCACCATGTTGGCCAGGCTGGTCTCGAACTCCTGACCTCAGGCGATCCACCCGCCTTGGCCTCCCAAAGTGCTGGGATTACAGGCATGAGCCACCGCACCTGGCTTAGCTATTCTTCTTACTGACAGTGTGATGTCAGGTAAGTGAGCTCACTCCTCTGAACCTCAGTTTCCTCTTCTGTAATACAAAATGGGACCATGTGAAGTGGTGAGGAATCCATGCAATCATACACGGTTCACAGGAAGCCTCCAGTGAACTGGCTGTGGCTGTGATTATGAGGTGAAGTGTGGGGTGGGCTGTCCTGGGTCCGTCACAGGAAGCCTCCACATCTGAGAGGGTGAGTCACTCTTCCTTCCTGCTGTAATTTGAAGCAGGGTGGCATCTCTCGGGAGGTGAGCTGTGCCCTGGGCATGCTGCTCACCTCCGGTGGCTCACAGGTCCCCTGACATGTGACATCATATGCAGTCAGGATGAAATCATGGAGCTCAAAGTTTGGGATGAAAGGAAATGGTTCTGCTGGGAGGCGGAGATTGCAGTGAGCCAAGATTGCACCATTGCACTCCAGCCTGGGCGACAGAGTAAGACTCGGAAAAATAGAAAAGAAAAAGGAAAGAAAAAAAGAAGGAAAGAAGGAGGGAAGGAAGGAAGGAGAGAGAGAGAGAAACGAAAGAAGGAAGGAAGGAGAGAGAGAGGAAGGAAGGAAGGAGAAAGAAAGAAAGAGAAAGAAAGAAAGAAAAGAGAGAGAGAGAAAGAAAGAGAGAGAGAGAAAGAAAATGATTCTGTGCTCTCCTCCTCCTCTCAATCTCAAATTCTAGGGTCCAGCACTTAGCCGGGCAGCAAGAATGGGTTCATGATCCCAACAGTCATTAGGATTCATCCATGTATTTGATCATTTAATAAATCCTTACTGCACACCTGCTATGTGCCAGACAGCCAACATCCCTGCCTTCCTGGAGCTGTTAGGAAGCTGGGGCTGATAGCTCCAGGGGAGATGCTAGAAAATAAACATAATAAACAAGTAAATATTACAGTCTGTTAGAAGGTGATGAATGCTATGAAACAAATATTAGCCAGGGTAAGCTTAGGGCAGGGGTCAGCAAACTACAGTCGGGTGGCCAAATCCAGCCTGTCATTTGTTTTTATACAGCCTACAACCTAAGAATGGTTTTTACTTTTTTTTTTTTTTTAAAGACGAAGTCTCTCCCTGTCACCCAGGCTGGAGTGCAGTGGTGTGATCACTTCTCACTGCAACCTCTGCCTCCTGATTTCAAGTGATTCTCCTGCCTCAGCCTCCCGAGTAGCTGGGATTACAGGCAAACACCTCCATGCCCAGCTAATTTTTGTATTTTGAGTAGAGACGGGGTTTCACCATGTTGGCCAGGCTGGTCTCAAACTCCTGAACTCAGGTGATCTGCCTGTCTTGGCCTCCCAAAGTGCTGGGATTATAGGCATGAGCCACCATGCTTGGCCTAGTTTTAACTTAAAAAAACTTTTTTTTGAGACAGGTTCTCACCTCTGTCACTCAGGCTGGAGTACAGTGGTGCGATCATGGCTCACCACAGCTTCAACATCCCGGGCTCAGATAATCCTCCCACCTCAGCCTCCCAAGTAGCTGGGACTACACGCGTGCACCACCACACCCTGCTAATTTTAGTATTTTTCTAAGAGATGGGGTCTTGCTGTATTGCCCCAGCTGGTCTCAAACTTCTGGACTTAAGTGATCCTTCTGCCTCAGCTTCCCAGAGCACTGGGATTACAGGCATAAGCAACCATGCCCGGTTGATTTTTATGTTTTTTAATGGTTGGAAAACAAAAACAAAAGAAAAATAATATTTTCTGGTGTATGAAAATTATATGAATTTTGGCTGGGCGTGGTGGCTCATGCCTGTAATCCCAGCACTTTGGGAGGCTGAGGCGGGCGGATCACCTGAGGTCAGGAGTTTGAAACCAGCTTGGCCAACATGGTGAAACCCCATCTCTACTAAAAATGCAAAAATTAGCCTGATGTGATGGTGGGCACCTGTAATCCCAGCTACTCGGGAGGCTGAGGCAGGAGAATCGCTTGAACCCGGGAGGCAGAGGTTGCAGTGAGCTGAGATCGCGCCATTGCACTCCAGCCTGGGCAACAAGAAAGAAACTCCATCTCAAAAAAAAAAGAAAAGAAAAGAAAAGAAAATTATATGAATTTCCAATTTCAGTGTCTGTAAGTTTGTTTGTTTTTTGGAGATGAGGTCTCACTATGTTGGCCATGTTGGTCTTGAACTCTTGGCCTCAAGCAATCCTCCTGCCTCGACCTACCAAAGTGCTAGGATTACAGGCATGAGCCACTGCGCCTGGCCTCCATAAAGTTTTACTGGAATACACCCACACTCATTGGGTCCTGTAATGTCTGTAGGTGCTTTTGTTTGATGACAGAGTCCAGTAGCTGTGACGGAGGCTACGTGGCCTGCAAATCTTAAAATATTTAATATCTCGCCCTTTACCAAAAAACTTTTGCAGACCCCTGGCTTGTGGGGTGGGGAGTAGTGTGTGGAGGTGGATTGTAATTTTAAATTAGTCAAGGGGAGGGCTGCCTGAGAAAGTGTCATCTGGGTAAGGCCTGAAGGAAGGAGAGAAGGGGCTACATGGGCACCTGGGGAAGAATGTTCTAGGTCGAGGGAACAGGCAATAAGAAGGCCCTGAGAAGTGGGGACATGACTAATATGTTCAAAGAACAGTGTAGAGGCCAGGTGCAGTGGCTCACACCTGTAATCCCAGCACTTTGGGAGGCCGGCGTGGGCGGATCACTTGAGGTCAGCAGTTCAAGACCAGCCTTGGCAACATGGTGAAACCCTGCCTCTACTAAAAATACAAAAATTAGCCCGGCATGGTGGCATGCACCTGCAGTCCCAGTTGCTCGGGAGGCTGAGGCAGAAGAATCGCTTGAACCCAGGAAGCAGAGGTTGCAGTGAGCTGAGATTGCACCACTGCACTCCAGCCTGAACAACAGAGCAAGACTCCATCTCAAAAAAACAAAACAAAACAAAAAACAGCGTAGAAGCCTGGTGCCTGAACCAGTGTGGGTGAGGGGCAAGTAGTAAGAGATAAGGAAAGAGAAGTGACGGGGAGGTCACGTGGGGTCTCGTGGGCCATAAGGAGGTCTCTGGCTTTCCCCTGAGTGAGAGGATCAGGAGGGCTTTGAGCAGGTGAGAGACGTGATCTGACTCAGGTGTTCACAGGACCCCTCTGGTTACATGTGAGGGACAGACTGCAGGGGGTGAGGAGGGGGACAGGATGGGAGCGGGAAGACCAGGGAGGGACCTGCTGAGACAGCCCAGGAAGGAGAGGATGGGTAGGGGCTGCAGAATTGGGCAGGTTCTGGATAGATTGGAAGGTGGAGCTGACAGCATTTCACACTGGATAATATTCTAAGCAGGGAAGAGTCACTCCTAAACGTATTCACACACCTGTAATCCCAGCAGTTTGGGAGGCCAAGGCGGGTGGATCACCTGAGATCAGGAGTTCGAGACCAGCCTGGCCAACATGCCGAAACCCCATCTGTACTAAAAATACAAAAAATTGACCAGCCATGGTGGTGCGCACCTGTAATCCCAGCTACTCCATAGGCTGAGGCAGGAGAATCGCTTGAACCCGGGAGGCGGAGGTTGCATTGAGCCGAGATCATGCCATTTCACTCCAGCCTGGGCAACAAGAGCGAAACTCTGTCTCAAAAAAAAAAAAAAAAAAGTTTTCACACACCAGGCTTTGAAATCAGACACACCAGGGTTCTAGTCCTGGCTTCTCTGCCACACACCAGTTGTGTGATTTTAGGTAAACTGCTCAATGTCTCTAGCCTCAGTTTCTCCATCTATAAAATGGGCTTAATAAGCAGCATGCAGTATCAATGGGATTACTCATGCAGAGCATTCGGCACACAGCCAAGCACTCCATACAGGGAAGCTGCGATAACGGGGATCATTCCCGGGGGGACCCCAAGACCTGTTAGCCCTGGTCCCTGTCCCCAGGTGCATGCTACCGTTCTTTCTGGAAGGGAGCTGTCCCTCTACCATTCACCTTGTCTGCCCCCCACCCAGTCGGTGACCTGTAGGTCACACGACAAGGTGCTTAGCCTTGCTGAGCCTCAGTTTCCTCGTCTGTAAAATGGGTCCATCTGTAAAATTTCTAAAGTCTGCATTAAAGATTGTCAGGGTCATTAAATGAACACACAGCGTGTCAATCACTCGGGAATCAGTTGCTGCTGTGGCTTCACCATAAAGGTCGACAACAGCAACTACGTGGATGTCCCCAAGCATTTTCCCCAACATCTTATTATGAACATTTTCAAATGCACAGGAAAACTGAAAGACCTTTACAAGGAACACACATATATCCGCCATATATCCAACTGGATTCTATCATTAACATCTTACTATTCTTGGCCAGGCACAGTGGGTCACGCCTGTAATTTCAGCACTCTGGGAGGCCAAGGTGGAAGGATCCCTTGAGCCTAGGAGTTTGAGACCAGCCTGGGCAACATCGCAAGTCTTCGTCTCTACAAAAAATACAAAAATTAGCCGGGCGTAGCAGTGTGAGCCTGTAGTCCTAGCTACTCAGGAGGCTGAGGTGGGAGGATTGCTTGAGCCCGAGAAGTTGAGGATGTAGTGAGCTGAGATCGCACCGCTGTACTCCAGCCTGGGGAACAGAGCAAGATCCTGACTTTAAAAAAAAAAAAAGAAAAAGAAAAAACCAAACCCAAAAAGCCTACATCTTACTATTCTTTATATATGTACATATATAACTATACATATATAAATTAGAGATGGGGGTCTCACTATGTTGCCCAGGCTGGTCTTGAACCCCTAGGCTCACATAACCCTCCTGCCTCAGCCTCCCAAGTAGCTAAGACTGCAGGTATGTACCACCGCACCCAGCTAAAACCTTGAAATATTTCTATTAAGATTTTTAAGGACTCGGTTTATAACAAGTGCTGTTTTTACCACAGGTCTTAGTTCATTACATCCATTCATTCACTCATCTAATTCTCACAACTCTCTAAAATACGTCAAATATACAGCATGGTTTATTATCCCCATTTTGCAGATGTGGAAATTGAGGCACAGAGAGGCAAATGGCTCACAGCTACTCAATGCTGGAGCTGGGTTTAAACGCAAGCTGTCTGTCTCCAAAGCCCTGGCTTTTTTCCATGGATGGCATCTCTCAGATTGGGTAAAGTAAACCACACAATGGAATATTATGAGCCAGTATCAAAGAATGCTTAGAAGAGTCCAGTAAAAATAACGTCAGACTGTGGTATGACCGTGATTCAGCCCAATTCCTGTGTACAAGAAAAAATGCTCCAAGCATTCTCAATGGCCACTGAGTGATTGAATGAAATCTTTTGTAAATAATTGTGGCTATTATCTATGGAGCTCTTTCTTGATCAGCCCCACCCCGTGTTACACGTTTTACTTGCTGTATCTTTCCAAGCATTTGCAAAGTAGGCACTGTTGTATCAGTTTTAGATATTAGGTCACTGAGGCTAACACAAGAGCAGACACTCACCCAAGGTTACCCAGTCACAAAGTGGCAGAACCAGAATTCAAACCCAGGTTTGTGGCTATGCACAGTGACTCACGCCTATAATCCCAGCATTTTGGGAGGCTGAGGTGGGAGGATTGCTTGAGGACAGGAGTTTGAGGTCACAGTGAGCTATGATTGCATGATTACACCAATGCACTCCAGCCTGGGTGACAGAGTGAGACCCTGTCTCCAAAAACAAAAACAAAACCCAGGTTTGTTAGTTCCTTGAGCCATGAAACCTCCCTGGCTCTTTCTAAGTTTTCAGTAATGAGATGTGAATATTTTCTTTTTTCTTTTTATTTTTTGAGACGGAGTCTGACTCTGTCGCCCAGGCTGGAGTGCAATAGTGTGATCTCAGCTCACTGCAATCTCCGCCTCCCGGGTTCAAGCGATTCTCCTGCCTCAGCCTCCTGAGTAGCTAGGATTACAGGCGCTCACTACCATGCCTGGCAAATTTTTGTATTTTTGGTAGAGATGGGGTTTCACCACGTTGGCCAGGCTGGTCTCGAACTCCTGCCCCCGTGATCTGCCCACCTTGGCCTCCCAAAGTGCTGGGATTACAGGCTGGCCAATGATGCTACTATTTTCATAATGGAGAAATAGTTTTTAAAGAAGTCTCCTTAAGAAAGTAGACTCATTTATTTTTATTTTATTAGCTATGTGCATTACTTTGATAAAATTTAAAACCCTAACTTACACCGTACACAAAAATCAGTTCCAGATAGATTGCCAACCTAA
Organism: Homo sapiens; assembly: GCF_000001405.40. Classification (NCBI taxonomy): domain Eukaryota; kingdom Metazoa; phylum Chordata; class Mammalia; order Primates; family Hominidae; genus Homo; species Homo sapiens. Next base: position 39,079,757 of record NC_000019.10, read on the forward strand.
GGGTAACTCACATGAGAAAGCTATTGGAAAATAACAGAAGAGGCCAGATGCGGTGGCTCACTCCTGTAATGCCAACAGTTTGGGAGGTCAAAGCAGGAGGATCACTTGAGTCCAGGAGTTCAAGACCAGCCTGGGGAATATGGCAAGACCTTGTCCCTACAAAAAAATTAACAAAATTAGCTGGGCGTGGTGCACGCACCTGTAATCCCAGCACTTTGGGAGGTCGAGGCGGGTGGATCACCTGAGGTCAGGGGTTCGAGACCAGCCTGGCCAACATGGTGAAACCCCCGTCTCTGCCTAAAATACAAAAATTAGCCGGGCATGGTGGCAGGCGCCTGTAATCACAGCTACTCGGGAGGCTGAGGCAGAATAGCCTGAACCCGGGAGGCAGAGGTTGCAGTGAGCCGAGATCATGCCATTGCACTCCAGCCTGGGCAACAGAGTGAGACTCTGTCTCAAATAAATAAATAAATAAAAATAGAAATAAACAAAATTAGCCAGGCATGGTGGTGGTGCATGCCTGTGGTCCCAGCTACTGGGAGGCTGAGGTGGGAGGATTGCTTGAGCCAGGGAGGTAGAGGCTGCAGTGAGCTATGATGCCACTGCACTACAGCCTAGGTGACAGAGCAAGACCCTTTATCTAAAAAATAAAATAAAATAAAAATAAATAAACCAATAAAAATGGACAACCCAGTAGAAAACCGGACAAGACACTTGAACAAGCACATCACAAAAAGGATATCCAAAAGGCTGATATGCAAATGAAGAGATGTTCAATTTCATTACTCAGCAGGGAAATGCAAATTAAAGCTACAATGAGCTACCTCTACACACCCACCAGAATGACTAAAAATAAAGCACCTGACAATGCTTTATTGGTTCCAAGTGTTGGCAGCGATGTGGAACAATGGAAGTGTTCTAACGTGGCTGGTGGGAGGAGAAGAAATACCACTTTGGAAACCTCTTTGGCTGTATCTACCAAAGATAAAGATACATGCACCTTATGACCCAGCCATCTTATACTTCTAGTTTACATCCAAGAGAAATGTGTATATATGTTTAACAAAATATGTACTAGAATGTTGATCACAGCACTATTTGCAAAAGCCGAAAAAAAAGGAAGTAACTCAAAATTCCATTGACAATTGGTTTTGATAGATAAACCAACTGATAAATAAATTGATAAATAAACCACTGATGGCTGGGCACGGTGGCTCACGCCTGTAATCCCAGCACTTTGGGAGGCTGAGGCAGGCGGATCACCTGAGGTCGGGAGTTCGAAATCAGCCTGGCCAACATGGTGAAACCTTATCTCTACTAAAAAATACAAAATTAGCTAGGTGTGGTGGTGCATGCCTGTGATCCCAGCTACTCAGGAGGCTGAGGCAGGAGAATCGCTTGAACCTGGGAGGCGGAGGTTGCAGTGAGCCAAGATCACCCCATTGCACTCCAGCCTGGGCAACAAGAACGAAACTCCGTCTCAAAAGAACAAAACAAAAACAAAAACAAACAAACAAAAAACCACCAGTGATACATAAATTGGGGTGTATTCACACAGTGGAGGGCTGCTTGGCAATGAGAAAGAAAATGGGTTGCAATTATGCGCCCAACTCAGATACATTTCCCAATCATAAAGTTGAGTGAAAGAGTTAAACCTGTATATTTCTATTTACGCCATGTGCAAAAATAGGCAAAATGAAACCACTGTGTGTAGGGAGGTGTACTTAGGTGGGGAAACCAAAGTCAGGTAAAAGTTAAGTGGATTTCTTCATGGGAAGGAAGAAAGCTGTGCTGGAGAGGAAGCAGGAGGGGGCTTGGGGGAAGGCGATAAGATTATTTTTCTTGCACCCGGTTGGTGGTTACACAGTTGTGTTCACTTTGTCATATTTATTCAGTGGGACATTTATGTCTCATTACTTTTCTGCATGTATATCACATTTCATAATTTAAAAGGTTTAAATTGACTGGGCACAGCAGCTCACACCTGTAATCCCGGCACTTTGGGAGGCCGAGGTGGGCAGATCACTTGAGTCTAGGAGTTCGAGACCAGCCTGGCCAACACAGTGAAACCCCGTCTCTACTAAAAATACAAGGCCGGGCGCGGTGGCTCACGCCTGCAGTCCCAGCACTTTGGGAGGCCGAGGCGGGCGGATCACGCCGTCAGAAGATCAAGACCATCCTGGCTAACAAGGTGAAACCCTGTCTCTACTAAAAATACAAAAAATTAGCTGGGTGTGGCGGCACGTGCCTGTAGTCCCAGCTACTTGGGAGGCTGAGGCAGGAGAATGGCTAGAACCCGGGAGGTGGAGTTTGCGGTGAGCCGAGATCACACCACTGCACTCCAGCCTGGGGGACAGAGTAAAGTGACTTAGAAAACTAGGCTTATTAAAACTCTGCCTTACAAACTGGGCAGACTAGATGTCTTGGTAATAATTAGAAGATTATTATCAATAATCTTCTAATTATTATAATGATAATTAGAAGATTATACGGGGGCACTTGCTCTGTGCTAGGCACTGTTCTAAGGGGTTTATTATTTAATCCTTGCAACAACCCTATAAGGTGCTACTATTGTTCCCATTTCACAGATGGGGAAACCGAGGCACCGTGCGGTTAAATCACTTGTCTAAGTTAGTCAGTGCTGAAGATAGATTTATAACCAGGCCATCTAGCCCCAGAGTCGATGCTCCATTCCCCACCGCAAGCTTATACCTGAGCTATAAGCCCTCATCCGCCAGTCAGGGTCCAACCAGAGGCAACTCCAGTGGGCTCTTTTCACCTGGGCTGGTGGTTGGGAATTCAGGAGCTACGTGAACTTGGATAGGGGAAACTTTTTTTACCTCTCCTTTTACTACACTTTAATCTAGCAGTTCTCAAAATGTGGTCTGGGGGCACCTGTGGGTCCGCAAGACCTTTCTCAGGGGCTAGTGAGGTCAAAAGTATTTTCATAATGATATTAAGACGTTTGTCCTTTTCATTCTCCAGAGACTACCTGACCTGTGATAATGTCATCACTCTGATGGCTAATAGAAATATATGCATGTATATTCGTGTGTTTTTAAAACTTCTCGTTTTCAGCCAGGTTCATGCCTGTAGTCCCAGCTACTCGGGAGGCTGAGGCTCGAAAATCGCATGAACCCAGGAGGCAGAGGTTGTAATGAGCCAAGATCGTGTTACTGTGCTCCAGCCTGGGCAACAGAGTGAAACTCTGTCTCAAAACAAAAACAAAACACACACACACACAAAACCAAAAAACAAACACAAAAACAAAACAACAACAACAAAAAAACCCCCCAACACCTTGTATCACAATAGCACTGGTTTCCTTTGTATTTCTGTGTATTTATATTATGCATGTAACGACATGATCCTGAGAAGGGCTTGACCAGCTTGCCATAGGCATCTTTAGCACAAAAAAGCTTAGGAACCTCCCATTCTGGACGAACTAAGAATACGGGGAGGTTATAATTGGGGGCCACAGGAGTGGCAGGTACTCAAGTTTGGTTATGAGAGCTACTTTCATTATATTTTAGGCTGTAATGGAGACTCTGGAAGTGGGAAGAAAAAAAAAAAAACTCAAACAGTGCAAAGGGCTCGTTTTGATTTTCCCACACTCCTAGTGCCAATTTCTGAAATTGGTGTCCACAATCAGTAGAAGCCTATGTGCTCTGAATTTACAAAGCCAAGTGGTGGCGGGTCATTGTATCTGCAGTCAGGAAGGGGAAACGACTGGAAATCCGGGCCCCCCCAGTTCTTCCCTGCTTCTCTTTTTGTGGCAGCCGCTCCTCACGTTCAAACAGATTGCAAAGGTTTACAGGGGAGAACCCTAACTTGTTCCCTAGACGTCAGTTTCTGGAGTTCCTGCATTAATACGATTAAAAAGAACAGCTGATTCTTATCCAGCCCTTACTCTGGGCCGGGCCCTGTTATCGGCATGAAATTTCATGCAGCAACTCGTTTACTCCTCACAACAGCCCACGGGGTATATACGAGCATCACCTCCTTTTTACAGGTGAAAAAACCCAAGGTCCAGCGAGGTTGAATAACTCACCTAGGTCGCACAGCTCAGAAAGCCCACTGCAATTCCGGGATTCTGGTTTTGTTTTGAGGTTGCCCCGGGCTTCTGAGGAGGGGTCAGTGGGCTCAGCATGGAAAGGAAGGAAGCCGGAAGGCTGGAGGAAGATGCAGCGAGGCTGGAAAGGTTGGGGATCCCCCGGTCCTGCACACCTGGGTACCTGGGGATCGGGCAGGGCCAGGATAGGGGCCGGTGTCCGTGCCCTGGGGCTCCCCAGCTGATGAGTGGGCGCCTGAGGGACGAGCGCAGGGTTACCTGCCTGGGCTCTCACCTGGTGGCCGGCTCAGAGGTGGCGCGCCGGAGACGTATCATAACCTTCCTGGGTCCCCCTTCCCGCGCCACGCCCTGGTGGGGTGGGCGGGTGGGTGTGGGGCGCCCAGGCAGGACCGGCCGGACCTGTGGGACCCGGGGCCCTGGCTGTCTAGGGAGGCTGTCACCCCGAGGCGACCGGCTCTTCCGGGGCTGGGACGGCTGTAGGCGGCAAGAGGCCTCGGCACCCGCGAACTCATAAATACCGGGGCGGCGCTGGTGGCGGGAGAGGCGCGTGCGGGCAGCCGGCGCCCCCGAGGGTGAGCCGGGGTCCGGGAGGGCGTCCCCTTTCCCGGATGGTCCCGACCCGGCTCCATCCTGGCAGCTGGAGACGGAGCTGGAGCAGGCGGGAAAGCGCTGGAGAGAAGGGGGGTGGGTACAGATGGGGGAAGGGCAGGGACGCTGGGGATGGGGAGAGAGGATGCGGCCGCTCTGGCCATGATGGGCTCTAAAGGATCTGGGGGTGGTGTGGGAGGATTGGGGTCACTAGGAGCAAAATAGAAGGCTAAGGATGGAGTAGGGAGGCGAGGTCCCGGGGGCAGGCGGGAATGCTTGGAATCTCGGGAGTAGGTAGGAGAACTGGGGTTTCTAACAGCAGGATGGAAAGCTGGGGATGGGGCTGCGGAATGCAACCTCCTACACAGCCTCCACCCCGCTCCCAGACCCCCAGCACTGAGAGTGAGCTCTGGTTAGGAGCAAGGCTCTGGAATCAGGCCCTCCTGGGTTCAAATCCTGGCTCCATCCCATCCTAGCTGTGCAGCTGAATCACTCAGCTGCTCGGTTTCCTCATCTGTGATATGGGGATGACAATGCTCACAGCCACCACTTCATAGCAATGTCGTGAGGCTTCCGTGAATTAATCTATGTCAAGCGGTTGGCACACTGTGAGTGAGGCTCAGAGAGCTCTGCTGCTGTTCCTTAGCGATTCTTATTTTTGGTTTCTCTCTCCAGCACCTGGATAACCACCCATCTTGAAGGAGACCTCCCTGCCCTGCCTCTGTTGTCCCCCAGAGCACTGCCTGATCATCCTCTGTTCCCCATCCTCCCAGCCCTTCCTGCTGTACCTGTGGGGAGCTGATCTCCTCAGTCCCCCTGCTTTTCCCCGGTCTGCCATCACCACCCCACCACCATGCACCCCCTTCCTGGCTACTGGTCCTGTTACTGTCTACTCCTGCTATTCTCCTTGGGAGTCCAGGGGTCCCTGGGGGCTCCCAGCGCTGCCCCAGAGCAAGTCCATCTGTCTTACCCAGGTAAGTGTCCCTGACTCATTTCTATGCCTCTACCAGAGAGGCCCAGCGGTGCTTCGTTGTTTGAGGGCTCAGGAATCCCACACTGTGAGCCCCTAGGCGGGTGGCTCATTCCTCCTGAGCCTCCATCATCCACCTCTGTGGAATAGGAAGTACAGGCTGTGGAACACCTGGAAGTGTGGGGAATGATCATGGTGCTCAGCCCACAGAGAGTGCTCCCCTGCTCTCAAAAGGGGACCGCTGCTGTCCTTGTTCATTGCATCTCTGTTGTGTTTCCGGGACCTGGCACGTTTGTTCGTTCATGCACGGTAGGCCTCAGAGCCAGTTGTGGAAGGAACCAGTGGATGAATGATAACAGAGCTGGGTTACCCAGCCCCTTCTCCATCCCTCTTCTCCTCTTCCCCACGAGGCTGACTGCCTCCCGATCTTTGATTAGGATCCTTCCACTGTGGGAGTAAGAGCTTGGACTCTGGACCATTGGCACCCAGACCACGTGGGTTAGAATCCCAGCTTTGCTATGTACCTGCTGCCTAATCTTGGGCAAGTGGCTTAACCTCTCTGTCCTCAGTCTCCTCATCTGGATAATGGGGTAATATTAGTACAACCTCATGGTGAGGTGTAAATGAGTTGCTACCTGTAAAGGGGCAGAACTGAGGCTGAGTGTGGGGGCTCACACCTGTAGTCTTAGCAGTTTGGGAGGCTGAGGCGGAAGGATCACTTGAGCTCATGAGTTTGGGACCAGCCTAGGAAACATAGTGAGACCTCTGCCTCTTAGGGAAAAAGAAAAAATCTTAGACAGGTGTGGTGGCATGCACCTATAGTCCCAGCTACTTGGGAGACTGAGGTGGGAGGATCGCTTGAGCCCAGGAGTTCAAGGCTGCAGTGAGCCATGATTGGCCACTACACTCCAGCCTGGGCAACAGAGAGAGACCCTGTCTTTAAAAAAAAAAATGTGGAGGAGGCCAGGCACAGTGGTGCATGCCTGTAATCTCAGCAATTTGGGACACTGAGGTGGGTGGATCACTTGACCTCAGGGGTTCAAGACCAGCCTGGGTAACATGGGTGAAACCCGGTCTCTACAAAAAAATTAAAAAATTAGCTGGGCATGGTGGCTCACGCCTGGTCTCAGCTGCTTGGGGAGCTGAGGCAAGAGGATCGCTTGAGCCCAGGAGGCAAAGGTTGCAATGAGCCAAGATCATGCCATTACACTCCAACCTGGCTGACAGAATGAGGCCCTGTCTCAAAAAAAAAAAAGGGGGGGGGGAGGGGGATAGAACGGAGCTTGGCATGTAGCAGCAATTTCCATACACTTTAAATCTCAGGACTGTTTGTTTTAAACTGTTAATCTCAGGACCATTTTACATCACTAAATTTTATGGAGAACTAAAATTTATGGAGAAGTTCAAAGAGCTTTAGTTTATGTGCATTACAGCTAGCAATATTTACTAAATAAGGTATTAAAACTGAGGCATTTAAAATTTTTTATTGTCATTTAAAATTAACAATAACAAACACCTTCAGTATTAATGTATATGATATTTTTAAGGAACAAACTGTATTTTGCAAAAGAAGAAATTGAGTGAGGAAAGTGGCATTGACTTGCATCTTTTAAAAATCTTTTATTTATTTATTTATTTTTGAGACAGGGTCTCGCTCTGTCAACCAGGCTGGAGTGCAGTGGCACAGTCTTGGCTCACTGCAGCCTCTGCCCCGCAGGGTTCAAGTGATTCTCCCACCTCAGCCTCCCGAGTAGCTGGGATTACAGGCACCCACCACCCCATACTTGGCTAATTTTTGTATTTTTTATACAGATGGAATTTCACCATGTTGCCCAGGCTGGTCTTGAATTCCTAAGCTCAAGCGATCCTCCAGTCTCGGCCTCCCAAAGTGCTGGGATTACAGACATGAGCCACCGCGCCCCGCCTAAAATCTCTTTAGTATCTGGTTTGGTAACTGACAACTGGATTCTCCTCAGATCTGTTTTCATTTTAGTCTGTTGTGATTTGTTGTTTTGGATTTTGCCTGTGAAGAAAATCTGTTCTTGCACAGACATGTGGTTGAAACAGGGAGAAAAGTTGCTTGTTTTTTGACACAGGGTTTGGCTCTGTCAGGGTTTGGCACTGGAGTGCAGTAGCACAAACATGGCTCACTGCAACCTCAACTCCGAGACTCAAGCGATCCTCCCACCTCAGTCTCTTGAATAGCTGGGACCACAGGGGCATGACACCATGCCCAGCTAATTTTGTTTTTTTTTTTTTTTTTTTGAGATGGAGCCTCACTCTGTTGGCCAGGCTGTAGTGCAATGGCATGATCTTGGCTCACTGCAAGCTCCACCTCCTGGTTTCAAGCGATTCTCCTGCTTCAGCCTCCCAAGTATCTGGGATTACAGGCATGCACCACCACACCTGGCTAATTTTTGTATTTTTAGTAGAGACGGGGTTTCACCATGTTGGCCAGGCTGGCCTCGAACTCCTGACCTCAAGTGATCCACCCACCTCTGCCTCCCAAAATGCTGGGATTACAGGCGTGAGCCACCGTGCCTGGCTCTAGTCCTACTCTTTTCTATCTGTGCCAGTTCCTCAGTCATTCCTTATCTTTCCTTGTTTTTCATGTCTTTTACATCTTCAAAGAAGATAGTTTCTTCTTTTTTTTTAGATAGGGTCTCACTCTGTCACCCACGCTGGAATGCAATGGCGCAATCATAGCTTACTGCAGCCTCTAACTTCTGGGCACAAGTGATCCTCCTGACTCAGCCTCCTGAGTAGCTGGGACTACAGACGTGCACTACCATGCCTGGCTAATTCTTTTTATTTTTTGTAGAGACAAGGTCTCACTATGTTGTCCAGGCTGGTCTCAAACTCCTGGGCTCAAGTGATCCTCCCACCTCAGCACCCCAAAGTGCTGGGATGACAGGGGTGAGCCACCATGCCCAGCAGAGAGAGGGTTTCTTAAAGGTTAGTTGCAATGTGGAATCAGAAACCACATGAATGAACTGGCTTGGCATTTGCCAGCCTAGTGACCTTGGACAAAGCGCTTTGCCTGGAGGCCTCTGTAAAAATGGGAAAGGCAGTAAAAACCCATCTCGTAGTGCTGCTGTGACAATCCAGTGAGATCATGGCTGTCCTTTTTCAGCCTACACAGTAACAATGGCAAATACACTCTTATAAGTGCTTTAGACGGATAACTCATTTAACCTGGTATCAACCTTAAGCTGTAGGTACCATTGCTACTCCCATTTGACAAGAGAGACTCACAGCAGGGGAAGAGTCTGACCCCAGTTCACACAGCCTGGGAATCTGAATGCCGGCAGGCTAGCTCAGAAGCCCACGATCTTTGTGGGTTTGTTTGTTTGTTTGTTTGTTTGTTTGTTTGTTTTGAGACAGAGTCTCACTCCGTCGCCCAGGCTGGAGTGCAGTGGTGTGGTCTTGGTTCACTGCAACCTCTGCCTCTCAGGTTCAAGGGATTCTCCTGCCTCAGCCTCCCGAGTAGCTGGGACTACCAGCGCGCATCACCATGCCTGGCTGATTTTTGTATTTGTATTTTTGCATTTTTTTTTTTTTGAGTCGTAGTCTCACTCTGTTGCCCAGGCTAGAGTGTAGTGGTGAGATCTTGGCTCACTGCAACCTCTGCCTCCCAGGTTCAAGCGATTCTCCTGCCTCAGTCTCTCAAGTAGCTTGGACTACAGGTGCATGCCACCACACCCAGCTAATTTTTGTATTTTAGTAGGGACGGGGTTTCACCGTGTTGCCCAGGCTGGTCTCGAACTCCTGACCTCAAGTAATCTACCCACCTCGGCCTCCCAAAGTGCTGGGATTACAGGCATGAGCCACTGTACCCGGCCCCTAATTTTTGTATTTTTCAGTAGAGATGGGGTTTCACCATGTTGGGCAGGTTGATCTTGAACTCCTGGCCTCAAGTGATCCACCCGCCTCGGCCTCCCAAACTGCTGGGATTACAGGTGTGAGCCACCATGCCCGGCCTATTTTAAAACTTTTAAATTTTGTACTACTTTTGGATTTAGCAGAAACATTCCAAAAATATTACAGAGTTCCTGTCTCCCCTCACTCAGTTTCCCCTGATGTTAACATTTTACGTAACCATGAACAATGATTAAAACTGAGAAATCAAGATTGGTACAATCCTGTTAACTAAACTACAGATCTCATTTGAATTTCACCCGTTTTTCTACTAATGTCCATTTCCCCTTCCAGAATCCGATCCAGGATCTCACATTGCATTTAGCTGTTGTGCCTCCCTAGTCTCCTCCCATCTATTAGTTTCTCAGTCTTCCCTTGTCTTTCATGCTCTTGGTATTGCCGAGTACCGATCAGCTATTTTGTACAGTATCTCTCGTTTGGGATTTGTCTGATACTTTCTCACCACTGGAATTAAGTTATGTATTTTTGGCAAGACTATCATAGATATGATGTTGTGCCCTTCTTGGCGCATGATACGAAGAATCAAGATGTGGCTGTGACTTATTGCTGTGACTTATTGATGTTGACCCTGATTGTTTCATTAAGGAGGTGCCTGCTGGGTTTCTCCACTATAAAGTAATTATTCTTCCCTTTGTAGTTAATAAATATCTTGAGGGAGATGGCTCAAGACAATGCAAATCCCATTTCTCCTCAATGTTTGCTCACTAATTTTAGCATCTTGTTAAAAGATCCTGCTGATAAGTGGATCTTATCGGCAACAATTAGTGTGGTATTTGCCTAATGGTGATTTTCTAATTTTCTAATGCCCTCCTTCTTTTTTTTTCTTTTTAAATTTTATAACCTTTGTTTTGTTTTGTTTTTGAGACGGAGTCTTGCTCTGTTGCCCAAGCTGGAGTGCAGTGGCGCAATCTCGGCTCACTGGAACCTCCACCTCCCAGGTTCAAGCAATTCTTCTGCCTCAGCCTCCTGAGTAGCGGGGATTACAGGCGCACGCTGCCATGCCTGGCCAAGTTTTTGTAATTTAGTAGAGACGGGGTTTCACTGTGTTGCCCAGGCTGGTCTTGAATTCCTGAGCTCAGGCAATCTGCCTGCCTCATCCTCCCAAAGTGCTAGGATTACAGGCATGAGCCACTGTGCCCGGCCAATAACTTTTAATTAATTAATTAATTAATTTTGAGACAGAGTCTTGCTCTGTCACCCAGGCTGGATTGCAGTGGCGCGATCTCAGCTCATTGCAACCCCTACCTCCCGGGCTCAAGTGACCCTCATCACTTCTGCCTCTTGAGTAGCTGGGACTACAGGGATGCACCACTATGCCTGGCAATTTTTGTATTTTTGTAGAGACAGAGTTTCACCATGTTGCCCAGGCTGGTCTGGAACTCCTGGGCTCAAGCAATCCACCTGCCTCAGCCTCCCAAAGTGTTGGGATTATAGATGTGAACTACTCGCCCAGCCTTCCCACTTCTTTTTTTTTTTTTTTTTGGTCTATTGTTCCTATTCAATATAGTAGCTCCTTCCATCTAATTGAAATTTTATTATAAGAAAGAGCTGTCCCTCCCTGCTCCCTTTATTACTTTATTCAATGATTTATTTACATCATGGACTCATGGATATCCATTTTATTCCATGGGTGAAAAATCTGATGTTATGATTGTCCCAGATTTGGTCTCTCAGAATTCCTTCAGATTGCGTTCTGTGTTCTTACAACAAGCCTCCATCATTTGTGAGCACTTCCTCACTTGATGACATCACAAATGATTCCAGGCTCCTCTTGTGTATTTCCTGTTCCATCCTGGGAAGCACCTATTTCCCACAATAAGTTCCAGTTTCTTTTCTTTCTTTTTTTTTTTTTTTGAGATGGAATTTTGCTCTTGTCACCCAGGCTGGAGTACAGTGGCGTGATCTCAGCTCACAGCAACCTCCGCCTCCTGGGTTCAAGCGATTCTCCTGCCTCAGCCTCCCAAGTAGCTGGGACTACAGGCGTGCACCACCAAGCCCAGCTGATTTTTGTATTTTTAGTAGAGACGGGGTTTCACCATGCCGGTCAGGCTGGTCTCGAACTCCTGACCTCATGATCTGCCTGCCTCAGCCTCCCAAAGTGCTGGGATTACAGGCATGAGCCACTGTGCCCAGCCCTCCAGTTCCTTTTTATTGGAGTATTTAGAAACTAAGATCTGGGCACTAGGTGTGCTCATTGCCACTGGGATGTCATTGCTTCTAGTTCCTCTCAACAAACACAGCGAGGCAATACATGCATGTACACGAAGCTGCATATTCACACATCTATGTTTGAATCTGTATAAAAATTAATTACCTGGTTGGCCACAGTGGCTCAGCACTTTGGGAGGCTGAGGTGGGTGGATCACTTGAGGTCAGGAGTTCAAGACCAGCCTGGCCAACATAGTGAAACCCCATCTCTACCAAAACTACAAAAAATTAGCCAGGCGTGGTGGTGTGTGCCTGTAATCCCAGCTACTCAGGAGGCTGGGGCAGGAGAATCACTTGAACCTGGGAGGCGGAGGTTGCAGTGAACCAAGATCACACCACTGTCCCTCCAGCCTGGGTAACAGAGCAAGACAACAACTAAAAAAATAAAAAAATAAAAAAATTGAATTACCATGAGATCATACTGATATCCCTGATTTCAGCCCAGCACCATGGGTTTATTTTAGCCTTATCTTTCCTTATTTGTAACTTCTTTCTCTAACACTCAGAAACTTCACTCTGTCTACGATATATTTATTTGTTTAATCCTAGTGTATACATAAAGCATGCGGTGGCTCACACCTGTAATCTCAGCACTTTGGGAGGCAGAGGCAGGTGGATCACCTGAGGTCAGGAGTTCAAGACCAGCTTGGCCAACATGGTAAAACCCGGTCTCTACTAAAAATACAAAAAATTAGCCATGTGTGTTGGCAGATGCCTGTAATCCCAGCTACTTTGGAGGCTGAGGCAGAAGAATCGCTTCAACCCGGGAGGCAGAGGTTGCAGTGAGCCGAAATTGTGCTATTGCACTCCAGCCTTGGCAACAAGTGCGAAACTCTGTATATATATATATATATATATATAGCAGTTGCAGAATCATTTACAGGTGTGCCTGTGGGAAGCACACGATGCCAAGGTGACAGCCTTTATGCACAGTCCTTTTTGTCTTTTGTCTTGTAATAATACCCAGTTAGGACACTGTTTCTTGCGGTTATTATTCTTCCTCACCCCCTTCCATGTGGTTATGTTATGCTTTTTTTTAATCTGGTTAGGTCCACTTATTAGTGTTTCTATTCCATATTGGGTTCCCCCCACACCCTGATAGTTTTAATTATTTATTTTGTGGGTGTGTGAGGGAAATGTGAAACATGACTATAGTTCCAGGAGTCAAAATTATACGAAAAGCCTGACTCAGACCAGTGTCTCTGTTTCTTCATCCCTACTACTCTTTCCCATTCCTCTTTTTTTTTTTTTTTTTTTTTTTTGAGATGGAGTCTCGCTCTGTCACCCAGGCTGGAGTGCTGTGGTGTGATCTCGGCTCACTGCAACCTTCGCCTCCCAGATTCAAGCGATTCTCCTGTCTCAGCCTCCTGAGTAGCTGGGACTACAGGTGTGTGCCACTACACCCAGCTAATTTTTGTAGTTTTGGTAGAGATGGGGTTTCACTATGTTGGCCAGGTTGGTCTTGAACTTCTGACCTCAGGTGATCCACCTGCCTTGGCCTCCCAAAGTGCTGGGATTACAGGCGTGAGCCACCGCGCCTGGCCCCCGTTTCTTTCTTTTCTTTCTTTTTTTCTTTTTCTTTCTTTCTTTCTTTCCTTCTTCCCTCACTCCTTTCTTTCTTTCTCTTTCTTTCTTTCTCTCCTTCCTTCCTTCCTTCTTTCTTTGTTTCTTTCTTTCTCTCCCTCTCTCTCTCTTTCTCTCTCTCTCTCTTTCTTTCTTTCTCTTTCTTTTTTTCGAGACGGGGTCTTGCTCTGTCACCCAGGCTGGAGTGCAGTGAGTGGCACAATCTCAGCTCACTGCAACCTCCGCCTCCTGGGTTCAAGTGATTCTCCTGCCTCAGCCTCCTGAGTAGCTGGATTACAGGCACGCGCCACCCTGCCCAGCTAATTTTTATAGTTTTAGTAGAGACCGGGTTTTGCCATATGGGCCAGGCTGGTCTCGAACTCCTGACCTCAAGTGACCCACCTTCCTGAGCCTCCCAAAGTGCTGGGATTGCAGGCATGAGCCATCGCGCCCAGCTAATTTTTGCATTTTTAGTAGAGATGGGGTTTCACCATGTTGGCCAGGCTGGTCTCAAACTCCTGGCCTCAAAGTGATCTACCCACCTTGGCCTCCCAAAGTGCTGGGATTACAGGCTGAGCCACCATGTCTGGCCTCCTCTTTTCTTCTACCTCATTTTCCACTCATCCCCTGTAAGTAATTCATCTCTTTAGTACCTGGTGTACCCTTTCTTTATTTCTTTTGTACAAATGAACAGAGACACCTGCATATTTTCTATACCCCCTTACATTAAGGGCAGCTAACTATACTCTTATGCACTTTGCTTTTTTTGGTTTAACAATATGTCCTGGAAACATTTCATAGCAGTTCTTGGAACTTGTCCTCATTCTTTTTTACACCATTGTGTGGATGTTATTGAGTCACTCTCCTAAATATGGGCATTTAGGTTGTTTCCCGTATTTTGCAATTACAAAGAGTACTGCCATAAATAACCCTGAGCACATGCATTTTTGTATGGCTGGAGGAAGAACTCTTAACATTACACTACACCACACGGTATTTTTAAAACCTTGACTTGGGTGCTAACGTTTAAGAATTTGAAGCTATCACTTCAAAATCTGGATTTTCGTATCTATCTGTATATGCTCCTGGGATATAAAAACCACTGTGTAAAGATATGTTGTAGGCTGGGCGTGGTGGCTCACCCAAAGTGCTGATCCCAGCACTTTGGGAGGCCCAGGTGGGTGGATCATGAGGTCAGGAGTTCGAGGCTAGCCTGGCCAACACGGTGAAACCCTGTCTCTACTAAAAATACAAAAATTAGCCGGGCATGGTGGCACGCACCTGTAATCCCAGCTACTCAGGAGGCTGAGGCAGGAGAATCACTTCAACCCAGGAGGTGGAGGTTGCAGTGAGCCAAGATTGCATCACTACACTCCAGCTTGGGCGACAGAGTGAGACTTAGTCTCAAAAAAAAAAAAAAAGATGTGTTCTAGAAGTCAATAGAAAAGCCGGGCACATGTTCACGCCTGTAATCCCAGCACTTTGGGAGACCGAGGAGGGAGGGTTGCTCAAGTCCAGGAGTTCAAGACCAGCCTGGGCAACATGGCAAGATCCCATCTCTATGAAAAAAAAAATTAAAAATCAACTGGGCATGCTGGTTCATGCCTGTGGTCCGAGCTACTCAGGAGGCTGAGGCGGGAGGATCACTTGAACCCAGGAGGCAGGGTATATTAGTTTTGATGCTGTTGATAAAGACATACCTGAGACTGAGAAGAAAAACAGGTTTAATTGGACTTACAGTTCCACATGGCTGGGGAGGCCTGAGAATCATGACAGGAGGTGAAAGGCACTTCTTACATGGTGGTGGCAAGAGAAAATGAGGAAAAGCAGAAGCAGAAATCCTTGATAAAACCCTCAGATCTCATGAGACTTATTCACTACCACAAGAACTGCCCCCATGATTCAAATGATCTCCCTCCACGTACCTCTCACAACATGTGGGAATTATGGGTGTACAATTCAAGATGAGATTTGGGTGGGGACACAGAGCCAAACCATATCATTTTGCCTCTGGCCCCTCCAAATCTCATGTCCTCACATTTCAAAACCAATCATGCCTTCCCAACAGTCTCCCAAGGTCTTAACTCATTTCAGCATTAACCCAAAAGTCCACAGTCCAAAGTCTCATCTGAGGCAAGTCAAGACCCTTCCACCTATGAGCCTGTAAAATCAAAAGCAAGCTAGTTACTTCCTAGATACAATGGGGGTACAGGTATTGGGTAAATACAGCCATTCCAAATGGGAGAAATTGGCTAAAACAAAGGCATTACAGGGCCCATGCAAGTCCAAAATCCAGCAGGGCAGTCAAATTTTAAAGCTCCAAAATGATTTCCTTTGACTTCAGGCCTCACATGCAGGTCTCACTGATGCAAGAGGTGGGTTCCCATGGTTGTGGGCAGCTCTGCCCCTGTGGCTTTGCAGGGTATAGCCTCCCTCCTGGCTGCTTTCACAGGCTGGCATTGAGTTTCTGCAGCTTTTCCAGGAACACAGTGCAAGCTGTTGGTGGATCTACAATTCTGGAGTCTGGAGGACAGTGGCCCTCTTTTCACAGCTCCACTAGGTGGTAACCCAGTAGGGACTCTGTGTGGGGGCTCCAGCCCCACATTTCCCTTCTGCACTGCCCTAGCAGAGGTTCTCCATGAGAGCCCCACCCCTACTTCTGCCTGGGCATTCAGGCGTTTCCATACATCTTCTGAAATCTAGGCAGAGGTTCCCAAACCCCAATTCTTGACTTCTGCGCACCTGCAGGCTCAAAACCATGTGGAAGCTGCCAAGGCTTGGGGATTGCACCCTCTGAAGCCACGGCCCAAGCTCTATGTTGTCCCCTTACAGCCACAGCTGGAGCAGCTAGAATGCAAGACACCAAGTCCCTAGACTGCACACAGCACAGGGACCCTGGGCCCTGCCCATGAAACCATTTTTTCCTCCTAGACCTCTGGGTCTGAGATGGGAGGGGCTGCCGCAAAGGTCTCTGACATGCCCTGGAGATATTTTCCCCATTGTCTTGGGGATGAACGTTCATCTCCTCGTTACTTATGCAAATATCTGCAGCCAGTTTGAATTTCTCCTCAGAAAATGGGGTTTTATTTTCTATCCCATCATCAGGCTGCAAATTTTCTGAACTTTTATGCTCTGCTTCCCTTTTAAAACTGAATGCCTTTAACAGGACATCTTGAATGCTTTGCTGCTTAGAAATTTCTTCCACCAGATACCCTAAATCATCTCTCTCAAGTTCAAAGTTCCAATAATCTCCAGGGCAGGGGCAAAATCCACCAGTCTCTTTGCTAAAAGATAACAAGAGTCACCTTTGCTCCAGTTCCCAACAAGTTCCTCATCTCCACCTGAGAGCACCTCTGCCTGGATTTCATTGTCCATATCATTATCAGTATTTTTGTCAAAGCCATTCAACAAGTCTCTAGGAAGTTCCAAATTTTCCCACATTTTCCTGTCTTCTTCTGAGCCCTCTAAACTTTCCGACCTCTGTCTGTTACCCAGTTCCAAAGCTGCTTCCACATTTTCAGGTATCTTTTCAGCAACACCCCACTCTACTGGTACCAGCTTACTATATTAGTCCATTTTCATGCTGCTGATAAAGACATACCCAAGACTGGGAAGAAAAAGAGGTTTAATTGGACTTACAGTTCCATATGGCTGGGGAGGCCTCAGAATCATGGCAGAAGGTGAAAGCCATTTCTTTTTTCTTTCTTTCTTTCTTTTTTTGAGACAGACAGAGTCTTGCTCTGTTGCCAGGCTGGAATGCAGTGGCGTGCTCTTGGCTCACGGCAACCTCCATCTCCCGGGTTCAAGTGATTCTCCTGCCTCAGCCTTCCAAGTAGCTGGGACTACAGGCACATGCCACCACGCCCAGCTAATTTTTGTATTTTTAGTAGAGATGGGGTTTCACCATGTTGGCCAGGATGGTCTCGATCTCCTGACCTCGTGATCTGCCCACCTTGGCCTCCCAAAGTGCTGGGTTTACAGGCATGAGCCAATACACCTGGCTAGTGAAAAGCATTTCTGACATGGCGGTGGCAAGAGAAAATGAGAAAGAAGCAAAAGTGGAAACCCCTGATAAACTCATCAGATCTCGTGAGACTTATTCACTACCATGAGAACAGTATGGGGGAAACCACCACCTTGATTCAGTCTCCCACTGGTCCCTCCCACAACACGTGGGGATTACGGGAGTACAATTCAAGATGAGATTTGGGTGGGGACACAGAGCCAAACCATCTCACCGAGGTTGCAGTGAGCCGAGAATGCGCCATTGCACTCCAGCCTAGGCAACAGGGCAAGACTCCTCAAAAAAAAAAAAAAATTAGCTGGGCATGGTGACATGTGCCTGTGGTCCCAGCTACTTGGGAGGCTGAGGCAGGAGGATCGCTTGAGCCCAGGAGGCCAAGGCTGCAGTGAGCTAAGATGGCACCACTGCACCTCCAGCCTGGGCAATAGAGTGAGACCCTATCTCTAAGAAAAAAAAAAAAAAAGTCAATAGCTTTGCTGGTACTGGGCCCGTTTCCTGCTTGCTTTGTGGCTATTGCCAGATCTGAGTGATGGCTGCCCCTTTGAGATAGGGCAGGGTCTACAGTCTTGGCCTCCAGACACCCAAGCTGGCAACCCTTAAATGATATCATGTGTGTACAATAGTTGGCACAAGACCTGCACACAGTAAATAATGATATTAATAATAATACTCATTCCCGCATATAACCCTAAGTGTACTAGGTACTGTTTCACGTGCTTTATTTATATTTATTCATCTAAGCCTCATAACAACCATATAGGGCAGAGACTATTATTTTTCCATTTTACAGACAGGAAAACTGAGGCTCAGAGAGGTGAAGTGATGTGCCCCAGGAAAGCTCAGCTTAGAAATGGCAGAGCTGGCTCATGCCTGTAATCCCAGAACTTTGGGAGGCCAAGGTGGGTGGATCACCTGAGGTCAGTAGTTCAAGACCAGCCTGGCCAACATGGCAAAACTACATCTCTACTAAAAATGCAAAAATTAGCCAGGCATGGTGGCACATGCTTGTAATCCCAGCTACTCGGGAGGCTGAGGCAGGAGAATCGCTTGAACCTGCGAGGCGGCAGAGATTGCAGTAAGCTGAGATTGCACCACTGTACTCCAGCCTAGGAGGCAGAGTAAGACCCTGACTCAAAAAAAAAAAAAAAAAAAAAAAAAAGAAAAGAAAAGAAAAGAAAAGAAATGGCGGGGCTGGGATTGAACTTGGGCAGTTCCAGAACCTGTGTCCTTAACCACTAACTGTTCAACAGTGGTCAACGCCCCTCACTTTTTCTGCATATCCCTCCCACCCTGCCCAGGCTTCACTCCCGGTCTACCCTCTGTCCCTTTCTCCCCAGGTGAGCCAGGCTCCATGACTGTAACTTGGACCACATGGGTCCCAACCCGCTCTGAAGTGCAATTCGGGTTGCAGCCGTCGGGGCCCCTGCCCCTCCGCGCCCAGGGCACCTTCGTCCCCTTTGTGGACGGGGGCATTCTCCGGCGGAAGCTCTACATACACCGAGTCACGCTTCGCAAGCTGCTGCCAGGGGTTCAGTATGGTGAGAGGGGCCCCAGGCTGAGCTGTTGAGGAGGAGTGGGAAGAGGAGTGGGATGCAGACTAGAAGCTACCACTGGCCGGTGGCTCAGGCTGGGCTGGTAACTCCACTGCCTATCTGCAAGCCTGTTGTATGAGACCCCAGGATGAAAACGGAAGGTGCCGGGGAAGGCAGACCGAAGGGGCATGGGCCAGCCCCCACCAGTCCCCCCATCTCCTCCCCTCCACCAGTCGGGGAAGGATGGGGTTGGAGGGAGGGTCCCGGGGCGCCCCAGCTGACTGCGACCTTTTCCTCTCCCATTCAGTTTATCGCTGTGGCAGTGCGCAGGGCTGGAGCCGTCGGTTCCGCTTCAGGGCCCTCAAGAATGGGGCCCACTGGAGTCCCCGTCTGGCTGTGTTTGGAGACCTGGGGGCTGACAACCCGAAGGCCGTCCCCCGGCTGCGCAGGGACACCCAGCAGGGCATGTATGACGCCGTTCTCCATGTGGGTGAGGCATCCGCAGGGGCGCGCGCAGGGACGGTGGGGGGCGCGCGCAGGGATGGTGGGGGGCGCGCGGGTCGGGGGCGCGCGGGTCGGGGGCGGTGCTAGGACCGTGGAGGGGACAGGGCTGGGGCCAGTGTGTCTCTGAAGGGACAGGGGATGAGACTGGCTACGGAGACGGTGTCTGTGGCCAACCAGCCTGCCTAGGTTAAAATCCCAACTCTGGCGCTCTTGCCAGGAGCAGGGGTTTTCCCCCGTATATTTTGATTAGAGAGAAAGCTGGTTCCGAGTTCGCAGGACTGTTGTGATGACTACGTTAGTTCGCTTTGCCTCGCAGGGTGCAGGTGCACTTCGGTGTCCTTGTGCTGGTTATTATTATTATTGCTGCTGTTGTTATTTAAGAGGGGGAAGGGAATTAGATGGGTAATGGGGATTGGGGATTGTGTGCTTCAAAGTGCAGACTCTGGAATCAGGCTCCCTAGGTTTTATTTCTACATCTTCACTAGCCAGCTGTGTGACCTGGGGCCTCAGTTTCCCCATCTGAAATGGGAATAATAATAATAATACTCATCTTGGGCCAGGCGCAGTGGCTCATGCCTGTAATTCCAGCACTTTGTGAGGCCAAGGTGGGTGGATCACTTGAGGTCAGGAGTTCGAGACCAGCCCAGCCAACATGGTGAAACTCCATCTCTACTAAAACTACAAAAATTAGCCAGGTGTGGTGGCAAGTGTCTGTAATCCCAGCTGCTTGGGAGGCTGAGGCAGGAGAACCGCTTGAACCCAGGAGGCAGAGGTTGCAGTGAGCCAAGATGGCACCACTGCAGTCCAGCCTGGGCAGCAGAGGGAGACTCTGTCTCAAAAAAAAAAAAAAAAAAAAAAAGTGCCCATCTTGGCCCGGCACAGTGGCTCACACCTGTAATTCCAGCACTTTGGGAAGCTGGTTTTGAATTCCTGGGCTCAAGTGATACTCTTGCCTTGGCCTCCCGAAGCGCTGGGATTAACAGGTGTGAGTCACCATACCTGGCTCTCTCAATTCCAGTGAAAGCAGAGCTGGGCCTGGGTCCTCACCCTCCTTCCGCCCCCTCCCCCAGGAGACTTTGCCTACAACCTGGATCAGGACAACGCCCGTGTTGGGGATAGGTTCATGCGGCTCATTGAACCCGTGGCTGCCAGCCTGCCGTACATGACATGCCCTGGGAATCATGAAGAACGCTAGTGAGGACTGAGGGTGGTGGCGGTGGGCGAGGGCTGGATCAATGGAAATGGTCTCGTTCTTCTTAGTGTCTCCCTTGAGTCTCTCATGCTGCAACATTTCAATTGTGGTAGCAAGAGGAGATGGGGGTGGGCTGGAAGCTGGACTCAGGGCCTGACAGTGGCGGGGTATAGGAGTAGGGCTATGAAATTCAGTCCTTCACCTCCATCCCTTGTACTTCCTTTATTCCAGCAACTTCTCTAACTACAAGGCTCGCTTCAGCATGCCGGGGGATAATGAGGGCCTGTGGTACAGGTAATGTGGGGGTGCTGGGGGACTGGCCCTCTCCCCTGAAGGATGGGAGATGCAGGGGAGCCCTGGTCCCTGACCCCTGCCCTTTGACTCCTCCAGCTGGGATCTGGGTCCCGCCCACATCATCTCCTTCTCCACCGAGGTCTATTTCTTTCTCCATTATGGCCGCCACTTGGTACAGAGGCAGTTTCGCTGGCTGGAGAGCGACCTCCAGGTAACCTGGGTGGAGGCCCCTATAGTCCCCTGGCCAGCCCCACCTCCCCCTCCACCCCTGACTCCTAGCCCCTCACCCTGGGCCCTTCTCCCTAGAAAGCCAATAAGAACCGGGCAGCCCGGCCGTGGATCATCACTATGGGGCACCGGCCCATGTACTGCTCCAACGCAGATCTGGACGACTGCACACGACATGAAAGCAAGGTGAGGTCCCTCCCTGGGAGACAGTGGGGACATGCTGAAAGCCAGGTGGGCGTCAGTCTGCGTCACCCTCACCCGCTCATTCACCCTGCCCAGGTCCGCAAAGGCCTCCAAGGCAAGCTGTACGGGTTGGAGGATCTTTTCTACAAATATGGTGAGCGACCCTCAGGACCCATGCCCCACACCCCACCTCTCCCCAATTCAGAGGTCTGATCCCCGCTTGCTCTATCTCAGGAGTGGATCTGCAGCTGTGGGCTCATGAGCACTCGTATGAACGACTGTGGCCAATTTACAACTACCAGGTGAGGCACGTGAAGGGCTGAGCGCCCACACAGCTGGGGTCAGGGTGGTCAGAAGGCCCAGGCATGGCCTCGAGTGACTGCCTGCCACCCAACGTTGTTCCCTTCCCCAGGTATTTAACGGCAGCCGAGAGATGCCCTACACCAACCCGCGAGGGCCTGTCCACATCATCACAGGATCTGCTGTGAGCAGGGGGAAGGGTGGCTTTGCCTTCTCTCTCTATTCCTATCTATGGAGGGCTAACTTTGTTCCAGACTGAGTGCTGGGTGCTTTATATAGTGGATATCACTTAACCCTCAGCCCTAAGGTCGGGAACTCCTAGCGGTATGTTCATTGGACGGATGTAGGAACAGAGGCACAGACAGGAAAATACTTGCTCAAAGTCGCAGGTCAAATAAGTGGCAGAGGTTGGGAGCTCCCCCACCATAAAGTTACTCTAGTTCCCTTTTTAATTAATAACTACCATGGAGGTCCAGGCACAATGACTCATGCCTGTCATCCTAGCACTTTGGGAGGCCGAGTCTGGAGGATCACTTGAGGCCAGGAGTTGGAGACCAGCCTGGCAAATACAGCAAAACCTTGTCTATACAAAAAAAAAAAAAAAATTAAAAAAGAAATTAGCTGGGCGAGGTGGTGCTTGCTTGTAATTTTAGCTATTCAAAAAGATGAGTCAGGAGGATTGCTTGAGTGCAGGAGGTCAAGGCTGTAGTGAGCTGAGATCTCACCATTGCACTCCAGCCTGGGCAACAAAATGAGACCCTTTCTCTCACACACACACACACACACACACACACACACACACACAAAAGATACTGGGTGGCTAGGTGCAGTGGCTCATTCCTGTAATCCCAGTACTTTGGGAGGTTGAGGCAGGAGGATTGCTTGATCCTAGGAGTTTGAGGCTACAATGAGTTATGATCGCACCAATGCACTCTAGCCTGGGTGACAAAGCAAGATCCCATATCTAAACAACAACAAAAAAACTATCTTGGGGGAGATCCTGTTAGACCATGCAAATGTCATGTTTCTTTTTTTTTTTTCGAGACGGAGTCTTGCTCTGTTGCCCAGGCTGGAGTTCAGTGGCATGATCTCAGCTCACTGCAACCTCCGCCTCCTGGTTCAAGAGATTTCCGGCTAATTTTTGTACTTTTGGTAGAGATGGGATTTCACCACGTTGGCCAGGCTGGTCTCAAACTCCTCACCTCAAGTGATCTGCCTGCCTCGGCCTCCCAAAGTGCTGGGATTACAGGTTTGCCTGGCCCAAATGTCCTGTTTCTCCTCAAACTTTCACCCTCTTATTTTCAAACCCATTAGTGGACGCTGCCTGTTAACAGTTATTACTAAGCTGTTCCAATGAAGACTTTTCTTTCTTTCTTTCTTTCTTTCTTTCTTTCTTTCTTTCTTTCTTTCTTTCTCTCTCTCTCTCTTTCTCTCTCTCTCTTTCTTTCTTTCTTTTCTTCCTCCCTCCCTTCCTTCCTTCCTTCTTTCTTTCTTTTTTTTTGAGACGGAGTTTCACTCTTGTCACCCAGGCTGGAGTGCAGTGGCACGATCTCGGCTCAATGCAACCTCCACATCCCGGGATCAAGCAATTGTCTTGCCTCAGCCTCTCAAGTAGCTGGGATTACAGGTGCCCACCCCCATGCCCGGTTAAGTTTTATATTTTTAGTAGAGATGAGGTTTCACCATGCTGGCGAGGCTGGTCTCAAACTCCGGACCTCGGGTGATCAGCCCACCTCGGCCTCCCAAAGTGCTGGGATTACAGACAAGAGCCACTGTGCCCGGCCTTACAGTGCCATTCTAATGGGGATTTTCTGTCGCCCTCACTCTTCCAAGATTTACGAATTGAGATCCTCTTGCAAGGCTGACTTGTGTCTTCTGCCACATTTGTTCAGTTGGTTAATTGTTTATTTATGTCCGTGTGAACTCATGGGTAATTTATTTTACTCTGCGGGTTATTATCCAACATGAGTGTTATTTATCTGGATGTTTAAGTTGTGCCAGCTTTGGCCATCAGTGGGCTCCTGTCTCCTTTCCACTCATCCCCTCCTTATTCTCTGGCACTTCAAAACATTCCAGGATCATCATGTGTTTTTTTTTTTTTTTTTTTTTTTTTGCTCAGCCTTAGAATCTACCCCTTCTCCATGGAGCGAGGCTTAGTTTTTTAATTTTTTAATTTAATTTTAAAAATTTTGGCCACATGCAGTGGCTCACGCCTATAATCCCAACACTTTGGGAGGCTGAGGCAGGCAGGTCACTTGAGGTCAGGAGTTTCAGACCAGTCTGGGCAACATGGTGAAACCCCATCGCTATCAAAAAATACAAAATTTAGCCATGCGTGGTGGTGCACACCTGTAGTCCCAGCTACTTGGGAGGCCAAAATGGGAGGATCATTTGAGCCCAAGAAGTCAAAGCTGCAATGAGCTGAGACTGTGCTACTGCACTCTAACCTGGGGACAGAGCGAGACCCCATCTCAAAAACAAAAATGTTTTTAATAGAGACAGTCTCACTATGTTGCCCAGGCTGGTCTCGAATTCCTGGGCTTAAGTGATCCCCCAGCTCGGCCTTCCAAAGCTGCTTCTTACAAATGATTAAGAGCAAAGTGAGGCTGGGTGCGGTGGCTCATGCCTGTAATGCCAGCACTTTGGGAGGCTGAGGTGGGTGGATCGCTTGAGTCTAGGAGTTCGAGACCAGCCTGGGCAACATGACAAAACCCTGTTTCTGGTAAAATAATAATTATTATTATCATTATATATATGTATACATATATATAAAAGTAAGAATCACTTGTAATAAAAATTCAAACAGTTACAGAGGGCAGGAGGTGAACAGAAGCCACTCACACCACACATTGCCCCACTCTCGGTTGTTGACTCTTTTTAGGCATTTTACAATGTTCTCTGCATATACAAAGGAGTAATTGTTTAGATAGAGACATGTTACTGTATTGCTTACTTAAAAAAAAAAGCACTTAGATCGTGGGTCATGCCCTAGTGGTTCTCAAACTTGGTGCACATCAGAATTACCTATGGAGCTTTCAAAAGTCCAGTGCTTGGGCCTGACCCCGGACAAAATACCAGAATCCCTGGCATTGATCTCCCAGAGTAGCTGCCACACGGAGCATGAAATAGAATGCTGTGAGCACCAGATGGCTTCTCACGGCCCTTGGCAGCCAGGCTCTGCCCATGGGTGATTGCTATTCTGATTTTATCAGCACAAATTGGTTTTTTTCTTTAATTAAGAAATTTGAGGCCGGGCGCGGTGGCTTACGCCTGTAATCTCAACACTTTGGGAAGCTGAGGCGGGCAGATCACCCAAGGTTAGGAGTTTGAGATCAGCCTGCCCAACATGGCAAAACCCCGTCTCTACTTAAAACACAAAAAATTAGCCGGGCATGGTGGTGGGCACCTGTAATCCCAGCTACTCAGGAGGGTGAGGCAGGAGAATCGCTTGAACCCAGGAGGCGGAGGTTGCAGTGAGCCGAGATCGTGCCATTGCACTCCAGCCTGGGCAACAAGAGCAAAACTCTGTCTCAAAAATAAAAAAGAAAAAATAAATTGAAATTATTTCAGACCAACAGAAAAGTTGCGCTAACAATACAAGGACTTTCCATATCCACTTCACCAATATTTCCCAAATATGAACATTTAACCACTTTTATTTATTTATTTATTTATTTTGAGACACAGTTTCACTATTGTTGCCCAGGCTGGAGTGCAATTGGCGTGATCTCGGCTCACCACAACCTCTGCCTCCCAGGCTCAAGCGATTCTCCCACCTCAGCCTCCTGAGTAGCTGGGATTACAGGCTTACGTCACCACGCCCGGCTAATTATTGTATTTTTAGTAGAGACGGGGGTTTCACCGTGTTGGCCAGGCTGGTCTCGAACTCCTGACCTCGTGATCTGCCCGCCTCGGCCTCCCAAAGTGCTAGGATTACAGCCATGAGCCACTGTGCCCGGCGTCTCTTTCATTCCTTTCATCAGAAACATTCTCTACTCTTTCTTCATTTTTCATGACCTTGACAATTTTGAAAAGCACAGCGAGTTGTTTTGTGGAATTTCCTTTGGGTTTGTTTGATGTCTGCTCATGATTAGATAGAAGTTGTGCATCTTTGCTAAGAATACACAAAACAGATACTGTGTTCTTCCCAATACATCCTGCAAGGAGGCGCATGGTGTCTTTTTTGAGTTAGGATCTCACTCTGTCCCCAAGGCTGGAGTACAGTGTTACAATCTCGGCTCACTACAGCCTGGACCTCCCAGGCTTAAGCAATTCTCCCACCTCAGCCTCCTGAGTAGCTGGGATTACAGGCATGCACCACCACGCCCAGCTAATTTTTGTATTGACAGGGTTTCGCCATGTTGCCCAGGCTGGTCTTGAACTCCTGGGCTCAAGCAATCTGCCCGCCTCGGCCTCCCAGAGTGCTGGAATTACAGGCGTGAGCCACTGTGCTCGGCTGCACGATGTCTTTTTAACCTCTTTGAGCCTCTGATTTCTCAGCTGAAAGTGTGGTACGGATGGGTCTCATTACTGATGATGCTTACTTTGATCACTTGGTTAGGGAGGTATCAGCCAGCCATCTCCACCATAAAGTGACTCTCTTTTTTCCTTTGTAATTAACAAGCATCTCCTGGAGAGATACTTTGAGACTATGCAAACATCCTGTTATGCCTCAAACTTTCCCTGCTAGTTTTATCATCCATTCATGATCCTTGCTTCAATCCAGTACTATAATGCTGGGTGCAAAATGGTGATTTTCCTCACCCTGGCATCCTCTCTGCTCCTCATGCCTGGCTTTTCTGCTGCAAGCACGAGCATTCTGTTTCCCCAGGCGCTGTTGTTTTAAAAAGCTTTCTTGGAGGGTCTACTGTGCAGCCAGGCTTCAGATCCAGTGATTTCTCTGTTCTTCAAATTGCTTTTTCTCCTTCACACACATCTTGGCCATCTTTCTGTATCACCCCGCTTCCCTGCTTTGCGATGGCTGTGCTATAATGTATTTAACTGACTCCCTGATGGGCGTTGGGATGGCTTCCAGTTCAGGGCTTTCACTGTAATGCTGTAGTGGGCAGCCTTACACAGCCGTGTACTTTTCTAGAAGTCAGAGACCCGGAGCAAGGGAAGCCTGCCTGGGACAAATTGTTCAATTGTGAGTATTATTGTGGCCAAGTCTTTTTGTTTTTGTTTTTGTTTGAGACAGTGTCACTCCGTCTCCCAGGCTGGAATGCAGTGGCACAATCTCGGCTCACTGCAACCTCCACCTCCTGGGTTCAAGCAATTATCCTGCCTCAGCTTCCCAAGTAGGTGGGAGTACAGGTGCCCACCACCACACCAGGCTAATTTTTGTATTTTTAGTAGAGACAGGGTTTCACCATGTTGGCCAGGCTGGTCTCTGACTCCTGACCTCAAGTGATCCGCCCTTCTTGGCCTCCCAAAGTGCTGGAATTACAGGCATGAGCCACTGCGCCCGGCCTCTATGGTGGTCAAGTCTTCACTGTCTTCCTTGAGGGCAGCAGGGTCCTGGGCTAGCAGGTCATTTCTGCTTCCCCGCGGGTCCTCCACCTGCTCTGGGTCTGATCAGTTCTCCCCGCCCCAGGGCTGTGAGGAGCGGCTGACGCCCTTTGCTGTCTTCCCGAGGCCCTGGAGTGCCGTGCGTGTGAAGGAGTACGGGTATACGCGGCTGCACATCCTCAACGGGACCCACATCCACATCCAGCAGGTGTCGGACGACCAGGTCAGTGAGGGGCAGGCCGAAGTCACCTGACTGTACAGCCAGGCCCCTCCAAGCAAATGAGCTGTTAAAAACGTGGGCTCGGCCGGGCGCAGTGGCTCATGCCTGCAACACCTGCAATTTGGTGGGGCTAAGGTATGAGGATCGCTTGAGTCCAGGAGTTCAAGACCAGCCTGGGTACCATGGTGAGACCTAGTCTCTACAAAAAATACAAAAAATGGCCAGGCACGGTGGCTCATGCCTGTAATTCCAGCACTTTGGGAAGCCGAGGCAGGCGGATCACAAGGTCAGGAGATCGAGACCATCCTGGCTAACATGGTGAAACCCCTTCTCTACTAAAAATACAAAAAAAATTAGCCAGGCGTGGTGGCAGGTGCCTATAGTCCCAGCTACTCGGGAGGCTGAGGCAGGAGAATGGCGTGAACCCGGGAGGCAGAGCTTGCAGTGAGCCGAGATCGCACCACTCCAGCCTGGGCGACTGAGCAAGACTCTGTCTCAAAAAAAAAAAAAAAAAAAAAATTAGGCCAGGTGCGGTGGTTCATACCTGAAATCCCAGCACTTTGGGAGGCTGAGGTGGGCAGATCACTTGAAGTCAGGAGTTAGAGACCAGCCTGGCCAACATGGTGAAACCCCGTCTCTACTAAAAATACAAAAATGAGCTGGCCATGGTGGCGGGTGCCTGTAATCCCAGCTACAAGGGAGGTTGAGGCAGGAGAATCACTTAAATCTGGGAGGTGAAGTTTGCAGTGACCCAAGATGGCACCACTGCCCTCCAGCCTGGGAGACAGAGTGAGACTCTGTCTTGGAAAAAAAAGGAAAATTAGTCAAGTGTGGTGGCAGATGTCTGTAGTCCCAGCTACTTGGGAGGCTGAGGCAGGAGGATCACTTGAGTGCAGGAGTTAGAGTTTGCAGTGAGCTATGATCTCGCCTCTGTACTCCAGCCTTGGCAACAGAGTGAGACCCTAACTCAAAACAAAAAAACGAACAAATGTGGACTGTAGAACTAGAAACCTGCTCCTGCTGCTTACCAGCTGAGTGACCTTGAGTCACTCATCTAATTTTTTTTTTTTTTTTTTGAGATGGAGTCTCGCTCTGTCACCCAGGCTGGAATGCAGTGGTGCAGTCTTGGTTTACTGCAACCGCCACCTCCCAGGTTCAGGCAATTCTCCTACCTCAGCCTCCCGAGTAGCTGGGATCACAGGCGCCCACCACCACACCCGGCTAATTTTTTGTATTTTTAGTAGAGACAGGGTTTCACTGTGTTGGCCAGAATGGTCTCGAACTCCTGACATCAGGTGATCTGCCTGCCTCAACCTCCCAAAGTGCTGGGATTACAGGTGTGAGCCACTGTGCTGGGCCCACTTATCTAACTTCTTTGCCTCAGTTTTCCCATCTGTGAGAGGGGATAATCATAGTTTCCACCTCACAGGACTACATGGGGGTTGAAGGACTTATTATATATAAAATGCTTAGAAGAGTGCGGAACTTGGTAAATTCTGTAGGTATTTACCATTGTGAGGCAGGGGAAGATAAAGATGGGGGGTGGGACACAGGTAGGGGAAAACAATAAGATGAGTATGTGGTACAGGTGGCTTAAGGTTAGGTGGATCCAAATAATAATGGCTCACCTTTCTTTATTTTTGCCATTGTAGTTTTAAAATAATGACAATATTTATGATTTATTGAGCACCTACTGCATACCAGGCACTGCCTAGATGCTCTGCATTTAGTAGCACTTTATTTATTTATTTGTTTTTGAGACAGAGTTTCACCCTGTCGCCCAGGCTAGAGTGCAGTGGTGCAATCTAAGCTCACTGCAACCTCCACCTCCCAGGTTCAAGCAATTCTCCTGCCTCAGCCTCCCGAGTAGCTGGGATTACAGGCACATGCCACCACACCCGGCTAATTTTTTGTATTTTTAGTAGAGATGGGGTTTCACCATGTTAGCCAGGCTGGTCTTGAACTCCTGACCTCAGGTGATCCACCCACCTGGGCCTCCCAAAGTGCTGGGATTACAGGCATGAGCCACCGCATGCGGCCCCAGTAGCACTTTATACACCAAAACAATCCCACAGGAGTGGATTTCCTCTCCATTTTATAGGTGAGGGAACTGAGGCTCAGAGAGGGGAAGTAATTTTCCCAGGGTCACACAGTTGGAGGACGGCCAAGCTGGGATCTGATAGCTACCATTTATCGAGTGGCACATGCACCGGGCGCAGACTTTTGTGTGCATGATCTCACTCTGTTCTCATGATGACTCTGGGCATCTATTACTTTGTGCATTGCATAGAACATGGAAGTTTTGCTCAGAGAGTCCAGCAACATGCTTAAGGCCACCTAGAGGGTGGATGCGCTGGCCAGGTGCAGCAGCTCATGCCTTTGGGAGGCTGAGGCAGGCGGATCACTTGAGGTCAGGAGTTCGAGACCAGCCTGGCCAACATGGTGAAACCTTGTCTCTAGTAAAAATACAAAAATTAGCCAGGCATGGTGGTGCATGCCTGTAATCCCAGCTACTTGGGAGGCTGGGGCAGGAGAATGGCTTGAACCTGGGAAGCGGAGGTTGCCACTGCACTCCAGCCTGGGTGACAGAGCAAGACTCTGTCTAAAAAAAAAAAAAAAAAAAAAAAAGGAGAGAGAGAGAAAGAGTGGATGTGCTGGAATATAAAGCAAGGTCTGTCTGACTCCAGAGTTTGTGCTCTAATAATAGCCTACACTTACATAGCCCTTTCCATATGCTGGGCTCTGTTTACAAATACTATCTCATTTAACTCCCACAACATCTATGATGTGGGTACTGTTACTCTTCCTATCACTTTTCAGATGAGGAAAACTGAGGCCCAGAGAGGCCTAGCCACTTGCTCAGGGTTGTACAGCCCATCAGAGGGCAGAGAGGGGACTGGAACCCAGGCCATGTGGCCCCAGAGTTCAGGCTTTCAGCTCTAACTACTGTCCCTGTTTTTGTCCCTCACAGGATGGGAAGATCGTAGATGATGTCTGGGTGGTGAGACCCCTGTTTGGCCGGAGGATGTACCTCTAGGGATGGCGGCAGCTCTCCTCCAGAAGCCTAGGTTTTGCCGCCTTGGCTGCTGTGACCAGAAACTGCCCAGGCCTGGGTGGGGAGTTGGGTGGGCCCTGACTCCCCTGCCCTCCAGAGGCCCCATGTAGGGTACATGCAGCCCTATGGAGCTGGGGCAGCTGTTCCCTCCTGGAGAGGTGGGAGTCCTGGCTGGCTGTGGAGGGAGGGCAGGTGTGCGGGCACAGAGTGACACACGGCAGGTTTCTGCTGGCAGGGCCCCACCCTCCTGCATAGCTCTGATCGGGCGAGGTGCCCACGGGGCTTCAGGAATGAAGAGGCTTAAGCTCTGGCTCCATGGATTCTGCACATCTGCGGGGGATGCCGCTGGGCTTCCTCCTCTCCTGCCCACCTGGCAAGGGCATCGCCAGGTGGGCACAACCGTCATGACACTACTCACCAGCAGGTGGCGTCAGGGGCTTTTTCTTCTGAGCCCGGCACTGAGAGTTGGTCTGAAGCCTGGCTCCTTCTTCACTGCTCCAGGACTGCTATGAAGAGTCCCTTCATGCCTCAGTTTCCCAGCCTGGCACCATCTTATTCGGGAAGAGGAGACGTGTTAACACTCTTGCCTCCTAGCTAGGACAGATGACAAACCGCAAGAGCCACAGACTTGCCAGTTCCTTCCCTCTTTCCTTCCTTTCTTTCCCTTCTTTTATTTATTGAATCATAATTTATTGAGCATCTACCATGTGCCAGGCTCTGTTCTCAGTGCTGGAGAGACAGCTGTGAATGAGACAGAGATCTCGGCCCTCACAGAGCTGACATCCTAACCAGAGAGTTGGACAAAAATCACGATAAATGAGTTGGTTAAATAGCGATTTGTGAGTAGAAAACGCAGGGACGGTGAGAGAGCAGTTTCAATTTTCAGGGGGATCTCACTGAGAGGGCAACATTTGATCTGAAGGAGGTGGGGAAGGAGCCAAGTGGGCAGACATCTGGGGGAAGAGCATTCCAGGCAGAGGAACAGCCAGTGCAAAGGCCCTGAGACAGAAATGTGCCTGGCCGGCTGGGTACAGTAACTCACATCTGTAGTCCCAGCACTTTGGGAGGCCGAGGCGGGCAGATCACTTGAGCCCAGGAGTTTGAGACCAGCCTGGGCAACACAGCGAAACCCTTTCTCTACCAAAAATATGAAATTTAGCTGGGCATGGTGGTGTGTGCCTGTAGTCCCAGCTGCTCAGGAGGCTGAGGCGGGAGGATGGCTTGAGCCCAGGAGGTTGAGGCTGCAGTGAGCCATGATTGCGCCACTGCACCCCAGCCTGGGCAACAGAGCAAGACCCTGTCTCAAAAAATATATATAAATAAAAAAGTTTTAAAAAGAGAAAAATAAACAAAGAAACGTGCCTGCCCTGTTGGAGTGTCCACGAGGAGGCCACTGTGGCTGGAGCAGGGAGAGTGAGAGGGAGACCAAGCTTGAGGACAGGGCAGTGGTGGGGATGGCTTGTATGGAGCCTTACAGGCCACGGTGAGGACTTTGGGTGGAGCCAGGGGAGGCTCTGAGCAGGTGAAGGAAGTGATCGGACTCCACGAGTCACAGGCAAAGGCCCCAGGGCTGACAGCTGCCCCAGGGCCTGCGGGCTCCCAGCCCTGCCAGATGACCTGAGATCTATCTATTCCCCCGTCATGGGGCGCGGTTTCTGCCTCCACAGATTTCATTCCCTCCCACCCGCCCCTCACTTGGCCCAAGGCACGCAGGACTCCTTGCCGTTCCTGGAACACAGCCAGCTCTTTCTCACTGCGGGGCCTGGGCGCTGGCTGTCTGCCCCCTGTGTGCCCTCTCCCCAGCTCATCCCAGGCTGGCGCCTTCTCAACCTCAGGTCTCAGACTCGGTGTCCCCTCCTCAGAGGCCTTCCCTGCTGACCCCAGCTAAAGTAGCCTGTGTTGCTGCCTGCCCCACCCCCGTTTTACTTCGATCTGCAATTCTTTCCTTGATTGGTTAACTTGTTCATTGGCTGTTTACACCCGTAAAGCTAAGTCTGTGAGGGTGGTGACCATGAGTTCAACGCCTCTGCCAAATCCTCCCAGGCCCCTTCTTGGGCTGGATTGGGGACTCTGGGCTCCCCGCTAGTTCCAGTCCTGCGCATTCTAGGCCATCACCGTTTGGGGATGGGTCTCTCTGACTCCCCCACTGGACTTCAACCTCAGAGGGATGGGGCCCAGAGCTGCGTCCCAGCATTGCCCAGCACAAGATAGATACTTAATAAATATTGATTGCCTTAATGAAGGCCACCACATGCCAGGCTCCAGCCGGGCAATGCCAGGGACAGCGATGAATCAGCTACAGTCATGCCCTCTGGGAGCTCGCAGGCAGGCAGGGAAACACGGTTACTCAACACAGGTGATGAGCAGTAAGAGAATCCCGTGGCGGGCCGGGCCAAGACGGTGAGGTCACAAGCTGGACGGTCATGGAGTGCTGTGGCCGCCGACTGAACTGGTGCCCTGTGTGGGTCTGGCATGCCCTGTCCCGGGCTGGGTGAGGCTGTGGACATGCCGGGAGGTGGCAACCTCCACAGAGGGCAGAGGTCAGACACTGGAGTCAAACAGAAACTGGTTCAAATCCCAGCCCCACCAATTCCTGTGTGACCATGGGCAAGTCGGCAACCCTCTCTGAATCTCTGTTTCTTCATCTATAACCCAAGAATGATAATACTCTGTGAGGCTGCCTTGGGGTTAAATGAGATTGAAAGCCTTGGGATCGATATTGATTCCTCTTTTTCTCATGCTCCACATCCAAGTATCTGGAAAATCCTGTTTGCCTTGCCTTCGAAATCGATCTAGACTCTTTTTTTTTTTGACATGGAGTTTCACTCTTCTCGCCCAGGCTGGAGTGCAGTGGTGTGATCTCGGCTCACTGCAAACTCTGCCTCCTGGGTTCAAGCAATTCTCCTGCCTCAGCCTCCCAAGTAGCTGGGATTACAGGAGCCTGCCACCACACCTGGCTAATTTTTGTATTTTTAGTAAACATGGGGTTTCACAGTGTTGGCCAGGCTGGTCTCAAACTCATGACTTCAGGTGATCCACCTGCCTTGGTCTCTCAAAGTGCTAGAATTACAGGTGTGAGCCACTGCGCCCAGCTCGATCTAGACTCTCTACGCTTTTGGCACCCCCAAAGCCCCCACCCTGGTCCTGTCTACACTCATTTCCTACAGACTCCTTGGACTTCCTGCTCCCTCCTTTTCCCGGGAGTCTGTTCCCCACACACAACCAAAGGCACCTGTGAACACCTGCATCAGATCACATCCGCCCCTGCTCAGAGCCCTCCTGTGGCTCCGTCTCAGGTCCACGAGGCCCCAGACGATCTGCCCCTGTCACCCCTGTGTCCTCACCCCCTCCAATCACCCCCCTCGCCCACTCTGCTGCAGCCACACTGGCCTCTGCATTGGACTCCCCACCCACTTTTGCACTGGCAGTTCCCTCTGCCGGGGACACTGTTCCCCCAGGGATCTGTATGACTCCCTTTATCCCCCCCTCAGGCCTTTGCTCAGTGCCACCCTCCCTGACCCTCTTGTTTAAAACAGCTCCACCTAACCGGAGGTCATCAGGTTCGGTGAAATAAGCCAGGCACAGAAAGACAAACCTCGCATGGTCTCACTCATTTGTGGGAGCTAAAAATCAAAACGATGTCATGGACACGGCGAGTTAGAAGGATGGTGACCAGAGGCTGGGAAGGGTGCTGGGAGGCTGCAGGGGATGGGCTTTTTTTGTTTTTGTTTTTGTTTTTTGAGACGGAGTCTTGCTTTTTCGCCCATGCTGGAATGTAAGGGTGAGATACCGGCTCACTGCAAACTCTGCCTCCTGGGTTCAAGCAATTCTCCTGCCTCAGCCTCCTGAGTATCTGGGATTACAGGCACCCGCCACCACACCTGACTAATTTTTATATTTTTAGCAGAGACAGGGTTTCACCATGTTGGCCATGCTGGTCTCGAACTCCTGATCTCAAATGATCCGCCCGCCTCGGCCTTCCAAAATGCTGGGATTACAGGCGTGAGCCACTGCACCCAGCCTCGGTTTTGTTAATGGGCTAAAAAAAAAAGAATGAATAAGACCTACTATTTGATCACACAACAAGATGACTATTCTCAATAATAATTGTACATTTTTAAATAACCAAAAGAGTGTAATTGGGTTGTAACACAAAGGATAAATGCTTGAGGGGATGGATACCCCATGCCTGTATCAAAATATCTCATGTACCCCATAAATACATACACTTACTATGGACCCAACAAAAATTAAAACCTAAGGCTGGGCACTGTGGCTTATACCTGCAACCCCAGCACTTTGGGAGGCCGAGGTGGGAGGATCACTTGAAGTCAGGAGTTTGAGACCAGCCTGGCCAACATGGTGAAACTCCGTCTCTAGCAAAAATACAATTAGCTGGGCGTGGTGATGTGCACCTGTGGTCCAGCTACTCAGGAGGCTGAGGTGGGAAAATCGCTGGAGTCCGGGAAGTTGAGGCTGCAATGAGCCAAGATCGCACCACTGCACGCCAGCCTGGATGACAGAGTGATATCCTGTCTCAAAAGTAAAAAAAAAATTAAATAAATTCTTAAAAAAGTAATAATTAATAATAAAATAAAACAGCTTTACCCTCCATACACCTCCCATCTCCCTTCTCTGCTTTATATTCCTTCAAGACACTGAGGGCTGGGAGCGATGGTTCATGCCTATAATCCCAGCACTTTGGGAGGCCAAGGTGGGCGGGTCACCTGAGGTCAAGGAGATCAAGACCAACCGGAGGTCATCGGGCTGGCCAACATGGTGAAACCCCGTCTCTAGTAAAAATACAAATTTAGCTGGGTGTGGTCATGCACACCTGTAATCCCAGCTACTTGGGAAGCTGAGGCAGGAGAATTGCTTGAACCTGGGAGGCAGAGGTTGCAGTGATTCAAGATAGCACCACCTGCACTCCAGCCTGGGTGACAGAGCAAGATTCCATCTCAAAAAAAAAAAAAAAAAGCATTTAGATCTTGTGACCCACTATATACATACATGTTTGATTATTTTTTTCCTTTTCTCCCCCAAGAGAATGTGAGCTCCCTGGACAACAGGGTTTTTTTGTTTGTTTGTTTTTTGCCAGTTCTGTCCCCTGCTGTTACCTTGGTCACTGGTATATAGTAGGTGCTCAATAAACATGGTTTACGTGGAAGAAAGAAGGAATGAGAAATAAAGGTAAGCTTAGCACAGGGCCTGGCACTGAGGGATGCTTATCAGTAGGAATGACAGTGACTTAGGTGACTCAGATAAAGGCTCAGCCCTCGGGAGCTCCCCGTGGCTGGGTGCGCAGCAGACAGGCACGCAGGACTGGTTGCAACACCTGCCCTGTGTGACGTGCACAGGAAGTTGCAGGTTGCAGGGCCAGAGACCCTGAAGCTTCTGAGAGGCGAAGCTGAGCAAGGTCTTTTTTTTTTTTTTTTTTTTTGAGACAGGGTCTCACTGTGCCGCCCAGGTTGGAGTGCAGTGGTGCAATCATGGCTCACTGCAGCCTTGGCCTCCCCAGGCTCAAATGATCCTCCCACTTCAGCCTCCCGAGTTTCTGGAACTACTAGGCGTGCCACCATACCCAGCTAATTTTTGTATTTTTTGTAGAGATGGGGTCTTGTTATGGTGCCCAGGCTGGCCTCCAACTCCTGGACTCAAGCAATCAGCCAGCCTTGACCTTCCAAAGTGTTGGGATTATAGGCGTGAGCCACCACGTCCCCCGCCACAAGGCTTTCAAAGGCCGCACAGATGCCTACGCTGCAGGCTGGGGTTGGGAGGTAGCGGGTGGTCCCAGAAAGGGAAGCAGGGCCACGGGGAGAGCTCATGGGAAGGCTGGGGGATCCATGGGGCTCTGGATTCATTCATCAATAAGTATTTATTTATTAAACTCCTTTGTTGCTCAAATCAGCCAGAAGTGGTTTCTGTTGATGGCAACTGAGAACCATGAAAGAAACATTGACCCCCTGTGAAGGGAAAACCTTTGAAACTGTGTTTTTTCTCTGCTCTCACACCACAACGGCCAGGTGCGGTGGCTCACACCTGTAATCCCAGCACTTTGGGAGGCCGAGGCAGGCGGATCACTTGAGGCCAGGAGTTGGAGACCAGCCTGGCCAACATGGTGAAAACCCATCTCTTCTAAAAATACAAAAATTAGCCAGGTGTGGTGGCAGGTGCCTGTAATCCCAGGTACTCGGGAGGCTGAGGCAGGAGAATCCCTTGAACCCGGGAGGCAGAGGTTGCTGTGAGCCGAGATCGCACCACTGCACTCCAGCCTGGGCAACAGAGCAAGACTCTATCTCAAAAAACAAAACAAAACGAAACACCACAACAACAATCATCAACATAGACTGTGATCAAACGCAGGGGGCGGGTTCTTCCACAGACCAGGCAGCAGACACCAGCTGGGTGTCCTCCAACTCATTTCTGACACCATCTACCCAAAGACGGCCTCAGATCCCACAGGTTGAGGGTTCAGTCCCACACACTGCTCCCTCCCTCCCCAGCCGCATGTCTGGGTCTCCGGAACTTCTGACTGGCCAGCTTCAAGTTAGGGTTTCCACGACCCCCTCTTGGGGTTCGATTTATTTGCTAGAGCGGCTCACAGAACTCAGGGAAACAGTTACATTTGCAGGTTTATGACTAAGGATATTTTAATGAAGAGATGCATAGGGTGAGCATAGCAGCTTCTGTCCCCATGGAGTTGGGGCGCACCACCCTCCCAGCACCTGGATGAGTTCTTCTTTTATTCTTATTTTTTGAGATGGAGTGTTTCACTCTTGTTGTCCAGGCTAGAGTGCAGTGGTGCAATTTTGGCTCACTGCAACCTCTGCTTCCTGGGTTCAAGCGATTCTCCTGCCTCAGCCTCCCAAGTAGCTGGGATCACAGGTACCTGCCACCACACCTGGCTAATTTTTGTATTTTCAGTAGAGACGGGGTTTCACCATGTTGGCTAGGCTGGTCTTGAACTCCTGACCTCAGGTAATCCACCCAACTTGGCCTCCCAAAGTGCTGGGATTATAGGTGTGACCGACTGCACCTGGCCTATTTTTATTTTATTTTTTGAGACAGCGTCTTGCTCTGTTGCCCAGGCTGGAGTGCAGTGGTGCAATTACAGCTCACTGCAGCCTCAACGTCCAGGGCTCAAGCAATCCTCCTGCCTCAGCCTCCCAAGTAACTGGGACCACAGGTGAGTTCCACCATGCCCGGTTAATTTTCTAAATTTTTTTTTTTTTTGTAGAGACAGCGGTGTGGGGCGAGGGGTAGGGGACGGGTCTTGCTGTGTTTCCCAGGCTGGTCTTGAACTCCTGGGCTCAGGTGACCCTCCTGCCTCCCAAAGTGCTGGGATTCCAGGCGTGAGCCACCACGCCCGGCCTGCATCTTATATTTTTATTGGCTAAATTTGGCCATCCTAAGATTGAGCAAGGGGGACATGGAGGGAGATGAGAATAGAGCATGTGGAGTGGGCAAAAAGTTGAGAAGGAGACTCGCAGATCCTACAAACACAGCCAAAGAGACAAACCTCTTGGAAGTTTTTTGCAAGGGCTTCTGTTATATGGGCTCCCTCCTTGGACAGGAGTCCCTCCTCCCAGCCCCTTCCTCCCTCCAGATCTTCAGTGCTTCTTTTCAGCAAATTTTAAAAATGGTAATAGTTTTATTTTATTTCAGGTGAGAAAGCAACACACTCATTGCTAAAAATATATAAACTCAAACCATGCAAAAAAGAATAAAGCAGACACAAACATGATAGTTATGTGAGGTAATGCATATGTTAATTAGCTAGAGTTAGTCATCCCAAAATGTATATATACTTCAAACATCGTGTTGTACACGTTAAATACATACACTTTTATCTGTTAATTTTTAAAAAGAGGGCTGAAATCCCACCACTTTGGGAGACCAAGGCAGGAGGATCGCTTGAGGCCAGGAGTTCAAGACCAGCATAGGCAACAAAGTGAGACACTCTCCCCGTCCTTGCTACCTAGCTAGCTAAATAAAAAAGAAATAATAAAATAAAATAAAAAGAATGTAGGCCAGGCGCGGTGGCTCACTCCTGTAATCCCAGCACTTTGGGAGGCTGACAAGGGCAGATCACCTGAAGTTACAAGTTCGAGATCAGTCTGGCCAACATGGTAAAATCCCGTCTCTACTAAAAATACAAAAAGAAATTAGCCAGGCATGGTGGTGTGCACCTGTAATCCCAGCTGCTCTGGAAGCTGAGGCAGAAGAATCACTTGAACCCGGGTGGTGGAGGTTGCAGTGAGCCTAGATTGCGCCACTGCACTCTAGCCTGATGAGAGAGAGAGTCCGTCTCCAAAAAAAAAAAAAAAACACAACATATTTATATGGCCTTTTGTTAAAATTGATAAACCAATATTGATATATTATTATTAACTAAAATCTAAATTTTATTCTACTGCATTTTAAAAACATTTTAATATAACTCTATTGAGATATAATTTTTTTTTTTTGAGACGGAGTCTCGCTCTGTTGCCCAGGCTGGAGTGCAGTGGCGAGATCTCGGCTCATTGCAAGCTCCACCTCTTGATTCATGCCATTCTCCTGCCTCAGCCTCCTGAGTAGCTGGGACTACAGGCACCCGCCACCACACCCAGCTAATTTTTTGTATTTTTAGTAGAGATGGGGTTTCACCGTGCTAGCCAGGATGGTCTCAATCTCCTCACCTCGTGATCCGTCTGCCTCGTTCTCCCAAAGTGCTGGGATTATAGGCGTGAGCCACTGCGCCCGGCCTTTTTTTTTTTTTTTTTTTTGAGACAGGGTCTCACTCTGTCACCCAGGCTGGAGTGCAGTGGTGTAATCTAGCTCACTGCAACCTCTGCCTCCCGGGTTCAAGTGATTCTCCTGCCTCAGTCTCCCGAGTAGCTGGGATTACAGGAGTGTGCCACCATGCCCAGCTAATTTTTTTTTTTTTTTTGAGACAGAGTCTCGCTCTGTTTCCCAGGCTGGAGAGCAGTGGCGCGATCTCGGCTCACTGTAACCTCTGCCTCCCAGGTTCAAGTGATTCTCCTGCCTCCGCTTCCCTAGTAGCTGGGACTACAGGTGCCCGCCACCACGCCAGACTAATTTTTTGTATTTTTAGTAGAGACGGGGTTTCACTGTGTTAGCCAGGATGGTCTCAATCTCCTGACCTCGTGATCAGCCCGCCTCGGTCTCCCAAAGTGCTGGGATTACAGGCGTGAGCCACTGCGCCTGGTAAATTTTTTGTATTTTTAGTAGAGATGGGGTTTCACTATGTTGACCAGGCTGGTCTTGAACTTCTGGCCTCAAGTGATTCACCTGCCTCAGCCTCCCAAAGTGCTGGGATTATAGGCGTGACCACCACGCCCGGCTTAAGCATCAGTTTTGAAATCAAGATTTCCTGGTTACAAGCCCAGCAGAGTTGCTTCCAGGTGGTGGGACTTTGTTCTACTTTCCACTCTATTTCTGTGCCTCAATTTCCTCATCTGTTAAGTGGAGCTAAAGATCCCACTTTAAATATAAATAGTGACAATTAGATAAGATCAAGTAGTTAGGCAGGGCATGGTGGTTCATGCCTATAGCCCAGCACTTTGGGAGGTGAAAGTGGGAGGATCACATGAAGCCAGGAGTTGGAGACCAGCCTGGCCAACATATCGAGACCCTGTCTCTACACAAAATTTAAAAATGAGCTGGGTGTGGTGGCGCATGCCTGAGTCCCAGCTACTCAGGAGGCTGAGGCAGAAGAATCACTTGAACCCAAGAATAAGAGGTTATAGTGAGCTTTATGATCCAGCCATTGTACTCCAGCCTGGGTGACAGAGAGACCCTATTTTTAAAACAAAACAAAAGATATGTAGGTAAAGTGGATTTAGAGAAGGTCTGGCATAGAGGGTAGGGAAAAACTTGGAAGCAACCCAAATGTCCAATAATAGGGGATTCAAGTACTTTTTTTTTTTTTTTTTTTGAGACAGGGTTTTGCTCTGTCACCCAGGCTGGAGGGCAGTGGCCGATCTCAGCTCACTGCAACCTCCACACACACCCCCTCCCCAACTGGCTCAAGTGATCCTCCCACCTCAGCCTCCCAAAGTGCTGGGCTATAGGCATGAACCACCATGCCCAGCCTGAGTGCCCAGAGTAGCTGGGATTACAGGCATGTGCCACCATGCCCAGCTAATTTTTGTATTTTAGTAGAGCTGGGGTTTCGCTATATTGGCCAGGCTGGTCTTGAACTCCTCATCTCAAATGATCTGCCTGCCTTGGCCTCCCAAAGTGCTGGAATTATAGGCATGAGGCACTGTGCCCGGCCCAAGTACATTATGATACATCAATAATATTACATATAAAAAGCAATAGTTATAATAAACATTAAAATAGTACTTACTAATGATGAATATTTGCATATATACACCTTTATCTATGTTTTTTTCCTAAAGAAAGCAACACTAGTCTTTCTTTCCCTTTAAGATCAGTTCCTAGAAGTAGAATTGCTGTATCAAGAGGTAGATAGGAATATTAAGTCTCTTAATAAATATCACCAAAAAGCTGCCCAGATCCAGTCCACAGTGGGGTATGAGAGTGCTGATGGCGTGTACTCTCATCAGCACTAATTATATATTATAATATATTAATATTTAAAAACATTTTTCTGAGAGACCAAAAGCAAATCTCAGTTTAATACTTATTTCATTAATTGCTTGTTCACCAATTCAATTTTTTTGTATTCACTGTTATTTATTTATTTATTTATTTTAGGTCCTTTGCCTGTTTTTTTCTGTTGTATGTTTACCTTTTTCTCTTATTGATCTGCAGATGTTCTTTACATATGAAAGACAGAAAGCTTTTCTTGCCATCCATATGTCACAACTTATCTTTTTCCTTGATGTACTGAAATGTATCATTTTTATGAAGCCAAATCCTCTTCACCCTCCTCGCCTTTTTCCATCCCTCAAGAGTCACCTCCTCAACATCCCCACTGGGAAGCCTTCTGTAGGAGGCTCTTTGGAGTCTGATTTTCCTCTCCCAGGGTCCTGGAGTAGCAGGGCCTGATTGCTCACCCTGAGTAAGCCCTTGGGGTAGATCTGTCCCTGGGATTGTTCCAGGGGTCTGACTATTGATGCAATCCCCAACTAAGTTACAAGGGGACTTCCCCAAAAATGAGTTCTAGAACCTAAGGCTCTGAAGTTTGTGCAGGGCGTTAAAGAGGCAAAGGCTGCACCTGCCCCTCCTCCCGTTACTATGACCTGAATAAGGTGTTGTCATCTCAGCTCCTGGTCTTGGTTTTTTGTTTTTTTTTTTTAATGAAGATTCTGCAAGACACACAAGCATTTCAAAAGAGTGCAAAAACAAGAATGTTTCATGCTGACAAGGATTATTTTTATTTATTTATTTATTTATTTATTTATTTATTTATTTATTTTTGAGACAGGGTCTTGCTCTGTCACCAGGCTGGAGTGCAGTGGTGCAATCTTTTTTTTTTTTTTTTTTTTTGAGACAGAGTCTCGCTCTGTTACCAGGCTGGAGTACAGTGGCTTGGTCTCGGCTCACTGCAACCTCTGCCTCCTGGGTTCAAGCGATTCACCTGCCTCAGCCTCCCAAGTAGCGGGGATTACAGGCACGTGCCACCACGCCCGGCTAATTTTTGTATT
Source organism: Homo sapiens (assembly GCF_000001405.40). Taxonomy (NCBI): domain Eukaryota; kingdom Metazoa; phylum Chordata; class Mammalia; order Primates; family Hominidae; genus Homo; species Homo sapiens. Next base: position 39,121,758 of record NC_000019.10, read on the forward strand.
TTTAGTAGAGATGGGGTTTCACCATGTTAGCCAGGCTGGTCTTGAACTCCTGACCTCATGATCCTCCCGCCTCGGCCTCCCAAAGTGCTGGGATTACAGGCGTGAGCCACCGCGCCCAGCCAAGTGGTGCAATCTTGGCTCACTGCAACCTCCACCTCCGGATTCCAGCGATTCTCCTGCCTCAGGCTCCTAAGTAGCTGGGATTACAGACGCCTACCACCACGCCTGGCTCATTTTTGTATTTTTAGTAGAGACAGGGTTTCACCAAGTTGGCCAGGATGGTCTCGATCTCTTGACCTTGTGATCCGCCCACCTCGGCCTCCCAAAGTGCTGGGATTACAGGCGTGAGCCACCACGCCTGGCCCCCAGTGCTGACAAGGATTCTTTAAAGGGCGCATTCTCTCTGAAGGCTGGTGGGAGCGTGAGTTGGATCCCTACAGCACAATTTGGCAATGTGTGTCCCAGGCCATGAGGAGGCAGCAGAGGGCAGTCAATGAGAACAGTGCCCGGGAGTCAAAGCTGGGTTTGCCCCATTGGTCCTTGAGTTTGAGCAAGTGAAGTTACTTCTCTGAGCCTCAGTTTCCTCCTCTGGAAAAGGGATGAATATTCACAGCTTTAGCTGTTACAATTACATGGCTTAGCACCCTGCTTCCTGATGCACAGAAATGCTTGAAACATGGGAACTGTTACTATTCTTTTTTTTTTTTTTGAGAGTCTCACTCACTCTGTCACCCAGGGTGGAGTGCAGTGATGCCACCTCTGCCACCTCGGCTCACTGCAACCTCCGACTCCCAGGTTCAAGCGATTTTCCTGCCTCAGCCTCCTGAGTAGCTGGGATTACAGATGTGCACCACCATGCCCGGCTAATTTTTTGTATTCTTAGTAGAAACGGGGGTTTCACCACGTTGGCCAGGCTGGTCTCGAAATCCTGACCTCAAGTGATCCGCCTGCCTCGGCCTACCAAAGTGCTGAGATTCCAGGCGGAAGCCACCACACCCGGCCACTGTTACTATTCTTAATTCTTAAAGATACACCTTCTCCTTGACCCAGAAGTTTCATTTGTAGTAGGAACAATAATTAGAGACAGGCACAAGGAAATAATTAGAGATGGTCACAAATATTTAGCTGCTTGGATTTTGCATGACAGGGAGGGGGATTATTTATAATGGCAAGGTACTACAGCATAGATGTTCAAAAGGACAGTGATTAAACAAATTCGAGTTCATTGATAGGATGGCATCTTATGCAGCCATTAAAACTAATCTTCTTGAAGAATATTTAATGACATGGAAAGACACTGGTGATATTTACAATCTTGTGGTTTAAAAGACAACATTCTAGGCTGGGTGTGGTGGCTCACGCCTATAATTCAAACACTTTGGGAGGCCAAGGCGGGGCGGATCACCTGAGGTCAGGAGTTCGAGACCAGCCTGACCAACATGGAGAAACCCCGTCTCAACTGAAAATACAAAATTAGTTGGGCGTGGTGGCACATGCCTGTAATCTCAGCTACTGGGGAGGCTGAGGAGGGAGAATCGCTTGAGCCCGGGAAGCAAAAGTTGCAGTGAGCTGAGATCATGCCATTGTACTCCAGCGTGGGCAATGAGAGCAAAATTCCGTCTCAAAAAAAAAAAAAAAGACACAACATTCTTTACAAACGTATGTTTCCAATTCTGTCAAAAGAAAAAAGGGGTCAGTCATGGTGGCTCACACCTGCAATCCCAGCACTTTGGGAGGCTAAGGTGAGAGGATTGTTTGAGGCCAGGAGTTCAAGACCAGCCTGGGCAACACAGCGAGACCCCGTCTCTACTAAAAATTAAGAAAATTAGCCAAGCCAGGTGCAGTGGCTCATGCCTGTAATCCAACACTTTGGAAGGCCAAGGCGGACAGATCACTTGAGACCAGGAGTTCGAGACCATCCTGGCCAACATGGGGAAGCCCCGTCTCTACTAAAAATACAAAAATTAGCCGGGCATGGTGGTAGGCGCCCAGGAGTCGTTTGAACTCTGGAGGCGGAGGTTGCAGTGAGCCAAGATCATGCTACTACACTCCAGCCTGGGTGACAAAGTGAGATTCTGTCGAAAGAAAGAGGAAAGAAAGAAGGAAGGAAGGAAGGAAGGAAAGAAAGAGAAAGAAAGAAAGAAAAAGAAAGAAAGAAAGAAAATTAGCCGGTGTGGTGGCTTATGCCTATAGTCCCAGCTACTTGAGAGGCTAGGTTGGAAGGATCACTTGAGCCCAGGAGTTTCAGACTGCAATCCCGCCTGGGCGACAGAGTAAGACCCCTATCTAAAAAAAAAAAAAAAAACAAAAAACAAAACAAACAAAAAAAAAAACGAATGAACAAATAAAAAGAAAAAAGATAGGTAAACATAAAGAAAAATTAACTCATCATTCAATCATTCATTCATTGTTGCCACCGACATTAGTAGAAATTAATTAAATGCCTACTATGTGGCTGTTCTGGGGCAGAGGAGAAGCACCAAACATTTAAGAGTATCTCTGAAGGGGTGGAATTACCACGCATTCAAACAGCCCTTCCACCAATGTTTACTGAGCATCTACATGCCAACAGTGCTGGGGCACTGGGAATGCAGCAGTGAACAAAGACAGAAATCCATGTTGTCATGGGGCTGACATTCCAGCAGAGGAGACAACCAACAAGCAATAACTACAATTAGGAGTGAGAAATAAGAACAAAGCAGACAGAGTTTGGTAGTATGTGAGAGGGATGTTTGCTGCTTTCCTTAGGGTGAGCGAGGGAATTAGTTCACAGAGAAAGTGACATCTGTGTAAAGCCCTGAAAAAAGGGAGGGAGAGATAAGGATACCTGGGGGAAGAGTATGTTCCAGGCAGAGGAACAACCAGTGCAAAGACTGTGAGGTGAGAGCGCACCTGACAAGAGTTCAGGAACAGCATGAAGGCTGGAGTCCAGTGAATAAGATCCAGGAGGAGAGATGTCTGGCCGGGCGCAGTGGCTCACGCCTGCAATCCCAGCACTTTGGGAGGCCGAGGCAGGAGTATAGTTTGAGCCCAGGAGTTCGAGACCAGCCTGGCCAACACAACAAAACTCTCTCTTTAAAAATAAAAGAAAAAGGCCAGCTTGGTGGCTCACACGTGTAATCCCAGCACTCTGGGAGGCCGAGGCGGATAGATCACCTGAGGTCAGGAGTTCGACCTGGCCAACATGGTGAAACGCTGTCTCTACTAAAAATACAAAAAATTAGCTGGGTGTGGTGGTGGACGCCTGTAATTCCAGCTACTCAGGAGGCTGAGGCAGGAGAATCTCTTGAACCCGGGAGGCGGAGGTTGCAGTGAGCTGAGATCGCGCCATTGCACTCCAGCCTGGGCAACAAGAGCGAAACTCTATCTCAAGACAAATAAATAAGTAAAAATAAAATTTAAAAAAATTTTTAAAGAAGATGTCTGCTGTTTGTTTTCAATATTTTGACCAATTACTTCGTAAAAACTTATTTAAAAATTGAAGAGCAAACAGTCTCAGGTTCCCGGGCTCAGACAGACCAGCGTTCAAAACTCATTACCTTCTTTCTATGATGCTAAGCCAGCTATTTCACCCTCTGAACCTCTGTTTCTTTATCTGTAAAATGGGTATTAATGATATTATACCACAGGGTTGTATATGCAGCGAGAAAATGCAAGTAAAACACTTATCCCGGTGCCTGCCTCCTAGTAAGTGCTTAAGAACTGTTTCTGCCCATTAACTCATTACTTTCTCCCAGCCCCTAACTCCTTCTGGGGGGGAAGTTAGAAAATCGGTATCACACGAAAACAGTCATTTCCCCTTTAAGGACCTCAGTGGGCCGGGAGCCAGCCTTCCCGCACCTTTTCCAAAATTTCCAATCCCCGCTTGGCATTTTCTGCCCGAAGGTCTCCGATTGGACGCTCTGTACCAATCGGAGGCTGGAGCGGGCCCTGAGAGGCGCCCGACTCCGCCCCCGCACTGGCCCTGCCCACTGCCCGGTCAGCCTCGTTGCTATGGGGACTGGTGGGCGGTGAGGGGGGAAAGCCCCGGATGTTCGTTGGGGATTCAACATGGCGGCGGGAGTGTCCGCGGTGGTGGCGGTGCAAGAGAGCTGAGGGAGGCGCGAGGGCGCGGAGTTCCAGGTCGAGCAGTTAGGCCGCGAGCGACTGCGGCGCCGAGCCGGTAGGATAAGGGGTCCGGCCAGGGGCTTGCGGTGGGCCGGGCGCTGGCGGCGGGACGGCGTTTCCGCGAGGAGGGGGGCGGGGCCGCCGGGGTCAAAGGTCACTGGTGGAGGGAAGGGTCGCGTCCGAGGGGTCGGGGGTTAACGCAGACTGGAGGGAGTTGTAGTGGAGGTCGGAGATCAAACCAGCGAAGGGGGCGTGGCGAAGGGGAGTGCAAAGTTTGAAATTCGAAGTGGGGGCGCGTTCGAGGGGTTCTGGGCGAGTCTCAAAAAAGGCAGGGTCAAAGTTAATAATTTGAGGGAAGGCTGCCCCCACGAGGGTCAGAGGTCACAGCCCCAGGGGCGCCAGGTTGGAGGTTTAAAGCTGCCCCTAGCGGAGCAGATGAATGAGTTTTAGGTTCGGGGGCGTCTTTTAGGGGTTCAAAGCTGGGGCGTGCCTAGAAGGTACAAAGGTGAGAATCTGACAGCGGGGCAGCTGTTTCCCAGAGTCAAAAATTAAAACCCAAGGAGGGCGTATTGCGGGGGACGGGGGGGGGGGGGGGGGCCGGGTCAGAGATGCTTCCTGGTGACAGGAGAAGGGGGAACCCTCCCACAAATAATAATGGCAAACACTCATGAAACACTATGGGCTAGACCCTCTTTTTAACGCTTTACTTGTATGAGCTTATTCAGTCCTCACTATAGTCTTAGGGGGTCTTAACCTGGTATTAAGAGGTTAAGTGATTTGCACAAGGTCACCCGATGCATAAGTTGTGCGCTGGGATTCTAACTCCGGAGTTCTGGCCCAGAGCCCTGCTCTGGCCGACCGCCTCTCAAATCATCATAATGTCGGTTAATGTTTAATGAGGGCTCACACTGTGCTCCACGCCCTGTGTGCCCGGTCGTATTTCACTCCTGCTGCAATCTTGTGAAGTGAGTGCTCAAGATGAACCTACTTTACAGACGGGAAAAATGAGGCTCAGAAGCTTCTGCTGAAGGCAGAGTTAGAATCGAAGCTGGGCCTGGGTGATTCCAGGGCTCCTGCCCCTGGTCGCCACATTGTCCGCTGCCAGCCATTAGGTCTCTCCTGGAAGCAGGGGGCTGGGCAGGGCTGGGCCACTCCCTGGGCGGATCGGATTGTCTGCTTGGTTTCCTTGGAAGGGTGTGATCTGGCAGGGAAGATTCCTGTGAGCCTATGGGAGTAGGGTGTTTGTAGGTGGTCTGGAGTCCGAGCAAGGGAGTCCGACGGGCTTCTGACTGGGGAGAGTGTCCCTGGGTGGTACCCTGGGCAGAGCGGGGTGTTCACTGTTCTTAAAACCCTAAGCTCTCACTGTGGTCCTTAGTCACTCCCACCTCACTTCTTATGGCTCTGCCCATTTCTCCCCAGCCCCTTTACTGTTCTCCAACTCCAGGCCCATGCCTCCCGCCCGGTCTTTGACCTTCCTGTTCCTTCTGCTGGGAATCCTTTCCCCACCCTGCCCTCTCTCACTGACGGGTCGCTCACTCTCAGCTGGCCCGGGACCACCCTGGCTCGCCTTGCTGCAGGCTCTTTTTCTCTCATCTGACCAGCCCTTACCTCCCTCCTTACCTTAATTATTAGGGTGCATGGTGGAATTGCTCTGTGGGGTTCCTTGCCTCGGTCCCCACTGAAGCCCTGCCTGGCCTGCAGAGGATGTGACATTGCTGGGGGTTGACTGTTGGGCACTGTGCCGGGTGCTGGGAGTGTGGCAGGGGACGAGATCCACAGAGCCCCTAGCCTCAGAGGGCACTCAGTTCCCTGGTGGGAGCAGAGTGGAACCAGCCCCCAAGCCAGTGACACAAGACTGCGTCTCTGCAAACGGTGATGTGGCTTGCGAGGGCATCTTCAGAGAGCCGGGAGAGTGCCCCTACCCTGGGCTGAAGCCTGAGTCCCTTTCCCCTGGGAAGGCTCTGAAGGATGGGGAGGAGGGCTGGGAATGGGCTTACCAGGCAGGAGGAGCAGTGTGTGCAGAGGCCCTGGCATGACTGGAGGTCAGGACTCGGGTGCACAGTTGGGGATCTGGGCAACACGTAGCCTGTGCAGGTTCAGGGCAAGACGCTGAGGGGACTCAGCTTTGGAGGGACGGTGGGAGCAGGGGAGGGCTGAGGAGTACCTGTATGTGTGGAGCTGCCTGAGGCCTTGATGGAGCGTGATTCAGAAAGCAGTGCTGGGCCAGAGATGCCTGGTACACACCCCTCTCCATCACTCACAGAGCATGTGAGGACCTCCGTTTCCACTTCTGCAAGATGGGCATAGTGTTAGCGCTGCCTCATAGAATTGCTGTGAGGATGCAGGCTAGAGAGCCTTGGCCCAAGGCCTGGCATACAGTAGTTGCTGTGTAAGCATTAGTCTTGCTGCTGCTGCTGCTGCCACCCCACCACTGCCTGGGGAGGGCCTCAGAGACAGTGGAGGCCCTCGCTCCACCTGCCTCCTGGCTTTCTCTGGCAGCCACCCCATCCCTACCTGGCTCTGGCAGGGTCAGGGAGCCGGCACACTGCCAGGCAGCCCTCTGAGGCTGGCCCAGCCTCCCAGCCTTGCAGTGCCAGCTCACTCAGCATCTCAGGGTTTGGCACAGATAAAGAAGGATAGGGTTTGGGCATTGGAGACCCATATTCAGGTCCCTCCCTTGTCACTTACCAGCCATGGGACAAATGATTTATTTGCCACTTTTATTCCTTCAACACGTTTGGCTAGGGGAAAAAGGGCTTTCAGTATAATGAAACACTCATGCATCCGGCCATCGTCTGGCCTGGGACAGAACACACCGTGATACAGTTAGAGGCCAAGGGTCTCCTCCTCACCCCCCCTCCTCCCTCCCTTCCAGGGGCAGCCTCTGTCCTGGGTGTGGCAGTCACCATTCCTCTGCAGCCTTTCATACTTTGACTGCCCTTGAATGTATTCACCAACAGTAGAGCAACAGCTCTTGCCCCTGGCTGCACATTGCAACTCCCTGGAGAGCTTTGAAAAGATGCCTTGGCCCAGGCCCGCCATGGAAATTCTGCTTCCAACTTACTTGGTCTGGGCTGGGGCTGGCCTCAGGCTTTTGGAAGCTCCCTGGGCAGTTCTTATGGCCAGCAGGGGCTGACGACTGTTGTTTCACAGTTCAGATAAATGGTGTCACCATAAACATGCCTTTCTGCAAGTTGCTGTTTTTGTTCAACATTATAGGTATATTTGAGATGGGATCTTGCTATGTTGCCTAGACTGGACTCTTAACTCCTGGGCTCAAGCTATCCTCCCACCTCAGCCTCTGGAGTAGCTGGGATTACAGGCGCGCACACCTGCTCCCCGCTTTGAGCTGAGCATTGGAGTCTGGATGTCTCTTGGTGGGGATGTGTGTAGGCCTGGGACAGGCCATTTGTTTTTCCTGATGGTGTTTCTTTTTGTGATCGTGTCACACAGGAGTTGCCTGTTCACCTGTTGATGGCCACTGAGGTGGTCCGTTGGAGCTATAACCGTGCAGCAGTGGGCCTTCTGGAACGCGTGTTCCTGTAGACCATGGCCAGAGTCTCTCTGGCATATGCCTAGTAGTGGAAAAGCCGGAGCTCCCCGCTTTCCTAGCGGTTGCCAAGTCATGCCCCCAGTGGCTGGACCACTGTGCTCCCCAGCAGGCTCCGGGGCTCCCTTTATTTCAAGTCCTGCTTTGGGCAGCTTTGTGGCCCTCACTGAAACGATTTCCTCGGCCGTGACATGGGAGGTTTATGGGCCCACCCACCCACCCACCAGGCTGTTTGGAAACAGATGGGGAGATGGTTCACACAACTGGCTTAGCTGGGACCTCGTCCCCACTGACTCCCTACAACCACAGGAGAAGAAAGGATGGAAGGGCTTTCACCTTTACCCCCTTGGGCATCCAGGACGGTGACTGCAGCTTTGCCCCAACTGCCCTTGGGGGCAGGTGCCAGGGGTGACAGCTGGGAAAGAGAACTATACTGATTCGAACCTCTCAGGAGGGAGGCAGGGAGGACGGAGGTGAAAGTTGGAGGATGGGTGAGGCCTTGTAACATTCTTTCTGTGTATCTGACTGTTGGTCCCAGTGGTAACCAACACAGCCCAGCTCTACCCTTGTAGATTATAGTACAGTGAAGGAGACAGACCTGCTGTCCCCAGACGGTGACAGCCCAGAGAGGCCAGGGCTGTGAAGGAGAGGCCTAGGCGAGGGTCAGGGCGGGATGTGGGGGGGACCCAGGCAGAAGGGTCAGGGCGGGATGTGGGGGGGACCCAGGCAGAGGGGTCAGGGTGGGGTGGTGGGACCCAGGCAGATGGGTCATGGCGGGATGGGAGCGGGGACCCAGGCAGAGGGATCAGGGTGGGACTGGGGGGGACCCAGGCAGAGTGGTCAGAGAAGGATGGGGAAACCCAGGCAGAGGGGTCAGGGCGGGATGGGGAAACCCAGGCAGAGGGGTTGGGGCTGGATGGTGGGGAGGGGCACAGAGAGGGATTGGGACTGGGATGGAGGCGCAGGGACCGTAGGAAGCCCGAGGAGGCATGTGGCCCAGCGTGGGGAGTTGAGGAGGGCTTTCTGGATAAGATGACATCTGACTGATGAGAACATATGAGCGAGGCTGGAAGGAGGTGGAAAGAATGTAACAGGTCATGGGTACGGAAGTGCCAAGGCCCTGAGGGTCGGAATGACCTCGGAATGGTCGAGGATCATCAGATAGGCCGGTGTAGGCTATGCTGTGCACCCTGACTGTGTGGTAGCCTTGCTCTGCAAAGAGCAGTTAAAGAAATACATAAAATATAAAATAAATAAATAAATAAAAAAGCAAAAAAAAGAAGCCAGTGTGGCTGAGCAGGGGGTGGGGTCAGAGGCTTGGAGGCGGTGTTGGATACAGCAGGGCCTAGCAGAGCCAGGTGGGGTGTGTGGATTCCATTCTGTGCATAATGGGAAGTCATCAGAGGCTTTAGTGACATCTGGTTTTCCCCTTATAAAGATTGCTCAGGCTGCTGTGTGGGGGACGGATCGCGGGGGGTGGCGACAGGGAGGCTGTGGGGAGGCTGCTGTGACAGTCCAAGCAGAAGAGGGTGGAGAAGACGAGGGGACAGTGATGGAGGAGCGTCCTCGTGCCAGCTGAGGTCATCAGCGCTTTACCCCTGTTACCTCACTTCATCTTCACAGCAACCTGTGAAGTAGGTGCTAGTATCATCCTCACTCTAGAGATGAGAAAGGAGGCCCAGAGAGGTACGGGACTTGCTTAAGGTCACACAGCAGGCAGTGGCAGAGGTAGGATTGAACCCCAGGCCTTGGGGCTTCAGTGTCACTGATTACTGGGGCTGCCCTCCCGTGGTTTGGAACTGGCTCGGACAAGACAGGCCTGATTCCTGTTCAGCTGGTTCTTACCCAGGCTCCTTTGTTGACAGAAGTTCCGTGGAGACCTGTTCCCCCTGGGTAGTTTCTGGGCGCTGGGTCCCTACCTCCCTCAGGGCCTCCCTTTCCTTTCTCATCTACTCCTCGTCCCACTGGCTCGTGGTGAGCCAGACTTCCTGGCCAGACACCGGTCAGGGGTGTCCCCAGCAGCTGTTTCTCCCATCACCGAGCCCAGCCCCGCACATGCTGCCAGCAGGAAGCAACCTCCTTCCAAGTCATGGCCAGGGAAGTGGGACCCTTCCCGCCTAGTCACCCATCCGGGGCCAAGGCTTCTTGTCTGCCAGACGCCTTGGCCCACAGGAAGGTTGGAGGGGCCGAGGAGGGTGAGAAGGGGAACACTCTCCCATCCCAGGGGAGCCAGCGCTGGCGGATGCGACAGAAGCCACCGCTCACTGAAGCCTCTCTCCTGGGACCCTCCGGTCCTGCCCCGACCCTTCCCAGGCTGGGAGGCCATCTGCTGCCTTCCCGAGGGGCAGTGGAACTTCCCTGCCAGGGCTGCTCAGTCCACACACATCCCTTAGCCTTTTTCACTAGCTGGGAGCCCCTGGGGAAGAGACAAAGAACTTCCCTGGGCCTCTGATTCCTCACCTGTTACAGGGAGTATTGGTGGCCACCTCTCAGGGCTGTGGGAGGGCGGAAGATCATGTGTGTGCGTCGTGCTTAGCCCGATGCTCAGCACTCAGTAAGTGCTTGGTAAATGTTGAACTTGGTGCGTTCGATGGTTTCCGTCCCTTGCACCCTGTCCCCCTCTGGGTTCTCATCCCGTAGTGAGCTGTAATAACCCCAGCCCCCCGCCCGGGGTCCCAGCTCCACGTGCCAGGCACGCGTGTGCTGTGAGTCTATGAGCATGGTCATGTGGCTGTACCCAGAGACCCTGAGGAGGAGGTGTTTTTAACCTCGTTTCTCTTTTCCCGTGTTTCAATTTTCAGAAAGCACGTTTTTCCTCCATGTGCATGCATTACCTATTCCCCTAAATAATCACTGAAAAACTGCACACAGCACAAAAGGATGTACAGGGACGAGCAAATCTCTTTCCCACCCGCCTGCCAGGCCCTTCCCAGAGATAGCATCATCACCCCCGGTTTCTTTTCTTTCTTTCTTGAAATATTTGTTCCCCCAAGTGCCCGCCCCTCCCTTTTGTTTTTACTCAAATGGAGCGGACTTCCCATGTTTATATTCTGTCCTGTGCTTTGCGTTTCCCACTCCGAAGCTCGCTGTCAGGACACAGAGTGCCGCCTCGTGTCCCACGCACACGCGTGCCCCCACGGACAGCACAGCCATTCTGTGCTGATGGCCATCAGGCCATTCCCATCTTTCCGTGCTGTGAACAGGGCTGCGCCCGCCTGAGTGTGGCTGTGCATATGTCTCTAGGTGTGAGTCTGAGCTTGTGGCCTCGTGGTCTGAGACAGGTGCCCCGTTAACTTTGCCGGTAGTGTTAGTGTTTCACCCTGCTGGGGAGGTTGTCTGGCTCACACTCCCACCCCCCAGTGTCTGATGACACCGGGGTTTCCTCACTCCCTTGCTGGAATAGACGGGTGTCACCTGACATTCTCACCTTTGCCAGTCAGATAGGTGACAAACAGTCTCATCATGGTTCTGATTTTAATCAGAGCAAAGTGGGACAGCTTTGTGTTGTTGAAAGCCATCTTGAGCTTCCTTTTCTTGGAGCTGTCTATTCCTGATAATTTTACTTTCTCTGAGAAGGGGAAACTGAGGCACAGGCCAGCAGTCCCACAGCAAATACGTGGCAGATGTGGCACTCAAACCTTGGCTCCGTTCTGGAGCTCCTAACCCATCTGACACAGAAGAGGTCAAGGGCTTGGCCTCCGGAGCCAGCTTTGTCTCTTACTAGCAGTGTGACCCCAGACAAGTCACATCACCTCTCTGTGCCCGGGTGTCCTCATCTGTAAAATGAGGGTGCTAATGATATCTACTCTTAGAGTTGTTTTGAGGATCTAAATGTATATTCGGCAGGCAAAATGTATAGTAAGTGCTCAAAGACTGTTAGCTGCGTTACTAATAGCCGTATTATTAATATTATAGCTATGTCACCAATAGCCATGTTATTAATATGAGCAGGCACTGTTTGAGTGCTTTCTGTGAACTAACCTACTGGACCCTCCCATCAACTCCAAGACACACGTGTTCTTAGGATCTCCCTTTTCTAGGGAGGAGACTGAGAGCCTGGGGGACCTGGCCCCGTCACAGAGCAAGAGGAACTGGGATTTGGATGCTGGAGGCCTGGCTGGTAATCGCTGTGGCCGCTTCCCCTGCTACCCGGGGCTAAGCCTGAGGGTTACAAAGCTCTCCCTCCTGCTTCCCCCACCCACCTTCTGCTGTCTGCATTCCAGGCAGGCTGCCCAGGAGCTTTCGAGCAGACACCTTGAGGGTTGGGAGCACCGGGTGGGCAGGGTCCTCACCTAGAGAGCTCCCCGTCCCAGACCCTCCCTGCTCCTGCCACCTGTCCTGGGAACTCCTGATAAAGCAGCATTGTGCAGCGGTTTTGAGTTCACTTCCCAGCCCGGTTTTGCCACTCCCACACTTCACTCCCAGAGGCGGAAGGCGGCCGGTCTTCCTGGGCTGCGTGGGGTGCCAGCCCCCCTCCCCTTCCCTTCCCTCCCTCACTGCGCCCACAGTCACCGGTCAGCACTGGCCATGGGGAGAAAGTAGGACCCTGCGGGCCACTGGCCCCTCCACAGACCCGTCCCCAGGTGAAGACCCCTCCCTGCCCTCCCCACAGGAGGCCCCTGTCCTTCTCTCCCGAGGAACCCTCCTTCCCTGCCGCCCACAGGGGCCTCCATAGTTCTGTCGTCCCTTCCCCGCAAATCTTCCACTGCAGCCTGGGCCCACGTTATTTGACTCTCAAATGCTATATATATACACAGCGCTTCTAACTCCACTGCTTTTAAAAAACCTTTAATAATTGTCAATTATAATATGCCCATAGAAAAGTGCATAAAATGCACAGGTAAGTTTAGCAAAGAATTACAAAGTGAACAACGCTTCCCCACCACCTCGGTAAAGACAGAACACAACCTCCCAAAAGCCGCCTGCCCATAACCCCTGTCCATCACGACCACAGTCGTGAGTGCTCTCCTGACCTTGGTGGTCACTGTGTCCTTGCTTTTCCTGATAGTTTTTACCATGAGGTATGCATCCTTGAATTACAGAATGTCATCTTGCCTGCTTTTGAACTTGACATAAATGGAATCTTCCAGTATGTCCTTGTCTGTGCTTTCTTTCGCCCTTAGGCCTGTGAGATCCATCTGTGTGCTGAGTGTATCTGTAGTCATTCATCTTTGTTGCTGTATAATATTCTTTTTTTTTCTTTGACACAGAGTCTCGCTCTGTCACCCAGGCTGGAGTGCAGTGGTGCAATCTTGGCTCACTGCAGCCTCTGCCTCCTGGGTTCAAGCGATTCACCTGCCTCAGCCTCCCGAGTAACTGGGATTACAGGCATACACCGCTATGCCTGGCTAATTTTTTTTTTTAATTTTTAGTAGAGAGGGGGTTTCACCACGTTGGCCAGGCGAGTCTTGAACTCTTGACCTCAGGTGATCCACCCACCTCAGCTTCCCAAAGTGCCGGCATTACAGGCGTGAGCCACTGTGCCCAGCCCCATATAATATTCTGTTCCTCCATCTCCTGCTGCGCTGATGCGAGCCATCTCTTTGTAGCATCTCCTGGGGTGCCGGTGCCTGCGTTTCTTCAGGGAATATACCCAGGAGTGCGTAGCCCAGGGCAGAGGGTGGGGTAGCTTCAGATTTAGTGGGCGCTGCCACACAGCCTCCCAAGGTGGTCAAATCTGTGTATCCTCCTAGCGGTGGTGACTGAGGATCTTAGTTGCTCCACCTCCTCACCAACATTTGGTACCGTCAGACTTTTTGGTTGACCTTGGAACATTTTTATTCTTTTTTCCTGCAAAAGTAACACCACTGGTTATCATCGGGCTGAGCCCCTCATGTTATTTTGTCCTCCCCTTGCTCCTGTCCATTCCGACTCTCACCCATTCTGTGGACAGGAGTCAAGTGCTTATTCTTTTTTTTTTTTTTTTTTTTTTTTTTTTTGAGATGGAGCCTTGCTCTGTCACCAGGGCTGGAGTGCAGCAGCGCGATCTCAGCTCACTGCAACCTCCGCTTCCCAGATCCAAGCCATTCTCCTCCCTCACCCCCTCAAGTAGCTGGGATTACAGGCATGTGCCACCACGCACGGCTAATTTTGTATTTTTAGTAGAGACAGGGTTTTACCATGTTGGCCAGGCAGGTCTCAAACTCCTGACTTCAAGGGATCCACCTGCCTCAGCCTCCCAAGGTGCTGGGATTACAGACGTGAGCCACTGCGCCCTGCCCAAGCGTGTATTCTTTGACCAGCTTTGCGCTGGGGCCCAGCGACTGAAGGGTGAACCCAAACAACAGGCAGCCCTCCCCGAGCTCAGTCCAGTGGGAACACAGACCTCGACTGCAGAGCAACAGAAAGATAAGCCGGGCTGGAGGCTCCCGGCCCCCATCTTCCCACAGTGACCCCATTTTGGGAACAGGAACCCCCATCCCTCGTCTTGTTTCGGGATTAGGCTTCTCCAAATCTGGCACCCTATCACCTTGACTCCTCTCTTGCCCCCCCGCCACATCCAAAGTGTCTGGAAAGCCTGTCACTCTACATGACAATGTAACCTGGTGCTGCGGGCTCCTCTTCCTTGTCACTCCCCTTCCTCGTCATCCCCCTTCTTCGTCACCCCCCTTCCTCGCCACCCCCTTCCTGGTCACACCTCTTCCTCGTCACCCTTCTTCCTTGTCACCCCTCTTCCTCGTCACCCCCCTTCCTCATCATCCCCCTTCCTCGTTACCCCCCTTCCTTGTTACCCTTCTTCCTCGTGGCCCCCTAGTTCAAGCCACCCTCATCTCCCTCCTGGACCATTGAGGCGTGCTCCCTGCTCCCTTCTCCCCCACTGTCCCCACAGTTGTCCGCACACAGCCAGAGGTAGCCGTGCACACCTGGTCAGGGCAGGAACCCTCCCCTGGCTCCACCTCTCCCAGCAGAGAAGCTTGCAAGGTCCCAGGCAACCTGGCCACTTTCCTGCCTGCCCTGCTTCCCTCTTCTCCTGCCACCATTCCTGGAACATTCCAGGCAGGTCCTACCCCGGGGCCTTTGTTCTTGCTGCCCCCTGGGCAGGCAGCACCCTCCTTCCTTCTGTTCAGTCAGCCTCTGCTGACAGTGGCCCCCTTGGGGAGATGTTTCTTCCCGACCATGGGTCCCCAGGAGCAGCCCCTGTCACCCTCCCTCTAGCACCTTCCCCCGGTAACCCTCATGATGGTTACTTCCATTATGACATGTGGGTCTGTTGGTTTATTTTGTCTCCCGGCATAACGTAGCCTCAGGGCATGGGGGTAGGGGTAGAACCACAGGGCCTTGCCCTGCCCCTTGCTATGTTCTCAGGGATTGGAGTGTGGTAGTCTCTCAGTAAATGCTGGTTGACTGACTGACTGACTGACTGACTGAACTGTAGTAAGCTGGGCTGCCAGAGCGTCTAATGGGGACCCGCCCTGGGTGGGGCACACCGGGAAGGTTTTCCTGAGGAGGAAATGCCACTTGAAGGATGAACTTGGCCTCGACTAAGGGAGGAGGCTGAGGCAGCTGCCATTGCAGAGGTCTCCCGGCGGGGGAGTGCAGGGGGCCTTTGAGGAATTGAAGGAAGACAGGTAGGTCGGTTCTTGGGTTGGTCTGGATTCCAGTCTTGACAGCTGCTTGGGCCTCTCTCTGCCTCAGTGTCTTCCTCTCTAGAAGGTGGCTGCTTCAGGTGTTCCTGGACATTCCTGAAGTTCTGCTCCTAACACACTTATCCTGGTGCCTGATACATAAATATAAATGTGATTGTTTATTTTTTTCCAACAAATTTGGTGGAGTGCTGACCCGTGTGGCCTCCAGGGATGCGGTGGTGGATAAACAGACCCGGTTGCCGCCCATTTGGAGCCTGGCCTCTGGAGCCATCTGGGGCACCCCTGCTTGGAGGCAGGAGAAGGCCTGGTGTGACCTTGGGCCCGGGGAGTCCTTATTCTAGATCCGGGAAGCTCTTCAGGGTGATGAATAGGAAAGACGAATGGAGGGTTTGTGCGTGCCGGCCCTGTGTCCCGGCCAGTGCTCCCAAGCTGCTGCCTGGGCCTCCCTGAAATCCCAGGAGGTAGCTGCACCCGTGTGACCCATTTCACAGATTGGGAGGTGAGGGGGGCACCAATGCTAAGTCCTTCGCCCATTTTGCAAACTAGAGTAGATCTGGTGGTGTTTCCTCTGTGGTCTGATGTGTTTTTCTGGTAGCCAGTCAGGTGGGGCAGCTTTCAATTTGTTCTTCCAGACTCCTGTGAAGGAAGGGCCAGTTCAGGTCACTTTCCTTTTTTTTTTTTTTTGAGACAGAGTCTCACTCTGTCACCCAGGCTGGAGTGCAGTGGCACGATCTTGGCTCACTACAACCTCCGCCTGCCGGGTTCAAGCGATTCTCCTGCCTCAGCCTCCGGAGTAGCTGGGACTACAGTCGTGCGCCACCATGCCTGGCTAATTTTTTGTGTTTTTAATAGAGATGAGGCTTTGCCGTGTTAGCCAGGATGGTCTCGATCTCCTGACCTTGTGATCCGCCCACCTTGGCCTCCCAAAGTGCTGGGATTACAGGCGGGAGCCACTGTGCCTAGTGTCTTAGCCATTCCTGAGGTTTTTTTTTTTTTTTTGAGACAGGGTCTTGCTCTGTCACCCAAGCTGGAGTGCAGTGGTTCAAGATTGGCTCACTGCAGCCTCCACCTCCTGGGTTCAAGCAATTCTCTTTCCTCAGCCTCAGTAGCTGGGACTGCAGGTACACGCCACCACCCTGGGCTAATGGGCTAATTTTTTTTATTTTTAGTAGAGGTGGGGTTTCACTATGTTGGCCATCCTGTTCTCAAACTTTTTTTTGTTGTTGTATTTTTATAGAGATGGGATTTCACCATGTTGCCCAGGCTAGTCTCAAACTCCTGAGCTCAAGCCAGCTGCCCGCCTCAGCCTTCCAAAGTGCTGGGATTACAGGCATGAGCCACTGTAATGGGCATCCAGCCCATTCTTGACTTTTTGTAATTCCCTTTAAATATTAGACAAGCATGTTGTCAGTGTATGTACGTGTGCTCGTGCGCACACACCTGACACTGAGTCTCCCAATCCATGAACGTGGTATGTCTCTCCATTTGTTTATGTCTTCTCGTTCATACTTTTCCAGCCGACGCCTTGCCCACCTCTTGTGGGGTTTTTCCCAGGGTAGTTCATGATGTGGCAGGGAGTCTGTGCCCTCCACTCCCACAAGATGCCGTGCACCCTGGGTTTAGCCTTGCTGGCTGAGGACCTCATGGCGGTGGCAGGAGGCCACTTCTCCCATTCTCTGCTTCTTCCCTGGTACCGCCCCTGGACCCTGGCGGAGGGCGGGCAGGGTGCCCAGAAAGGAGGCTGTAATTTTCCTGAATGATTTCAAGGGCTAATTAAAGGTTTGCCTTGACTAATCAGCTTACGGTTTAATTATTAGGGAACAGGCTCTGGGATGCGGGAAGCAGCTCAGCTGGGGTCTCCCCACAGCGTGGCAGGAAGGAGCCAGGACCCAGCCCTACTCTGGGGGGCTGGCAGGATATGGGGATACCCCAGCACCCTCCAGTGGGTCAGTGGGGGGTTCTCCATCCCCCACTGAGCTGTGACAGGTGGAGGGCAGCAGGTGTGATGGAGATTACAGCCGATTCCTCCCCTGATTCACATCATCCCCCACAGCCCATGGCTGGCTGGGGAGGGGCTGGCCCTGTCCCTCCAGCAGCTTTGGCAGGGCCCGTCCCTCCCCACTTTCCTGCAGCACCCCAGCCTCGCTGGCCTTTGTGGAGTGCTCGGACTTCATTTATTCTGTGGGTCTTGGCTTAAAGGTCAGCACCTCTGGGAAGCCTCCTCGGGCCTCCCTCCTGTCAGAGCTGGTGATCAGCCGCACGGCCCCTTGCCAGTTCTTGGGATCATGGTTGTTCATCTGCTGCAACTCCTGCAGACACTGAGAAGTACACTGAGGGGGATGCCTGAGCTGGGCCAGTGTCGGGGTACCCAGCGGGATAAAGGGTTCGGGACCTGGGCTCCAAGGAGGGGGCTGGGAAGGGGTGTTCAGGGAGGACTGAGTGATGGCTTGGAGGCGGCTGGACCAGGAACACCTCATGGGAGTTTGCGAATGGGGAGGGGACTCTGGAGATGGCTGTGCCAGGCCTGACTTCATTCCTTGCATTCCTCAGCAGGCCCCAGACTCCTGATGGTCCTAAGTGGGGGAAGGTGAGCCAGAGAGGGCCTTCTGGGTACTGCCCTCCCCCCACTCCATCAGTCTGTCTCAGTCTCTCTTTACACCCTCCCCCATCCAGGTCTCAGGGCTGGATCCATCCTCCTGCCCACTCCCCAATCTCCTTATCCTTTGGCTGCGCCTTAGGGTCACCCGGGGTGGGAGGCACTGCAGGGGCCCAAGCTGGACCATTTGAAGCTGACTGTACAGCTGTGGGGTCTGGGCCTTGGGGTTTTTTAATGCTCCCCTGGCGACTCTGACATGCTTCTGAGCTGGAGTGAGGGCTGCTGGCCTGCAGGAATGGCAACAAATGTGTTTTAGCTTTTGGCATGTTCTGGGTGCTTTTCTAGGCTTCTGACATGGAGGGGTTAAGTCACGGCACGCTACGGGGACATGTGACTGTGATTCCTGTGTTCCAGATAAGGCAACTGAGGCCCAGAGAAGGCCTCGAGCTTGGCGATGGCAGTCTCTGTCACTGTCTTATCTTCCCATTTCTGGTCTGTCCAGATGTCTGTCTGGGCCTTCTCTGTTTCACCTCTGTCTCTCTCCCTGTTTTTCTGCCTCTTATCTCCCTTCCCCACCCCACCCTCCTGCATTTCAGCTTCCCTCCTCCCCTGGCAGAAACTTCCCAGATTTCTGTGTTTTGAGGCAGGATCTGGCTGAAGCCACAGAGGGGAGATGGGTTCTGCAGGCCCAGGACATCCTTCTGAGGGGAAGGATGCTGATGTCACCACGCTGGCCTCCCTAACAGCTCCTGACACGTGGAGTCTGGGGCTGGGGGCAACACACCATCTGACTGACAGTCCAAGGGTGGCTAGGGCTGGCTCTGCAAGTTTGCAGGGAGGACTGTCCCCACGGGTTGACTCTGACATGCCCTGTGACACCAGCCACCTCTACGGTCCCGGGAGTCCTCTACTGCCAGTTAATGTTTCAGCTTTTGTGGGTAGGACTGCCTGTCGGTCAGTAGTTTAATTGCAACAAAGGTTTGTGCTAGAAAGGCGAATATTACATTGCAAGAGCCTTTATTATTTGATGGGACTAGGGGGGACTGATAGCTGATGGTCCCGTATGTCCCCACTCACTGAGGGATGAGGGCTCCCCTTGCCTCCTCTCCCCCTACCCCTCTCCAGCGAAGGGCTCAGGAGTCCAGCTCCACCTGCAGCCTCTCCCTGCTCCGGCACAGCATCCTCTGACCTTGGGCGAGGCCCTGAGCCTCAGATGTTTTTGAGTTCCCACATCTGGAGCAGGAGGATAATGATTCCTGCTGCCTCCCAGGGTTGCTGGGAGGATGAAGTGAGTCTGCTGTGTGATGCTCAGAACAGGGCCACTGTCATTATGCCATTCTGGTTACTAGTACTCTTATTACCATTACACTTATTAGAGAGGCAGGATCCGTGCTTGGATTTAGTAGTTAGGATTCACAGGGTGAGTGATCCATAATTCTTTGCCATTACGATGAGGTCACATTTCCTTTGGTAAAATGTTGAACACCTTTGTATTATGGAAATGTTCACACATACCCAGAAGAATAGTCTCGCGCCCTCCTGGGGTCCCTGTCAGCAGCTCAGCAGGTAGCAGCTGTGGCCAGGCCTTGTCGCCTGTGCCTGCTCCTCACCTCCCTGCTTATTTCAGAGCAAATCCCAAACGTCGTACAGCCAGAAATATTCCACACTTTTCCAGAACAAGCCTGCCTCAGTCTCCTCATGCTTCCCCAGTTGTCTTATAATCCTTTTTTTTTTTTTGAGACAGAGTCTCACTCTGTCACCCAGGCTGGAGTGCAGTGGTGCGATCTTGGCTCACTGCAACCTCCGCCTCCTGGGTTCAAGTGATTCTCCTGCCTCAGCCTCCCGAGTAGCTGGGACTACAGGCGTGTGCCATGATGCCCGGCTAATTTTTGTATTTTTAGTAGAGATGGAGTCTCACCATATTGATCAGGCTGGTCTTGAAGTCCTGACCTCAAGTGATATAACCATCTCAGCCTCCCAAAGTGCTGGAATTATAGGCGTGAGCCACCGTACCCTGCCATAATCCTTTTTCATTTGTTTTTTGTTGTTGTTGTTTGAGACAGAGTCTCACTCTGTCTCCCAGGCTGGAGTGCGGTGGCACGATCTCGGCTCACTGCAACCTCCGCCTCCCAGGTTCAAGCACTTCTCCCTGCCTCAGCCTCCCGAGTAGCTGGGATTACAGGCGCCCGCCACCACGCCTGGCTAAGTTTTGTATTTTTTAGTAGAGACAGAGTTTCCTAGGCTGGTCTCGAACTCCTGACCTCAAGTGATCCACCCGCCTCGGCCTCCCAAAATGTTGGGATTATAGGCGTGAGCCACGGCGCCCGGCCCATTTGTTTGATTTGGGTCTGGACAAGGTCTACACTTTGCATCCGGTTGATAGGCCTCTTTTTTTTGTTTTGTTTTGTTCCCTTTGTTACCCAGGCTGAAGTGCAGTGGAGCGATCAGAGCTCACGTGCAGCCTTGACCTCCCCTGCTCAAGCAATCCTCCCGCCTCAGTCTCCTGAATAGCTGGGACCACAGGTGTGCGCCGTCATGCTCAGATACTGGCATCAGCTCTTTGGCGTGCATGTTGTCGTAGTTTTTCTACAGGCGACCTAGGCCATTTGTCCTGGAGTTTTGCAGTCTGGGGCCAGCTGATACATCCTTGTGGTGTCATTGCACGTGTTCTCTGTCTCTGTGCTTCCTGTAAGTTAGGACTTAGGTCTAGAAGCTCGATCTGATGCAGGTTCAGTTTCTTCTGGCAAGCACGCTTTCTTAGGTGGTTGCTTGGATGAGCATCAGAATTACTTACATGTCTGTATGACTGTCAAGTTCAGTTTTCAAGTAAAAATTAAGTTTTTTTTAAAAAAGCGAGTGGGTTGAGAAGAACACTCTGAAGTCACTCCTAGTAAGGCTGGTACCCAGATCCAGCAGAAGTAGGGTGGGAGGGACCAAAGGACTGAGGCTCGGGTCCCCCCTTCCCCACCCCCCGGGGCCTGGGAGCAATAGGCTGGGTGCCCCGGCTTCAAGTAAACCAGTGGCATTAACATGTGGGCCTCTGGTTCCTGCTTTGCTAGGGCCACAGGCTTCCAGCTGAGAGCTGCTGCCACCCACCCTGGCAACCCCTTCCGCATCGCGTGGTGGTGACACCTTCAGAACAGAGTGGTCTCCCACCCCAGCTCTACCCTTGGCTGCCTGTGTCACCCTGGGTGGCTTTCCCAGCCTCTCTACCTGCTTCCTTCTTGACAGCCTGATGGTGGCCATACGTCCCTTGGGCTGTGGTGACTGGGCCTCTGGGAGCTGCCCTTCCACTTCTGCATTTTAACATAAACCTCCTTGACCTCAGCTGCTCCATTCTCTGCTCCCTTCCAGCCACTCGGATTCCAGTCCTGGGGGCCTCCTCACTGACCATGCCCTCCACCCTCAGTGCTGTTCCCTGGTACTCTGCATGGCTTCCTCACCTGTATCCCGTCTTTGCTCAGACGCCACCCCTTTAGAGACCTCCCTGACTGTGCCCTCTGAAAGAGCACCTTGTCACTCTCTGTCCCTTCTCCCACTTGTTTACTTGTATATTGTGTTCCCACTAGAATGTCAACTCCAGGAGAGCAGAGACTCTTGTCTTATTCACTGCTGTGTCCCTGGTGCCTAGAACAGTGCCTGGCACCTGCTAAGTGCATATTAAGGAGTCGTTGCTCACTGGGTAGAAGCATTAAAAAAAAAAAAAAAAAAAGGCTGGGTGTGGTGGCTCACGCCTGTAATCCCAGCACTTTGGGAGGCAAAGGTGGGTGGATCACCTGAGGTCAGGAGTTCGAGACGAGCCTGGCCAACACAGTGAAACCCCGTCTCTACTAAAAATACAAAAAAATTAGCTTGGCGAGGTGGCAGGTGCCTGTAATCCCAGCTACTTGGGAGGCTGAGGCAGGAGAATCGCTGGAACCCAGGAGGCGGAGGTTGCAGTGAGCCAAGATCACACCAATGCACTCCAGCCTGGGTGACAGAGCAAGACTCTGTCTCAAAAAAAAAAAAAAAAAAAAAAAAAAAAAAAGAATTGTTGAGTGCATGAATGAATAAAAGAAAGAAAATGACTGGGCACAGTGGCTCACATCCCAGCACTCTGGGAGGCTGAGGTGGGCAGATCACTTGAGCCCAGGAGTTTGAGACCAGCCTGGGCTATAGTGAGACCTCTGCTCTACAAAACATTTTTAAAATTATTGTTTTAAAATAATTTAAAAATTATTTAAAATGTAAAAGGGCGTGGTGGCATGTGCCTGTGGTCCTAGCTACTCAGGAGGCTGAGGTGGGAGGATTGCTTGAGCCCAGGAGTTGGAGGCTGCAGTGAGCTATGATGGGGTCCTAGCTACTCAGGAGGCTGAGGTGGGAGGATTGCTTGAGCCCAGGAGTTGGAGGCTGCAGTGAGCTCTGATTGCACCACTACACTCCAGCCTGGGTGACAGAGCAAAACCTATGATGATAGATAGATAGATAGATAAGATAGAGCGAGCAAGACCCTATCTCAGGTAGATAGATAGATAGATAGATAGACAGACAGACAGACAGACAGACAGATAGATAGATAGATAGATTAGATTAGATAGATAGATAGATAGATAGATAGATATGGTTAAGTGAGTGGACTTTGGTCCTGGTCAGACTTGCCACGGAATCCCAGTTCTGATACACTCGCCGTGTGACTGAGGGCTGACATGTCTTCTCTCTGAGCTTCACTCTCCTGCTTCACACACCGTGTGAACGGCACCCTCCTCGCTGCCTTCTTTTGCACCAGGATGGAGCCTGCACGTAACACTTTGTAGTGGTCTCACTGCTGTCCTGTCTCCAGCACGGGGCACCGATGAGCCAGCCAGAAGCCGTCCCTGCCGGGGGGATGCTTGACCCAAATCTTCAGTAATAACTCCTTCCACTCTGGGTGACCAGCTGTGGTGCCCCAGGGCAGGGACTTGTTGATCTGGGTTTGTTCTGGAGGCCAGAAGGGTTTCCTGGGGACTGGGATTGGAGCAGGATTGAGAGTGCCTGGTATGTGGAGAGACCTGGCTGTTGTGGCATGAGTCCGAGGGCTCAGGGGCCGGCTGCTTCCCGGCCTTTGTCTTCCTTGCAGGAAACAGGCCAGGAGTTACAAGGGGCCAGAGGATGCTGCTGTGGTTATGGTGGAAGTTAACAGCTTTGGGAAGTGTGCATGTGTGTGAGTGTGTGTGTGTGTGCACTTGTGCTCATTGTAAAGAGAGACGGTAAAGAAATGAGGAGAGACTGCAGGCACATGCAAATACAGAGAAAGCTTTCAGTTGTCAGGATCGCTCTCCCGGTTTTTCCTGCATGGTGGTGTAAAATCTGACATGTGTACAGAAAAGTGTGTAAAACCTCCATGTTCAGTTTAATGAATAATTATAAAGCAAACAGCCATGAAACTACCACCCAGATCAAGAAGACAGGCATCACCAGCTCCCTGAAAGCCCTCTCCTTCACCTGCCCTTCCCAGTGCTAACAAAAACATTCTCCTCCCTTTCTTTTCATTGTTCCTCTTTTTTGGTGAATTGTGAAAGATTTCAGACACCCCCAAGAGAAGAGAGAATCACCTGCTGACCACCCTCAGGCCCGCTGCCCAGCTAAAAGACGAAATGCTTGCTGTGGGTGCAGCCCCCAGGTGCCTCCCCCAGGGCCCCAGGCGTCGCTGGCCCTGCGTCTGCTTCCCTAAACAGTGTCCCGCATTGTTCTGCAGGATTTTAAACTGCGTGTAAATGGTACGAGGCCAGCGGCACTTGGCTGCAACTCTCTCAATATTTTGTTCTTGAGATTTCTCTGGGTGGAGTAATGAAGCTCTGTGCCAGAAGGAATGGTTCCCAGCGGGGGTCAGGGCACCCCTACCCCTGGCCAGAGGAAAGCAGCTCTGTCCTGGGGGGGCCCCAGGAGGACGCTCTGGGCTCCTCTCACCCAGGCCCGCAGCCCCCTGCTCCACGTGGGTTTGAGGCGGCCACCTCCAGTGGAAGTGGTAGAGCGCCGTTGGCTTCCTAGGGCACCACATAGGACCCAGTTACAGCCGTGATGTGAAGGGGCCCTCCCTGAGCTTATGTAAGGTGTAATGGGGCGCTGGTGCCGCCTGGGGCCTGTGTGCACCACGGAGGGGCCTTCTCTGGAGGAGGGCATAGATCAGCAGCTGGGGCAGGAGGGCCTCTTCTCTTCCCATACTGCCCTCCCCCTGCGCCCGCCCACTGCCCACCCTCACCCGCCCTGTTTGCCAGGCTCACACAGCCTTTCTTGGAGAGGCCCTCTGGCGGGGAGTTTACTCTCAAAGGCTCTATATCTAGCTGACCTGGGATTGCCACCCAGCTCCGCCACCTTCTAGCTGGACGGCCCTGGGCATGTGTTGACCCCTGCCCCACCTCTGTTGGCCTCAGTTTCCCCATTTGTAAAATGGAATTGTGTGAGGGTTATTTCATCCATGCAAAGCCTTCGTAGAAGCTAGTGTGTGGAAGCCTCTTAATGAGCCTTAGCTGTTAGTATCTTTGTCATGCTTGCCATTCATTCACTCATTTTTGTTGATAGTAACTTTTTGCCTCCTCTGAGTCCAGCCCTGTCAGGCTGAGGTCCTGCCTTCATGGAGCTTATAATACAGTGAGGGAGACAGACATGGTACTAGGCAGTGACAAACCAGAGTGACCTTGGAAAGCACAGGCCAGAGTGTGACAGCTGTGATGGGAGAAGACCCAGAGGACTGTGGGAGGCCCTGGCTCCAGCCTAGGAAATCAAGGAAGGCCTCCTGGAGGAGGAGACTTCAGAGCTGAGGCCTGAAAGAGGAGCAGGGTTAGTTTGCGGAACATTGTCCCAAGGAGAGCAAATAGCATGTTCAAAGGCTAAAAGTTGGGAAAGGGTCTGGCATTTTAAATAAACCATTACTATTTTTAAGAAAACTTTAAATTCTGAGATCATTGTAGATTCTCCTACAGTTGTAAGAAGTAACTCAGAATGGCCAGGCGCAGTGGCTCACGCCTGTAATTCCACCCCATTTGGGGAGGCCAAGGCAGGAGGATCGTTTGTGCCTAGGAGTTCGAGATCAGCCTGGGCAACCTGGGGAGACACCATCTCTTCACAAAATAGAAAAGCTTATCTGGCTGTGATGCTGTGCACCTGGAGTCCCAGCTACTTGGGAGGCCGAGGTGGATCACTTGAGCCTGGGAGGTTGAAGCTGCTGTGAGCTGTTAATGGCACCACTGCACTCCAGCCTGGGCAACAGAATTAAGGCTCTGTTGCAAAAGAAAGAGAGAAAGAGAGAGAGGGAGAAAGGGAGAGAGGGAGGGAGGGAGAGGGGGGAAGGAAGGAAGGAGAGAAGGAGAGAGGGAGAAAAGAAAAGAAAAGAAAGAAATAATACAGAGAGGAGGTCTGGCGCACCTTTACCCAGTTTTCCCCAATGGTAACACCTGCGAGACTGTAGTACCAGATACCAGAGTGTCAACTGACATTGACACTGTCATTGTCAATTGACAATTGTCATTGTCAATTGTCAATGACAATGTCATTGACATTGACATTGTCAGTCACAAGGATCCCTCCTAATACCTTCTCATAGCTACACCCTTCCCCTGCCCATCCCTAACCTCTGGCAACCACTCATCTGTCTATTCCCCCATTGTTAGGATTTTGTCAATTCAAGAATGTTATGTAAATGGAGCCACCCAGTATGCACCCTTTTTGCATTGACTTTATCCCCTCAGCATGATTCTCTGGAGGTGCATCCGCATTGTGGTGCTGATAGTGACTACTGAGTAGTATTCCGTGGTCTGGATGCCCCACCGTTTGTTTAACCATTTCCCGTTGGAGGACATCTGGGTTTTTCTAATTTTTTGGCTATTACAGACAAAGCCACTATAAACCTCGACAAAGAGGGTTTCGTGTGAATGTCAGTTTTTGTTTCTCTGGGGCCAATACCCAGAGGTACAATTGCTGGGCAGCGTGCTGGTTGCATGTTTTAAGAAAACCATCAAAACCATTTTCTAGAGTGGCTGTACCATGTTATATTATCACCAGCAGCAGGTTCCCCACATCCTCACCAGCATTTGGTGTTGTCACTATTTTTTATTTTAGCTCTTCTAATAAGTGTGCAGTGATAACTCATTGTGGCTTTAATTTGCATTTCTCTAATGGTAATGATGTTGATTAGCTTTTCACGTGCTTATCTGCCATCTGTGTATCCTCTTCAGTCAAAGGTCTCTTCATGTCTTCTGCTCATTTTCTTATTGGATTGTTTGTTTTCGGGTTTTTTTTTTTTTTTTTTTTTTTTGCTGTTGAGTTTTGAGTTTTCACTGTTGTTCTTTTTTTTTTTCTTAGCCCCACCAGGTTCTCATATGAGATCTTTATCTATTCTCTCTCTTTTTTTTTTTTTTTTAGATGGAGTCTCACTCTGTCGCCCAGGCTGGAGTACAGTGGTGTGATCTCGGTTCACTGTGGCCTCCGCCTCCCGGGTTCGAGCGATTTTTCTGCCTCAGCCTCCCGAGTAGCTGGGATTACAGGCATGTGCCACCACGTCCAGCTAATTTTTGTATGTTTAGTAGAGACGGGGTTTCACCATGTTGGCCAGGCTGGTCTCGAACTCCTGACCTCAGGTGATCCGCCTGCCTCGGCCTCCCAAAGTGCTGGGATTACAGGCGTGAGCCACCGTGCCTGGCGAGATCTTTATTCTACATACTAGTCTTTTGTCAGATACGTGGTTTGCAAATATTCTCTCCCAGTTTGTAGCATGTCTTTTAATACTTTTCATACGGACTTTTGCAGAGCAAAAGTTTTTAATTTTGTATTAATTTTTTTCTTTTATGGATTGTGCATTTGCTGTCAAGTCTCAGAACCCTGTGCCCTGTCTTAGGTACCAAATAAGTTTCTTCTGCTTTTTTTTTTTTTTTTTTTTTGAGAGAGAGTCTCGCTCTGTTGCCCAGGCTGGAGTGGGCTCACTGCAGCCTCTGCCTCCTGGGTTCAAGTGATGCTTCTGCTTCAGCCTCCCAAGTAGCTGGGACTAGGGAGGCGCCCACCACCATGCCTGGCTAATTTTTGTGTTTTTAGTAGGCACAGGATTTCACCATATTGGCCAAGCTGGTCTTGAACTCCTGACCTCGTGATCCGCCTGCCTCAGCCTCCCAAAGTGCTGGGATTACAGGCGTGAGCCACCACACCCTGCCTGCTTTTTTTTTTTCCATAAAAGTTTGATAGTTTTACATTTAAGTCTGTGATCCATTATGAGTTAATTTTTGTACAAAGTATAAGTTTTGGATTAAACTTCTTTTTTTCCCCCGTTTGGCATGTGGATGTCCAGTTGTTCCAGCCAGCATTTGTTGAAAATGCTGTCTTTCCTCTGTTGAATTGCTTAGGCTTCTTTCACAAGAATCAGTTACCACGATGAGATACTACATCACACCTACTAGGATGGCTGCTGTCAAAAAAACAAAAATAACAAGTGTTGGGAGGATGTGGGGAAATTGGAGCCCCGTGCATTGCTTGTGAGAATGTAAAATGGTGCTGTCGCTGTTCGGCATAGAATTACCTTGTGACCCAGCAATTCCGCTCCCAACTGTTCGTCCAAAAGAATTGAAAGCAGGGACTCGAACAGATATTTGTACACCCAGGCTCATCACAGCATTATTCACAAGAGCTAAAAGGTGGAAACAGCTCCGTGTCCATCAGTGGATGAATGGAGGAACAAAAGATGGTATACATGATGGAATATTATTCAGCCATAAAAAGGAATGGAATTTTGGGTAGAAAGCTATCATGTGGATGGTCTTGAAAACATTATGCTTAGTGAAATCAGCCAGACACAGAAGGAGAAATCCTCTATGATTCCACTTGTACGAAGGACCTAGAGTAGGCAAATACAAAGAGACAGAAAGCATGCATGGAGTCCCAGCTATTCGGGGGCAGGAGGATCACCTGAGCCTAAGAGGTTGAGTTCAGCCTGGACAACATAGTGAGACCCGGTCTCTTTTAAAATATATGTATATAGGCCAGGCGCGGTGGCTCACGCCTGTAATCCCAGCACTTTGGGAGGCCGAGGCTGGCAGATCAAGAGGTCAGGAGATCGAGACCATCCTGGCTAACACGATGAAACCCTGTCTCTACTAAAAATATAAAAAATTAGCTGGGCGTGGTGGTGGGCGCCTGTAGTCCCAGCTACATGGAAGGCTGAGGCATGAGAATGGCTAGAACCCGGGAGGCGGAGGTTGCAGTGAGCTGAGATTGCACCATTGCACTCCAGCCCAGGCAACAGAGAGAGACTCTGTCTCTAAATAAATAAATAATAAAATATATGTTTATGTATATATAGAGAGAAAGAAAGTAGAACAGAGGTTATCAGGGTTTGAGGGGAACAAGGAGCTGTTGTTTATTGGGTACATAGTTTTTGTTGGAATGATAAACATGTTTGAATATAGATGGTGGTGATGGTTATACAACATTGTGGATATATTTAATGCCACTGAATTGTATACTTACAGATGGTTAACAATGATAAATATGCTGTATATTTTACCATAATAAAAATAAATTTTTGAAACCAGCTAGGTATGTTGGTGTAGATCTGTTTCTGAGTTCTCTGTCCTGTTCCGCTGCTCTGTTGCTGTGACTGTCCCACCCCATCTGGGTTACTTGCTGCAGCGCTGGGAGAGGGATTCCTCTGGCTTCCTCTCTCTTTTCTCTTTTTCAAGATTGAGCTCTTGAAAAAAGAGCTCTGGGAGCTGGCATTTTGGAGCTCCTCTAGGGTTCCGCGTGTAGAAGATGGCACTGTGTTGGGCCTAGGTTCAGAGTCGTCCTTGACACCACCTCATCCTCAGCCCGTGTCTGACTCATCAGCGAGCATTGCCTTTTCTTGGTAGACATAGCCCAGGTCTGTCCCCCTCTCTCCACTGCCACTGTCCTGGCTGCCTCACAGTTGCCCAAACAGCGCTGCCTCCTTGTCACTCATCCTCACGCCCACTCAGGCCCCTTGATTCCGTCCTTCACAGGGCAACCAAAGTTACATCTGTAAAACCCAGGCCTGGACCAGGTGGAGTGGCTCCCACCTGTAATCCCAGCACTTGGGGAGGCCGAGGTGGGCAGATGGCTTGAGCTCAGGAGTTCAAGACCAGCCTGGACAACGTAGTGAGACCTTGTCTCTAAAAAAAATAAATTAATAAAAATTAAAAAAATGTAAAAACCCAGGCCTGTCCTTGGCACCCACGTTGTCTCCCCTTGCTCTCTCATGATCTGCCTCCACCACACCGTCCCCGTTCAGGCCTGCTGCCCACCCATCCCTCCAGCCAGTGTGTGTCCGCTGGACTTTCACATTTTTTGCGTGTGGTGCTTGACTATAAGCCTGATGGGGTAGGGCCCACACTGCACTTCTGCCCCCGCACAGGCGGCACGTGACAGACGTGCATTAGATTTCTGTCGGTGGACGCCATGAACGTGGGAAGGAGGCTGCCTGTGGCCGGAGCAGGTGGTTGGGGGCGGAGAGTGTGCAAAAATGAGGACAGAGAGGTGGGCGCGACCTCGGTGAGGAGACGGCTTTAGCTCTGTGGGCCTGAGTAGGTTTTTAGCAGGAGAGGATACAATCAGATTAGATTTACAAAGGTCTCCCTGACCTAGCAGAAAAAGGCAAAGGCTTTGAATAGACACTTAGCGGAAGAGGACATTCTGATGGCTTTTATAAATATGAAAAATGCTCAACCCTACTAAATAGAAAAATACAAATGAAAACTAGGCTGAGGGGGGCCACACCTCACATATCAGCAGAGATCAGAGAGACTGGCCACGCCCCGTGCTGCAAGGCCGAGGGGAGATAGGCCCTGGCACCGCCGAGGGGCTGTGAGTGGGGACAGGCCTCACGCAGGGCCACTTGGCAGTGGTGAACTTCACTGGACATTTACCCACAGACAAACTTGCACACCTGTGAAATGACAGCTGCACACAGTGAGTGTTGCCGCACCATTTATAAGAGCAAAAGACAGGAAACCACCACTCTGGCCCGATGGGGACTGGCTCCAGACATCACGGTCCTTCCACACAGCTGCCAAAGCAGCAAGGCAGTGCTCTGCCAAGATCAAGGCAGGGAAAGATCACCAAGACCCACATATATATGCAGCATGTCTGTGGTTTCAGTTACCTGTGACCAACCATGGCCCAAAAGTACATGGAAAATTCCAGAAATAACCAATTCATATGTTTTATTTATTTATTTTTTTGAGATGGACTCTCTGTCACCCAGGCTGGAGTGCAGTGGCACCATCTCAGTTCACTGCAACCTCCGCTTCCTGGTTTCAAGCGATTCTCCCACCTCAGCCTCCCAAGTAGCTGGGATTACAGGCATGCGCCACCACGCGCAGCTAATTTTTGTATTTTTAGTAGAGACAAGGTTTCACCATGTTGGCCAGGCTGGTCTCAAACTCCTGACCTCAAGGAATCCACCCAAAGTGCTGGGATTACAGGCATGAGCCACTGCGCCGGCCCAACAGCTCATACATTTTAAATTGTGCACCATTCTGAGTTATCGTGATTTTTTTTTTTTTTGTAGAGACGAGGTCTCCCTATATTGCTCAGCTGGTCTCGAACTCCTGGGCTCAAATGATCCTCCTGCTTCAGCCTCCCAAAGTGCTGAGATTACAGGCAGGAGCCACTGCACAGCCTCGTGATGAAATCTTGAGCCATCCCACTCTGTCCCGCCCGGGACGTGAATCACCTTTCTTACCCCACATATCCATGGTGTATGTGCTACCCATCTGTGGCTACTCAGTAGCTTTCTCGGTTCTCACATCCACTGTTGCCGTATCACAGTGCTTATGTTCAGGTAGCCTTTATTTCACTTAACATTGTCCCCAAAGTGCAAGAGTAGCGATGCTGGCAATTTGGATATGCCAAAGAGAAGCTGTAAAGTGCTTCCTTTAAGTGAAAAAGGGGAAAGTATTGAACCTAATAAGGAAAAGAAAAAAAATTGTATGCTAAGGTTACTAAGCTTTACAGTAAGAACGAACCTTCTATCCATGAAATTGCGAAGAAGGGAAAGAATTTGTGCTGGGTTTACTGTCACACCTCAAACTGCGAAAGTCAACAGCCACAGGGCATAAGGGCTTGGTTAAGATGAAAAAGGCATTACGTTTGGGGGGGTGGAAGACAGGAACAGAAACGTGTTCCAACTGATGGCAATCGGGTTCAATGTTATCCACAGTTTCAGGCATCCCATTGGGGGTCTTGGAACATACGCCTTGCAGATAAGGGGAACTGCTGTATATATAGTTGGCCCTGGGTATCATGGGCCCTCAGGATCACGGGTTCTGCACCCACCCATTCAACCAACGAAGGACTGAAAATTTACTATGGAGGGCCAGCTTTTCCATCCGCGGTTATGGAGGGCTGACTGAGGGACGTGAGCATCCCTGGATGTGGTACCTCCTGCGGGGGTTCTGGAGCCAATCTCCCTCAGCTACCGAGGGAGAATTGTATAGATATATCAATTTTTTTCTTTCAAATCATAATTATAAATTGTTAGGATACACAGTGAAAATTGCATAAAACATAAATGTATAGCAAAACCAATTACTATAAAGGGAAAAATCTATGTAGCCACCCCTCCAGGTGAAGAAACAGATGGTGCCAGCCTCCCCCAACCCCCAAAAGCTCCCAGTCCCTCCCTTCCCCCAGAAGCATCCACTCTTTTTAATTTTAATTTTTTTTGAGACAGAGTCCCACTCCATCACCCAGGCTGAAGTGCAGTGGCACAATCTCAGCTTACTGCAACCTCCACCTTCTGGGTTCAAGCAATTCTCGTACCTCAGCCTCCCGAGTAGCTGGAATTACAGGCATGTGCCACCACACCCGGCTAATTTTTGTGTTTTGTTGTTGTTGTTTTATTTTTTTGAAACAGAGTCTCACTCTGTCACCCAGGCTGGAGTGCAGCGGCACCATCTCGGCTCACTGCAACCTTCGCCTCCCAGGTTCAAGTGATTCTCCTGCCTCAGCCTCCCGAGTAGCTGGGATTACAGGCGCCTACCGCCACGCCACGCCAATTTTTATATTTTTAGTAGAGACGGAGCTTCACCATGTTGGTCAGGCTGGTCTTGATCTCCTGACCTCAGGCGATCCACTCGCCTTGGCCTCTCAAAGTGCAGGGATTACAGGTGTGAACCACCCCACCTGGCCTTAATTTTAATTCTCTAAAAATGTAGAGATGGGGTTTCACAATGTTGGCCAGGCTGGTCTCGAACTCCTGGCCTCAAGTAATCCTCCCGCCTCGGCATCCCAAAGTGCTGGGATTACAGGCATGAGCCACCGTGCCCAGTCCAACTCTCCTGACTTTTGAGGCCATCATATGCTTGCTTTTCTCTCTGTTTGCCACCTCTGTATGCAGCCTGAAGCAGTTTCCTTTTGCCTGGCTTTGAACCTTAAAGTCCGAGGATGGAGTATTGTTCGATGTTTTTGCCTCTTCTGTGTGGCGTCTTCTTTGATGCTCATCCACATGTAGCTGTAGTCATTCATTCATTCATTCTCCCTATCATGTGCGGTGCCATGGAGCCTTCATTCACCACCTCCTGGGGACGAGCATTTGTCTTGTTTCTAGTCTCTTCTCGCGTGTGCTCCCTGCCCCATGGGCCTGCGTTATGCTGGAGTGTGTACCCAGGAGAGCTCTTGCTAGGTCAAGCGTGTGTCCCCACTTCCACTCGATGCTGCTAAGCTCCTGCCAAATGCCAGCAGCGTGGGAGAGCCACGGAATGTTTTCGAGAAGAGCAAAGTACAGAATATTGTGTGTCATGTGGCTGCCATTTCTCTTGTTTTTTTAAAAAGCAGGTAATCATGTGTGTACCCATACACACACGTAGGATCTCTCAGAAAGGAAAAGAAAAAACCTGAAAGTCTAGTAGCGGTTGCCTCCAGGGCTGAGCTGGGCCAGGGTGGAAGGAGGACATCCTGTCACAGTTTACCCTTTGGTGCCTTTTGTCTTTTGAACCGTGTGCCTGTATTACAAAGACAGAGAGAAGGAAAAGAAGGAAAAGGGGTAGATGAGTGTAAATGTGGTAAAGTGAGAATCACTGAGAATCGCCCAGTGCAGCTCCCTCTCCGTCCATTGGGGACCTCGTTTCCTGTGGCTGTCCAGAGCTGTCCAATCCCCATCCACTCCCCGCCAGAGCCCAAACCTGCCCGTCTGGTTTGCAGAGCTGCCCCACGTGGCTCCTCTGCGGGTGGTTACTCGACAAATGCCCCACCCCCCACCCCATGGGGAGGCAGTGGCCTGAGATCTGGGACTTCTGGATCTAGGCCCCTAGACCTGCCCTGCTGTGGTCCAGAGCCTGGCCCAGCCCC
This sequence comes from Homo sapiens, assembly GCF_000001405.40. NCBI lineage: Eukaryota > Metazoa > Chordata > Mammalia > Primates > Hominidae > Homo > Homo sapiens. Next base: position 39,154,900 of record NC_000019.10, read on the forward strand.
TCCTTGGACTTCCTCCTCACTGTGACAGGGGGTGGACAGAGGTGGGGATGGGAGTTCCAGGCCCTGAGAGCAAGCGCTGGCCTCCCAGCCCACGTTCTGTGTGTGGAGATAACATCTGCCCTTGAGGAGTTGGCTGCAGGGGCAGGGGTGTGCCAGAGCAGGGTAGTGGGAAGGACCCAGGTGCGTCTGTCTGCTGTGTGCCGGGGCGCTTGCTCACTGTTGTCCCTGGATTCACCATGGCCTGGGTGCCCATCCTGGGTCCGGGCACCCAGCAGCCTTGGTCCCTACCGCCTACCAGACTGGAGTCCCTGGTAGAGCCCCTCTAGGGTGTCAACTCCCGTGGGCAGGAAGTTTTGTGGAGTTTGTTCAGTGCTGAACTATCAGGGCCTCCCACAGGTGTGCCTGGTATGTGCCTGGAGCTCAGTGAATGAATGAGAGGCGGGCAAGCTGCAGACAGTGACAGCCTGGGTGCTCAGGGCTGGCATGGGGAGGTGCAGGGTGGAGTGCACAGGGCTGGAGCCCAGAGGATACCTGACCCAGCCTGGGGTGGCAGGGAGGGCTTCGTGGAGGAGCAGGTGCCTCAAGTGGGGCCGGAGGGTGAGAAGGGATGAACCAAGCAGCCCTCCGGAGGCCTCGAGGGGAACAGACAGTGTTCACAGGAGAAACAGTTACACCTGCGAGCTCTGCCTCGGGCCAGCCTTTGCACTGGAGGTGGGATTTGAAGGGGAGGGAGGGGTGCTGTGGAGCATCTTTTTCTTCTGTTCCTGAACGGGGGTTCTGATCACATCAGCCTCATGCTTGGAGCAGCTGGTTAAGGGCACAGACACCGGGACAGACATCCAGCCTGGGAGTCCCAGCGCCTGACCTCCCCTCGGGCATCAAGTCACTCCGCCTCTCCGCGCCTCAGTTTCCTCCATGATGAAAGGGGCCTGCTGAAGGACCTGTCTCATTTAGGGCAGCAGTGAGGCAAAGCCCCGGAGCCCATGCCTGTGCCAAGAGCAGGGCCTGGCCCAGAATATGGCCTTGTCACGTTGAGCTGCCTTTTTTCAGCAGGGTTAGTTTCATCCTGGTGAGGCGGCGCCAGCATGGCGTTCCACCTTCTTGGCCTCCTCTCCCTCCTCCCTTTCCTGCCATCCACACCTCCCGGCCCTATTCTCACACCTCAGGATGGCGATATGGGGGCTTCACCGTGGTCTCCCCTGACCTCGCCCCTCCCCCGGTCAGGCTAAGTCTCAGATTCCTCCTCATGGGTGAGGGGGGCAGAGTGGCCCCTTTCCTCCAGCCCATGCTGGGCACTTGCTAGAATCCCAGCCTTGGTCGGGGTGGAGGAGAAGCAAGTTCCAGCTCTCCAGTTCTGCCTCCATATCAGAGAGCCCACCCACCCCTCTCCCCAGGGCTCTATCCTGCACCTAGTGGCCCCTGTCACTCCCCAGCCACCCCCACGTACATACCCTGGTCCCTTGTTTCAAACCTGGCTGCCCCTTAGCCGCCTGGCCAGCCGCTTGCAGGTACTCAGCCTTGCTGTGTAGTCACCCCCTCCAGCCCCTGGCACCTAGCCTGGCATAGGGGGGTGAGGCGGGGTGTGCCTGTTGGTGGGAGGCTGACCCTGCTGAAGCAAAGGCTGTGGTTGGGGTCCCCGCCCAGCCCTGCCCTCTGTCCAGGCAGCTATGAGCCACGTGGCCCAGGCCCACCCACCCCAGCTCCAGGCCCAGCCCCGCCTCCCTCCCGCCCTCCGTGGGTGGAAACCACAGCCGAGGCTCAACTCCTGGCCGCGTCACCACCGCTGCCCTGCAGGCTGGAGCATAGAGCCCAGGCAGCCCTCCTCGGTGGGTGCCCATGTTGAGGGCCTGGGGAGCCCTGGATCTACTCTGCTTTCCCAGCTGGAAGCCTGTCTGTCCACAGGCCCGCCCCATTGAGGGTGGCCCAGGAAGTGGGAAAGAGCGTGGTGGAGGTGAGCTGGCCAGGCCTCGGGAGGGGAGGGGGAGGGCTAGACTGGCTGCCAGGGAAGGAGGGTCTGCCCCTGGCCACTGGAGCCAGTGTGAGCATGTGCGAAGGCCACACCTTTCTTGGGGTTGGAGCGGGGTCACTGTGTTTCCATGTGTGCGAGATGGCAGGTGCCTGTCTGCTGGGGACTTGCAGGCATCTGAGCATAGGTCCCTGAGCCTCTCTGTGGGAGCACGCTCCTGGGGTCTGGCTTGCACGAGGGCAGAAGTTTCCGTGAGACTGTGCCTCACTCAGTCACTCTGGGTGACCCTGGAGTTGACTGGGTGTGCCTAGGTCCATGGAGGTCTCCTTGCCTACTGTGTGTGGTTTTGGGGTCGGGGGGGTGCCTCCTAGTGTAGCTTTGTATCTTGGGGGTTATTCCTAGGTGCGTGTGTGTCCTGGGGTGCAGTGCGGCTTTCCCTCGAAGTCATGGAGTGTCTGCGGCATTGTGTGTATACACACGTGTCCCTGTGTATCTATGTGTGGATCTCTTTGGGAGTCTCTGCATCTCTGGGTGCACGAGTCTTTGCAGTGTGTATGAAAGGGTCGCAGTCCACGGTCCATCCATGGCTCTTCTGGGGCCCATGTGCAGGCTGGCTGAGCCGCGGCCTTCCCATTTGCTGCGCATGTACTCTGAGCCAGGCTGGCTTTAAGAGCCGCTCCCCCACCTTCTCCCACTGAAGTCTCAGAAGCTCCCTCTGGGGCACGCTCTGCTGGTGCCCCATATTCTAGAGACATGAACGGAGGCTCTTGGTAAATGTCCTTTTCCCCTGCCCCACGGCAAGCAAGGCACTGACCCCTGGCCACCAGCCTCCTGAGCCCATGGTCCTGTACGGGCCGCCGCGAGGTGCTCAGGATGTTGTAGGGTTGAGGGTGGATTGCTGCTGTTGCCGGCTAGCCGGGAAGTTTTCTTTTTTTGGCCTAAGATAAATATTGGAGAAGAATGGCCCGGGAGCTTTCCATGTGACCAGTTCATGTGCCTGGAGGCCTGTGGTTTGTGTGGCTGGGTATGTATCTGCATGTCTGTGTGATGGTCTTAGGACTCGGCTCTATGTGGTGTCAGCTGCGGACATCTTGCATGCTCTGGCATGTCCTCACATGCATCTGTGTCTAGGGATCATGCATGTGTGTATGCATGTGTGTGAGTGTGCATGTATGTGAGCATGTATTTGTGAGCGTGTGTGTGAGCATGCATGTGTGTGTGTGCATGTGTGTGCATGCATGTGAGCATTGTGTGAGTGCGTGCGTGCATGTGTGAGCGTGCGTGTGTGCACATGTGTGCATGTTTGTGAGTGTGCATGTGTGTGAGCGTGCATGTATGTGCATGTGTGGGTGTGCGTGTGTGTGCATGTGTGTGCGCGCATGTGTGAGCATGCATGTGTTGCGGGATGGCTTCGCTCGCTGCTGTGTGTTGGGTCTGTGAGGAGAGGCCGTGGTTGCTGCCTGGTGTATGTCCTGGCGTCTGTGCACGGCCTTGTGTGTTGCATGGCAGGGGAGGTAGACAGTGAGAGGGCTTGGGTGCTGGAGCCTGAGAGGGGCAGGGCCTCTTTCCTGCCACATCACCCCCTTCCCCCTGCCCAGCCTCAGGCGAGGAATAAATGACGTCTGCTCTGATTTCCCAGGCCGTATGGGCTCCCACACACTCTCTGTTGTGGTGTCCATCCCCACCCTGAGTACCTCTGGGGGGTGAAGGGCACCAGCAGTGCCCTTTGTGTCTGTGCCCTTTTGTGCTGGGCCAGATTCGGGGCAGGAGGGCTTGGCCCTGGCATCACTGGGGGCTCTGAGCGCCAGCCTGGGCCTAGCTGGGTAAAGGAAGCATCATCTCTTCGTTGAGCCACACTCTCTGCGCTGGGCAAGCCTGGGGACACAGAGATGGCCCCAGGCCCTGCCCTCCTGGGTCTCCCAGTCCAGTGGGAGAGGCAGACCTGTTATCAGACAATAACAGCCCATCAGGCTCCTCCCTCCCAACCCTGGAGAAGGTAAGACTAGCATATTTGCTCGGCAGAAGGGACCATGCCCGGCATCCTCTGTAGTGTGTTTGTTCATTCATTCATTCATCATTCAGCAGCAAGAATGGCAGTAATGATAACAGCAGCGAGCCTGCAGTGAGGCCCCACTCGGCACCAGTCACTGTTGTAAATGTTTTACATGTGTCGTCTTATTCGCTCGTCCAACATGCTCAGGAGGTAGGGACTATCACTACCCCCAGTTTGCAGATGAGGACACTGAGGCCCAGAGAGGTTGAGTCACTTGTCCAGGGGCACACAGCTTGGAGTAGTAGAGCCAGTACCTGGGACTGGGCAGTCGGCTCTTAACCACCAGTACAGGCCTGCTGAGCCCCTGTACTGCGCCAGGCCTCTGCTGAGGACAAAGCAGTGGCTAGGAGAGACAGGCCCTGTCCTCGTGGGGCTGCCCGTTCATTGCAGGAGACATACTAATTAAGGACTATAAGGACAAAGGTAAAATTACAGCTGTGACAGATGCTGTCAAGGGGAAGGCACGGGACATGCAGGGTTTTTTTCAGACAGAGTCTCACTCTGTCGCCCAGGCTGGAGTGCAGTGGCGTGATCTTGACTCACTGCAACCTCCGCCCCCTGGGTTCAAGTGATTCTCGTGCCTCAGCCTCCCAAGTAGCTGGGACTAGAGGCACATGCCACCACGCCCAGCTAATTTTTGTATTTTTTTAGTAGGGATGGGGTTTTGCCATGTTGGCCAGGCTGGTCTCGAACTCCTGACATCAGGTGATCCACCTGCCTCGGCCTCCCAAAGTGCTGGGATTACAGGCATGAGCCACTGTGCCCGGCCATGGACCTGCAGTTTGAAGGAAGAGGAAGGGATAACAAGGTGAAGGTTGAGGGGGCAGGGGGCTCTTCAGGACCCAGGCTAAGGGCACAGTCCATGCAGAGGCCTGGTGGCGGGGACGGCGCTATACCTGGAGGAACGAAGGAGAGCAGGGCTGCCCCCTCCACCCTCCACAGACGCTGCTGAATCCAGGCCCCACTTCCAAAGGCGTCCCCCCCACTGGATCTGTGTCTTTATGGGCTTTTACCCATTGTGGGGGCTCATGGATTTCCAGAGGCACCCCCCATGTGATTTGGCTTTTGCCAGGATACGCTGCCACTTCCTGAGATTCCCAGCGTAGGCCATGTGGCTGGGTGGGCCCCCCTGCAGTGGGGAGGGCCTGGGCGTTCACAGTGGGGGTACCTTTTGTGGTGCTGGGACACACACCAGCTTACTTGCTGAACAGCCAGATTCAGTCTCTGAAGACCCATTTTCTCCCCAGGCGTCAAGGTCAGACTTCCAGGGAGTGAGTGTACGAGGCCCAGGGACTTGTGTCTGTCTCGGCCCCATCCCCGTGCCCTGCGCCTCCTCAGGGACCAGGCTCATTACTTTGGTAATGGCATCACCCATTTGTTCCACAGATATGTCTCGAGCACCTACTGTGTTCCAGCCACTGCTCTAGATGCCGGCAAGAACCAGACAGACAGACAGGTCCCTGCCCTCAGGGCACTGACATTCTGCTGGGGGCACTGCCAGTCAGTAGGTGTAGGATGCCAGGGGGTGGTAAGTGCCACAGAGACATAAAAAGCGAGGTGCACATTTTGTTCAGGGGTCAGGCAGCCTCTCGGAGGAGGTTTTATTTGCACTAAGACCTGAATATCAAGAAAGGCTGAGCAGTGCAGTTCTGGCTGAGGGAAGATAGGTGCAGAGGCCCGGAGGCTGGAACAGCTGTGATGAGTCCAAGACATACACGGAGGCAGCCAGCGCGGCTGGAGAGAAGCGAGGGGAGGAGATGAGGTTTGCGAGGTTGGCAGGGCCCTCCCAGTCAGGGCCGTGTTGAATCAGTGTTTGAGCCAAAGTGGGAAGCCCTGTAGAACTGTGTGTGTACATTTGTGTAATGTCTTCAGATTCCCTTCTAACCACGGTGGCTTTTCTGGTCTTGGTCTGGTCATTGTCAGGGACATTGTCCCTTCCTGTTTTTGTCCCATAAACCTCCAAGGTCCTTTCTTTAGAGTGGAGGCCTTGGCTGGAGCCGGGACCACTGGGGAACAGGAGGCTGGGGGATGTTGACTTGCCTTCTCTGTGGGACAGAGTGGCTGCTTTTGTGACCTGGCACTGGATAGCCCTGGGCAGTGAGTTCCCCTCTCGGCCTCAGTTTCCTGGTTTGGGGAACAGGAAGGAAGAGGACTCCCCACCCAGCACCCAGCACTGTTTAGAGGGCTCCGCGTGGCCTGGTCTGTGTGCCTGGCACAGCCTGGGCAAGTCCACAGCCACGAAGGGGAGCCCTTGTGAGTCCACGCCCTGCTGTAGGCACTGAAATGCAGCCATCATGAACCAAAACGCGGTCCCTGTCCATATGAGTCACTGACTTAGCGAGGAAGATGGCCACAGACAGGCAAACAACTGTAATGTGTGAGGCAACGCTGAGGGCCCTGGAGGGAACGGACCTAGGCTGACTGCGCCAGGCTCCGCGCCAGGTGCTGGGGGTGCCACATGGAGCAAGACCAGGCCAAGCCCCTGCCTATGAGCTCACGCTGCAGCCCTCGGCCAGTCCTGCCACCTCCACCTTTACAGTGTGCCCAGAACCTGCTCATGCCGCCCCCTCTGCAGCCCCCACAAGGTCCTGCCCCCTTGATTTCCACTGGGCCATCACAGCCTCCTCCTCCCTGGTCCCCCTTTCCGTTCTGCCCCCACAGACTGTTCCCAGCCAGTGGGAGCCTGTGAACTCCTGAGTCAGGCGGTGGCCCTCCTGGGCTCAGAGACCCCTGCAACTCCGTCTCACTCGGGAAAGGACCAGGCCCTCCCGGTGGCCCCCAAAGCCCCACACGATCTGCCCCATTACCTCCTTGGCCTGTCCTTCCACTTGCCCCCTCGCCCACCCTGCTCCAGCCACGTGGCCTCCTCGCTGTCCCTTGACCATATCAAGCAAATTCCTACCGCCCTGGCTGTTCCTTCCTCCTGGGCTGCCCTTCCTCCAGAGCCCTACATGGCTCCCTCTCCCCTCCTCACGCAGGTCCCTGCTCACGTGTCCCCTTCTCAGCAAGGCCTGCCTGACCACTTTATTTTATAATAATAGTTATTATTATTATTTTGAGATGGAGTCTCACACTCTGTCGCCCAGGCTGGAGTGCAATGGTGCGATCTTGGCTCGCTGCAACTTCCACCTCCCAGGTTCAAGCGATTCTCCTGCCTCAGCCTCCCAAGTAGCTGGGACTACAGGCGCCTGCCACCACGCCAGGCTAATTTTTTGTATTTTTAGTGGAGATGGGATTTCACCATGTTGGCCAGGCTGGTCTCCAACTTCTGACCTCAAGTGATCTGCCTGCCTTGGCCTCCAAAAGTTCTGGGATTACAGGCATAAGCCACTGCACCCAGCCTGTTATTCTTATTTTTGAGACAAGGTCTCACCCTGTCACCTAGGCTGGAGTGCAGTGGCACGATCACTCACTGCAGCCTCGACCTCCCAGGCTCGGGTGATTCTCCCGCCTCAGCCTCCTCAGTAGCTGGGACCACAGGCGCACACCACCACACCTGGCTAAATTTTTATTTATTTTTTATTTTTGGGGTAGAGACAGGGTCTCACTAGGTTGCCCAAGCTGATCTTGAACTCCTGGGCTCAAGCGATCCTCCCTCCTTGGCCTCCCAAAGTGCTGGGATTACAGGCGTGAACCACCGTGCCCGGCCTTGACCACTTTATTGAGAATTCCAGCCTCCCCTCCCCTCAGCTCCTTTCTGATTGCTGCGTTATTTTCTATGTCAGCATTTCTCACCCGACTTAGTAGATGTTTTTCTGATTTATCTCATACATTGACTGCCTCCTTCCTTCTAGAATGTGAGTGCTGCGAGGACAGGGATGTTTCTGACTGTTGGGTGCACTGCTATGGGCCCCAGGCCCAGCAGAGTCAGCCCTTGGTAGACATGGACGGGTGCGTGGGTCGATGCGTGGGTGGGTGTGATCGGGTCACTTGTGGGTGGAGTAGGTGTTTGCTAAGGCAGACTCTGGGGATGTGTCGGTCCCAAACCTGAGGACTCCTTGGAGGAACGAGGCTCAGTGTGGGAGGCCTGAAGAGAGATGTGGTTAGAGGAGGGTTGGGGGCCGTGCAGGATGGGGGCAAGAGCTAAGCCAAGGTTTGGAGGCAGGAATGGCTTGGGGGACTCAGGACAGCGAGGAGCCTGCTGTGCCGGGACGGGAAGCCAAACTCCCAGCGCCTCCACCATCAAAGCACATGCCAGAAGGTAGGAGGTAAACTGAGGCAGGGAGGGGCCCTCCCAGAGCTGGTAGGTGAAGATTGTGGCAGGGTGGTGAGTGGGACCCAATGGTGGAAGGCTGAGTGCAGGCTGGAGGCAGTGAGCGGTCTGGGTCCCCTTCCTGATTCGAGTTTCATTTTGGTAACGATGAAAGGATGCCTGTGGTCCTGGCCACCTCCCCTGCTCTGCCCCTGGGCCCCTGTGTTCTGGGTGGGCCAGCCCCCTCCCTTCCAGGGGCAGCAGCTTTGATCAGAGCCTGGAGGGGGCGGGGCAGGAGGTAAGGGTTTTTGCACGCTCACGTCTGCTGACACTGACAGCTTTGTCGCACGGTGGATCTTGCTTTTCCATTTGGGCCAGTTAACCTTGTGGGGGAGAATGGGGGTGGTGGGACCCTTTTCCTCCCAGAAAAGGTCAGAGGATGCAGGGGGTGACTGGAAAATCTGAAGTGTCTGCTAGGCCAGGTCAACGCTGCCTGTCCCGCATGTTAAAGAATTCAAAAGATTTTTTAAAATTTGAAATAAACATTTTAGAGTAGGATACAAAATGCGCTTGCATTTCTGGGATCAAATACTGGACTTCAGAGGCATCTGTGCCCCGGCTGGGGCAGAAGGCTGCACCTTCCTGCTGCTCTGGGACTACTGCCCCCAGGTCCCAGCTGCTTATCTGAAAGATTTCCCGGGTGCTGCTGGGCCTTGTCCAAGGCCTCTGAGCAGGGGAATAATGCAGCGGACAGGGACGATCATTCCACGGAGTCCCTACTGTGTGCTGCCCTGGGCTACGAGGGGGTAAGACAGAGGACAGTCCCTGCCCTGTGAAGCTGACACATTCTAAGGGAGAGGCAGATGCTAAAGAATTACACATATGGCTGGGCCCGGTGGCTCACGCCTGTAATCCCAACACTTTGGGAGGCTGAGGCAGGTGGATCACCTGAGGTGAGGAGTTCAAGACCAGCCTGGCCAACATGGTAAAACCCCATCTCTACTAAGAATACATAAATTAGCCGGGTATGGTGGCGGACGCCTGTAATCCCAGCTTCTTGGGAGGCTGAGGCAGGAGAAGCACATGAACCCACTAGGCGGAGGTTGCAGTGAGCCAAGATCATGCCATTGCACTCCAGCCTGGGCAACAAGAGTGAAACTCTGTCTCAAAAAAAAAAAAAAAAAAAAAGAATTATACACACACACACAAGCACGCCATATATGTGGTAAGAGCCCTGAGGAAAGATAAAGCAGAGACAGGTGTAGAGGGCGACAGGACAGGAGCAGGGCTTGTGAGCACAGGCGGGCCTGGGAAGTCAGGGAAGGTGGGAGATCAGTGAGAGGAGAGTTCCAGGTGGGGCACTCGCCCATGCAAAGGCCCTGAGGTGGAACCATGTCTAGGATTTGAGGAACAGCAGGGGGACCTGTGTGGCCAGGGCACAGTGAGTACAGGGGTGCTTGGGAGAAGAGGAGGGCAGCATGGTGATGGGCGCATCCTGTGGGGACTCTCAGGCCACGAGGAGGCATTTTGGGGGCCAGCAAAGGGTTTAAGGCTGTGAACTCTGGAGTGGGCAGGACTCTGGAATGGGCAGGACTCTGGCTTCCAGGCCCAGCTCTGCTCGGTGAGCTTAGTGAGAGATTTTACCTTTGTGAGTCTCTGTTTCCACAGCTGCAAAATGGGGCTCAGAATGGCCACTCCACCGTGGTTGAGGGCGCCTGCGAGCTCAGCGTCAGCGTCTGCTCTGGGCCATGGGTCCCTTGTGGTGGTGGCGATGGTGGTGGGAGTACCGAGCTGAGCCTCAGGCCACATTTGGTGGGAGGGGTTGGTTTTAAGCATCTTTCCTGCTGCACAGGCCCATGGGAAAGGCTGGTGTACAGCCATTGGGGAGGTGGGGGCCCCGGGGCCCACTTTGTGCTTCCTCCCACTACCCGTGGGGTCCAGGACAGGTCACACAGGAGGGAGGGACCCTCACTCAGCAGAGACTAGGCAGGAGAGGAAAGGCAAGGTCTGGGTGTAGACAGAAAGAATGGGAACGGAGGGAGAGGGGAGGCCAGGACCAGCCTTGAGAGGATGATGATGATGATGATAATAATAATAATAATAATAATAAGGCCGGGCGCGGTGGCTCACGCCTGTAATCCCAGCATTTTGGAAGGCCGAGGCAGGTGGATCATGAGGTCAGGAGATCGAGACCATCCTGCCTAACACAGTGAAACCCCATCTCTACTAAAAATACAAAAAAAAAAAAAAAAAAATTAGCCGGGCATGGTGGTGGGCACCTATAGTCCCAGCTACTGGGGAGGCTGAGGCAGGAGAATGGCGCAAACCCGGGAGGCGGAGGTTGCAGTGAGCTGAGATTGCACCACTGCACTCCAGCCTGGGCGACAGAGCAAGACTCCCTCTCAAAATAAATAAATAAATAAATAAATAAATAAATAAATAAAATAATAATAGACAAAACCAACAGTGTCACCTCAGCCCTCCAGGGCAGCAGGACAGGCAGGTAAGAGCCCAGCCTTCAGTGCCTTCCATACACAACCGCCCAGGTTCAAATCCTGGCTGCTTCTCATGTCTGCCTCTCACTGGCTGCTTCTCCTGTCCATGCCCTGGACAAGGGCCTTCCCTTCTCTGGGCCTCAGTTTTCCCATTCATGAATTGGGATGAGGATGCTTGTGAGGATGGAACGGGATTAGACGCACAGCAGGGCCGGAACCCGCGAATCTCTGCAGACAGGCCTGGAGTCTGGTGTCCACTCTGCCACCCTAGCTGGGCCACCTGGGTTAATGAGGTCCCCCTCTGTGCCTTGTTTTCCCTGTCTGTAATCCGGGGCTTATTAATGGCCCCTCCCTCCAGGATCATATGTGGGACTCCGGGTAAAGTGCCTGGAAGAGGGCTGGTATACAGTAGGTACTCAGTAAGTGCTGGCTGCTATTGGAATGGTGACCGGCACTTACTGAGCACTTACTGTGTGTGTGATTTGCCTTGGTTCTGATCCCAACCACTGTCTCTGGGCCAGGCCCTCCGTGCCCTCTGTTCTGCGTAATTCCTTATAAAAACTCCAGGAAGGCCAGGCGCAGGGCTCACGCCTGTAATCCTAACACTTTGGGAAGCCAAGGCAGATCACTAGAGGTCAGACCAGCCTGGCCAACATGGTGAAACCCCATCTCTACTAAAAATACAAAAATTAGCTGGGCGTGGTGGCAGGCGCCTGTAATCCCAGCTACTTGGGAGGCTGAGGCAGGAGAATTGCTTGAAGCCGGGAGGCGGAGGTTGCAGTGAGCCAAGATCGCACCACTGCACTCCAGCCTGGGCGACAGAGCAAGACTCCGTTTAAAATAAATAAATAAATACTCCACGAAGCAGCTACTATTATCGCCGTCTTTGAACAGAGGAGGAAACTGAGGCACAGCGTGGCTGAGTTGCTCACCCAGGGCCACATATTGAGGTCCCCAGGTTGGGTTAGAGCTCCAGTTCACAGACACAGAAAGTGAGGTCATATAGGGCCAGTCGTGGCAGCCCTGCTGGGGTTTGGAGCCCTAGGCAGCCTGACTGCCAAGCTTGGAGCTGGCCTGGGAGCCCAGCCCCCACCCTTCCCTCCCTGCACCTGGGCAAGCCCAGCCTTTCTGCCTAGCTCTTCTCCCTCTTCCCAGGCCTGGCACGGCCTCTGTGGCCCCCATGAGGTCAGGAGCATCTGTTGGGAAGGGAGCGCCTGCTGGGGAAGCCGGCAGGGCTTGGAGCTGCACAGGACGGCCCAGGGTGGGGTCCCTGCCTGGTCATTATAAACATGTTCAGTTCCTCTGTTTGTCCTGCCCTCTGTGCAGTGCCCAGAGGGAAGGGGTGGCCCCAGGCAAATATCCGGAGGCGTGCCCCTTGCCCCCTTCCCTTGGGGGTTTATGGGTGGGAGGGCAGGAGGCCAGGCGTCGGAGGACATCCCCCAGACCCCATGCTGCCAGCTGGGCCAGCCGCCCGCCCTCCAGGCTGCTCTTGCCCCGTCCCCAGGTGTCCCCCACCTCAGGGTCTGCCCCGCTGTCCGCCCTCCGGGCTTAGTGAGGGGTCACATGGCTGATCCTCTTCCCGTGGCTCTGGGAACTGCCTAGTGCCCCGCAGTGGGGAGGGAGCGGGATGGGGCGGGGCGACAGGTTCACGATGAAGAGGCCTGGGCTGGGCATGGGGCCAAAGGGGGTGGAGGGACATCTGGGAGGACGGAGAGGCCGGAGGACATGGGACGCAGATCTGGAATGACAGCAGGCAGAGTGGGCAAATGGGGACTGTTGGGGTATGTGGATGACCCTGGGAGCTGGGCCTAGAAAGCCATGAGAGAGTAGGTCAGGGCCACCAGGGGTGGGCTGGGCTGGAAGGCCACGAGGGAGGGGTGGGCAGCACTCAGGGCGCCAGCATTGGGCTCAGAGAAGGGGCTGGGCAGAGACAAAGGAGGCCCCCCGTCCGCCCTCCATCCTGGGCCCCAGGGCAAGCAGGGAAACTGGGCCAACCCTGGGAGCCTTGGCCAGGCCCGGCTCTGACCACCCGCTGGCCTCTTGGGACCAGCTGAGACAGGTTGGCTGCCGGGCCCCCACCCCCCTCCCACGGGGCTCCCGCTGCCAAACCGGTTCCCCTGGCTGGCTCCCATGGATGGTCCTAGCTCTGGGCAGGGCCTCACCTTTCCCAGCTGCTCCCAGGAAGGCAGCCTGAGCCGGGAGGAGAAGTAGGTGTGGAGGGGCTACGTGCATCTGCGCGTCCTCTGTCCTCTCACTAGGGCTACAGGACTTGCTGTGCCACGCGCTGTGCCAGGCGCGGGGGAGCCAGCTGGGACAAGACAGAACAGAAACTCCACCTGCATGTCCCCTCGTCCCCTGGTCTCAACTCTTCCCCTCTTCCTGGAAGCCTTCCTGCTGCCCACCCCGCGTCCCTCCAGACTGGGTCCCGTGCTCCCGTCCCCCAGCCCTGACCACCCTGGGCAGCTGCTGCATGGGGACAGGTCTGTCTGCCCCACACGAATTTCCCATGAGGTCAAAGGCTGTCTGGGTCACTGCAGTGGCCACAGAGGAGGCCCATTGCTGAGTTATTCCCAAATGAATGAATGAATGAGTGAGTGAATGGATGCATTCCTCTCATTTTACAGATGAGTAACCCGAAGCCCCTAGAGGAGTGGTCACCTGCCTGAGGGCACTTCTGTCCCACCAGCATCAGACCAGGTGTGTGCAGGTGTGTGCGACTCCAGGGCCCAGGCCCGGGGCAGCTGGGGTGGGGCCTTAGGGGGGAGCAGGACCTGGGCCCCTCCTCCCACAGGCACTGTGGGAGCCGCCCCAGCCATCACAGTGGTCCCCACCGATAGGCCCCCCATATTTGCCCAGCCCTGCACCAAGCTCTTTGCTCCCAGTCACCCATTACCCCTCGCAGCAGCCCTGTGGGGGTTCATCCACAGCACAGAGAGGTTGTCACCTGCCCAAGGTCACGGCAGCATGTGATGGAGAGTCGAACTCTGGCCTCTTGGCTCCCCCTCCCATCTTTCTCCAGGCTCTCTATGGGATGCCGCCATCAGAATGTCTCTTCCTCAGCCCCTTTGTTTTTTAAAGTGGCTTTGGTCGACCATTTGCTCTGTGCTTGGTACTGTGTCAAGGGCCCGATTGAAGACCACAGATCCTAAAGATAGGGGAGTGTCGCGACAAGGCTGCCTGGGGTGCCCTCTTAACCCAGGGGATCAGTAACCCTGTGCTGAGTCAATATCCAAAGGTGTGGGCGTCCCCAGCCCAGACTCATGGCTGGACCAGTGGCAGTGGCCAGGCCATCAGTGACCGTCCATCCAGTACACACCATGTACCAGGCATAGCAGGGGATGTGGGGAAGCGGGGCAGACGAGACCCAGCCAGAATGTGGCACTGACACTCTAGCGGTGCGGTGTGGATGCTGCACTCATGAACCTAAGAAGGAACAACAAACAGGATTTCCATGAGTTCCGGGCTGTGACTGTGATGTAGAGCGGGGGGACGGCGGGACACGGGGCTCTTTGCCTTGGGGTGGTCAGGAAAGGAGTCACTGCTGCTCTGAGAACTGAAGGAGGGGACGGGGAGCCCTGTGCAGACACTGGGAAGTGAGCTCCTGGCAGAGGGGCCAGCCCGTGCAAAGGCTCTGAGGTCTCCAGGGGGGGTGAGAACAGAGAGGTGATGGGGCCTTGTGGGCCCGCAGGAGACAGAGCGGCAGGAAAGTTCTGAGCAGAGGGACGTGACCGCTCGGGTGCTCACGGGTACCCTCTGGCTGTGTGTGCCACACAGATGGGCGCAGGGGGTGGGCAGGGAGACCCAGAAGGAGGCTACTGCCTCCTGTTGGTCCCGGTGTAAGATGAGGATGGGAGGGACAGAGCAGGGGCAGAGGAGGAAGAGACATGGGCAGGCTCTCACTCACCCACCGTGATTCCCTCCCGCAGGCCGCACCGAGTCCCCGGCACCATGTTTGGGAAGAGGAAGAAGCGGGTGGAGATCTCCGCGCCGTCCAACTTCGAGCACCGCGTGCACACGGGCTTCGACCAGCACGAGCAGAAGTTCACGGGGCTGCCCCGCCAGTGGCAGAGCCTGATCGAGGAGTCGGCTCGCCGGCCCAAGCCCCTCGTCGACCCCGCCTGCATCACCTCCATCCAGCCCGGGGCCCCCAAGGTATGTGGCACCCACCACCACCTCCCCCAGCCCACCCCAACCCCCGAGTGGCCCTGGCCCTCAACCCCACACTCGACCCTGTGACCGACACCTCCTCACTGACATGGAAATGGAGACAAACCCCAGCCTTCCACCCCTATCCTGGGTCCAGTGCTGGCCTTTCACCCTCCACCCACTGGCTCCAAGTCCTAAGAACCCATGCCACCCCAACCTGAGCCTCCCCCACGGCCCATCTGACAGCCCCCACACCAGCCTCCAAGCTCTGCTGTCTCCCGCAGACTCATGTCCCGGGGGCCATGCTGCTGTACCCCGGACCACACTCCTGTCTCACCCAACCTTGAGCCTTTCCAGAGCTCCTGGCAGTGGAAGACAGACCCATTCCCAGAGGGTGACAGCCCCAAGTGGTCAGGGCTTGGGTGGGGGAGCCCGGAGGAGGCACCTGACACAGACCAGGGGTCCAGGCAAGCTTCTGGGAGGAGGGGACACCGAGGCAGAGCCCAGGGCTGAGGAGGAGGAGGAGAAATTCCAGCAGATGCTGGGGAAGCCGGGCTTTAGTGGAGAAAATCACTCCTGTGAAACGCTGGGGGCTTTTTGGTTTTGGGTTTTTTTTTTTCTTCCTGCCATCTAGAGCAAAATGGCAAGGTTGGGATTTGAACCAATGTCTGTTTCCAAGGCCCGTGCTCTTAACCCCTCTGCTGCCTCCATGTGAAATCATAAGAGTTGTGGAGCCGGTGTCTGGGTGTGGCCTGGCATGAGGCTGGCCTGGCCTGAGCCCGTGCTGGGCCTCTGAAGCCAGCCTTGGAGCCTGGACTCTCTCCCATGGTCAGTGGGGACCAGGAGGGGCCGCAGGCCAAGGGGAACTCGGCCAGGTTTGCATCCAGCGGGTGGAGATGGGTGTGCCTGGGGACTCACCCTCCCGGTGCCCAGCCCAGCCTGGCGGGGAGAAGCCCCAAGGCCCACAAGTTGGCCATAGACACAAGTGCAGCCTCAATGTGGTAGCCCACTGAGGGGTCCGTGTGGTCCTTGCAGGGTGCTTTTGAATGCTTTGACTTCTTTGCCTCCACTGAGAAAGTGACAGACTTCACTTCCAAAGCCGTTTCTGGCATCTGGTGACAGACCAGCTGGAGGCGAGTGGCAGCTGCCTCCACGGGCAGGGCACTGGCTCTTCTGGGCCACAGGCCGCACCCGACCCACCTCAGCTCCACGCCCTGCCTGGCTCTGTGGCCACTTGCATGTAGGCTTTGCCCCCACCAAGGTGTCTCCAAAAACCCAGCCCCTGCCTGGCTTGCCAGATGTGAGGCCTGCCTGTGACTGTCCCAGCAGGAGGCAGGGCACTTGAATTCACACATGGGGCCTTGTGGCCAGCACTGTCCTGGGGCCCCATAGGCACTTGTGTTTGCTGCCCTTGACCGGGCCTCAGGCCTCCCAGGACCTTCTCGACTCCCTGTTGGTTTTTTTTTTTTTTTTTTTGAGAGACATTCCTGCTCTGTCTCCCTGGCTGGAGTGCAGTGGCGCCACCTCGGCTCATGCAACCTTCGCCTCCTGGGTTCAAGCGATTTTCCTGCCTCAGCCTCCCGCGTAGCTGGGATTACAGGCGCCCACCACTATGCCCATCTAATTTTTGTATTTTTAGTAGAGACGGGTTTTCGCCATTTTGGCCAGGCTGGTCTCAAACTCCTGACCTCAGGTGATCCTCAGCCTCCCGAGGTGCTGGGATTATAGGCGTGAGCCACTGCTTCTTGCCTCAACGCCCTGTTCTAACAGCAAAGTCTGGCCTTGTGTCCACCTTGACTTCCTGGGGCCCCTGGGCAAGGCCCGGCTTCAGGCAGACAGCCACGGCCAGGAGAGACAGGGCAGCGGCAGACCACGGATTTTGTGGGATCAGTGTTTTCTACACGTTACAGGCAGGCCTCTGGCTGGAGGATGCCTGGCAGCCCCAGGCAGGGTCCGGGTTTCGTGGGATCAGTGTTTTCCACACATTAGAGGCAGGCCTCCGGCTGGAGGACATCTGGCAGCCCCGGGCAGGGTCCTTGTCAGCAGGGCCCACGTTCTCAGCTCACTGTGGCCTTTGCACAGACACCTCACTCACTACGTGGTTTAGCAAAAGTTCACTGAGCCCCTGCTGTGCGCCAGATGCTGGTCTAGGTGCTGAGATGGAGCAGGACCCGAAGCAGACAGGAAAAAACAATCCCTGCCCAGAGCATGCACTAGGCAGAGCCGGGAGCAGACAGATGCCTGTGTGCTCTGTATCAGCTGCTGTTAGGTGCTCTAGGTAGAATGCAGGCAGGGCAGGGGCCGGGGAGGGCAGGGGCTGGCATTTTAGATGATGGGAGGCCAGCAGAAGCCTCACTGAGAAGCTGAGTTTTGAGCAAAGACCTGAAGGAGTGGAGGGAGGGAGCCACAGGGACCCTGAGAGCTGATGTTCCAGGCAGAGGGAGCCGCCAGCGGAGAGGCCCTGGGCGCAGGGGGGCGGGGGTGGGGGAGACACCCGTGTGTCTGGAAATGGAACGGGGGCAGAGGGGGCCTGCAGGACACGACTCAGACCACAGAGGGTGGGGACCGGGTGACTCGGGATGCACTGGATGCTCTGCCTGGTCCCCATCTGCATTTGCATTTGCCACCCGGCTCCTGGGACCCCCTTGCCCTCTACTTTGGGACCAGGCCTTTCTGACTCTCCCTGTCCCCCACTCCTTGTTGTTCATGGGAGCAGAGAGTGTGGTTTTGGGGCTAAGGAACACTGGCGCCCACATGGGAGGAAGTGCCAGGCCAGGCCCTGGCCCCAGCGCCCTGTCATTTGCAGCCCTCGGGGCTGATTATGGGGTGGGTCAATTTCTGCCCTTCCTCCCCCAAACCCCTCAGGGCAGGACTATTCCACCAGTGTGAGGAACAGGAGAAAAACAAGGGGGGCCTCTCCAGGGTCCCACCGAGCCCAGGGGGCAGCAGCCTGGCCATGGCGATCACTCCTCTGGCCCCTGCAGCTGTGTCCCCAGGGAGGGGAGGGGCTGCACTGCCCATGCCATTGTCACTCCATGGCATCTCTTCATTGCGTCTCTGTCTTGTCTCTGTGTGTGTCGTGCTGTCCTGTCCCTGCGTGTCGGATGCACGTCCTGTGTGCCCCACTCCTTGCTGGGCCCCCACCCACCATTGCCTGGGACCCCAGACCATCGTGCGGGGCAGCAAAGGTGCCAAAGATGGGGCCCTCACGCTGCTGCTGGACGAGTTTGAGAACATGTCGGTGACACGCTCCAACTCCCTGCGGAGAGACAGCCCGCCGCCGCCCGCCCGTGCCCGCCAGGAAAATGGGATGCCAGAGGAGCCGGCCACCACGGCCAGAGGGGGCCCAGGGAAGGCAGGCAGCCGAGGCCGGTTCGCCGGTCACAGCGAGGCGGGTGGCGGCAGTGGTGACAGGCGACGGGCGGGGCCAGAGAAGAGGCCCAAGTCTTCCAGGGAGGGCTCAGGGGGTCCCCAGGAGTCCTCCCGGGACAAACGCCCCCTCTCCGGGCCTGATGTCGGCACCCCCCAGCCTGCTGGTCTGGCCAGTGGGGCGAAACTGGCAGCTGGCCGGCCCTTTAACACCTACCCGAGGGCTGACACGGACCACCCATCCCGGGGTGCCCAGGTAACCCATCCCCCGCCCCAGGGCCCCCACTGTCCCCTGCCCGTTGCTCCTCTGTCCCCACCTTCCAGCCCCGCCCCACCACCGTGCATCTCATCCTGACCACCCATGTGTCTGTCCCATCGCTGGGTCTCTCTCCTGCTTAGGGAGCAGAGCTGCTCCCTGGCACCCATCACTGACAGCTACCTCTCTTCTGTTTCAGGGGGAGCCTCATGACGTGGCCCCTAACGGGCCATCAGCGGGGGGCCTGGCCATCCCCCAGTCCTCCTCCTCCTCCTCCCGGCCTCCCACCCGAGCCCGAGGTGCCCCCAGCCCTGGAGTGCTGGGACCCCACGCCTCAGAGCCCCAGCTGGCCCCTCCAGCCTGCACCCCCGCCGCCCCTGCTGTTCCTGGGCCCCCTGGCCCCCGCTCACCACAGCGGGAGCCACAGCGAGTATCCCATGAGCAGTTCCGGGCTGCCCTGCAGCTGGTGGTGGACCCAGGCGACCCCCGCTCCTACCTGGACAACTTCATCAAGATTGGCGAGGGCTCCACGGGCATCGTGTGCATCGCCACCGTGCGCAGCTCGGGCAAGCTGGTGGCCGTCAAGAAGATGGACCTGCGCAAGCAGCAGAGGCGCGAGCTGCTCTTCAACGAGGTGCGGGCGCTGCTGCCCTGCCGCCCTGCTGGTCCTCCCACCCCTCCCTCCCACCCTCCCTCCCCTCCTCCCTCCTCTCCCTGCACTCCTCCGTGCTGGGCCAGGCTCCCCTCCTCCCCTCACTCTTCTCCCTCCCCAGGCCGTCTCGTCCGCCCCAGCTGGGTCCCTGCCTCTGTCCTCACAGCACCCTCACCCACATCTCTGTCCCTGAGCCCCAGACCCAGGGTTCCTCGGGCCACTGACCCCCGACCCAGTGTCTTCCAGGCCCCTCGCACCCACTGAGGCCCGCCTGGGCTCCAGGGTACAGTGTCCTCCAGACCTGCCCCTCCTGGGTTCCCTGTGCCCCGCCCTGGCCTCCACTCCTGGGTGTCCCTCGGCACAGCCCACACAACCACCAAGAGTATGTTTCTGACGTTCAGGCCCACCCCCTCCCCGTCCCTCCTTAGAGACCCTGGCAGTGCCCCGTAGCACCCTGACGATAGGAAGCCCAGGTCCCTTTGCCGGGTGTGTGAGGCCCCTCTCGACCCCGTTGCCCATCACAGTGCCGGGCTGCACCATGGAGCTCCTCGCCTGGGTTCCTCATCCTCCCGCCGACACACGCCTCTTCTCTCATCCTTGCCCTTGTCCGGGTCTCAGCCCTGTGATTGAACGCTCTCTTCCCACCTGCCCCCCAGCACTAGCCCAGGACTGACCTGAGATGGGCGTGTGCCCAGGGGGGCGCGCCCCCAGAAGGGAGGCGTGGGCTTCAAGCTGGCTCTGAGGCCCACGTGGCTGTGGCAGTAGGGGAGGGCAGTCCAGGTGGCCCCAGTGAGCACAAGCTTAATGTGGAACTGCAGGGGGAGCCAGGGGGGTGGCGGTGGCTGGGTCTGGCACTGGCAGCCCTCCCGCCTCCCTCCACCACTGACCCAGCCCCTGCACAGGTGGTAATCATGAGGGACTACCAGCACGAGAATGTGGTGGAGATGTACAACAGCTACCTGGTGGGGGACGAGCTCTGGGTGGTCATGGAGTTCCTGGAAGGAGGCGCCCTCACCGACATCGTCACCCACACCAGGTATTTCTGGGGCCTCAGACCCCTCCTGTGACACGACCAAGTCCCCTCCAGACCACTAGGGGTGGGGCCACATCTCCAAACCAGCTGTGCTCCGGGCCCCTGGGATGGGGTCGTGTCTTCCATTCCTCCCACTCCAGAGTGGGGTCGAGTGGTCTCAGATTCCTCCCACTGCAAGGCAGGGCTGCGTCCCCCTCGGCACCCCGGGGTGCTGTCCAGCTGGCTGCTCACCCCCCACCCCACCCCGCAGGATGAACGAGGAGCAGATCGCGGCCGTGTGCCTTGCAGTGCTGCAGGCCCTGTCGGTGCTCCACGCCCAGGGCGTCATCCACCGGGACATCAAGAGCGACTCGATCCTGCTGACCCATGATGGCAGGGTGAGGGGACGGGCGGCGGGGTACGGGGGCGGCAGGTTTCCGGCTGCGGGGCTTCCCTGCCTCTTCCCATCCCCTGTGAGGGTAGGTGAGCTCTGACCCCCAGGTCTGTGTCTTGAGGAGCTGGGAACTTCGTCCCTCCCTGGTGGAGCAGCCCAGAGTCAGGTTCCAGCTCAGTGGGGACTCTGTGCAGTGGGAGGGCACAGGCTGGCGGGGGCTCTGCCATCAGCACAGGACACTGGGCCCAGGGGCAGGGATCTGGGCAGACAGCGCAGCCCCCGCCACAGGCTTCTTCCTCCACTGAAAAGCTGCTCCCTGCCCAGCACCCAGGGCGGTCCATGGACCCCAGTCCTGTCTTCCATGCTTTGGACTGAGGTTCCAAATCTGAGGCTGTGACAATTATAACGTCGGGTGGACATGATTTTCTGTGAGAGAGGGCCCTTGACTTGAATGAAATGCTTGCAGAAGTGGATGACTCCATCCCCTCCCCCAAGGAAGATTAAGCCACACCATTAGTCCAGGCAGAGGCAGAGAGAGCTCTGTGTCACTGACAGTCTGAAAATCTCCAGATGTCTATAGATGTGTTTTGGGGGCGATGTCTATGGGCCACCTGAGATTGTCCACACACGGTTGTGGGGATGTTTGCTGGAGGCAGGAAGACCCATAGAAATCCTCAAAAATCGGAAAGGGACCCACAGTTCCTAAGAAGGTGTGAGAGGCCTGGTTGTCGCAAAGGCAGGCTGTGTCCCCTCACGGCCCTAGTGCAGGGCTACTTTCTGCTCCAACCGAACTAAAGACTTGTTCCAGGGCAGCAGGGCCCCAGGGCACAGGCTTTTGGGGCCACCCCTGTTCCCAGCTCCGGCCCTGCCTTTGCTATCTGCAGTACTCAGGCCAGTGTCCCCAAAAGCCCCAGAGGCTGTCAGGGAGGGAAATGGGGGGATCGTGGGGGAGGTGACTTGCCCGAGGGCCCCCACCAGGAGGTGGTGGAGCTCCCCATTGGTCTGGCTCTAGACCCCAGCTCTGACCCTAGACCCCAGCTCTGACCTCTGGGCCGCACATTGTGTCTGAAGCCAAGGAATGACGCAGGCAGACGCCCCTGCTCGCCCTCCTGCTGTGCCAGCTCCTCTGACCCCACTGCCTCTGCCCTGTCCCAGGTGAAGCTGTCAGACTTTGGGTTCTGCGCCCAGGTGAGCAAGGAAGTGCCCCGAAGGAAGTCGCTGGTCGGCACGCCCTACTGGATGGCCCCAGAGCTCATCTCCCGCCTTCCCTACGGGCCAGAGGTGAGCCCCGGGGTGGCTTGGTTGTCCCGCCGTGGACAGCGTACGCTGCCATTTTCCAGCTGCAGCGCTGGCGGGAGATGGGGCCCAGTCTGGGGAGTCATTGCCAGGAATGGTGCTCTGGACAAGGAGGTACTGCAGGCATGCATGTATTCATTCTTCTTTTTTTTTTTTGAGATGGAGTCTCGCTCTGTTGCCCAGGCTGGAGTGCAGTGGTGCAATCTCAGCTCACTGCAACCTCCACCTCCCGGGTTCAAGCGATTCTCCTGCCTCAGCCTCCCGAGAAGCTGGTTTTACAGGCACCCGCCACCATGCCTGGCTAATTTTTGTATTAGTAGAGATGGGGGTTTCACCATGTTGGCCAGGTTGGTCTTGAACTCCTGACCTCAGGTGATCTATCCGCCTTGGCCTCCTAAAGTGCTGGGATTACAGATGTGAGCCACCGCGCCCAGCCTTGGCTCTGCCTTCTGAGCATTGTTTTCACAGGCCGGCTTTCCCCTTGTGGGAGCAGAGCTGGTCCCGGCAGCTCTGGGAAGTGTCTCCCACCTATGGGCTCCTCTTTTTCCCTGGGTGTTTTGGGTAAAGTCCCCAGGTTGGCTCTGATTGGCTCAGCCTGGGTCCTGTGCCTGTTTCTGAACCAATCACTGTGTCTCCACTGTGGTGATGAGGCCGCATGGGTCCTGAACCCACCAGTGGATGCTACCTGGGCTGAGGGAGGGAGGACACCTGGGGGCAGTTGACAGAAAGAAGAGGGGTGGGTGCTGGGGGGGCAGCTCTCTTGAGGGGCTCCCTGGAGGACTAGTGCTCTGTGGACTGCTGGCTGGGTGCCCAAGAGGGAGTTCTGGGCCAAGGACTCCAGGAGCCAGAGGCAGAGACAGCGCTGGAGCGGTCCCTGCCTGAGGCCTCCCCAGGACCCACCATCCCCCAACAGCTCAGCCCTGCTGTCCCTTCTCCCGCCCCAGGTAGACATCTGGTCGCTGGGGATAATGGTGATTGAGATGGTGGACGGAGAGCCCCCCTACTTCAACGAGCCACCCCTCAAAGCCATGAAGATGATTCGGGACAACCTGCCACCCCGACTGAAGAACCTGCACAAGGTAGGCCCCTCCCTGGCTGGGAAACTGTGCGCCAGCTGGCGGGTGGCAGGGCTCCAGGTGGAGCATGGGGTGTGGATGGGATGGGGACAATGATGGCGCCTGGGATGGCGCTTACTGTGTGCTGGGCCCCCCACCCCCGGGCCTCATGTGTCTGTGCAGACCCCCTCTGTGGGGCCTGGGCGACAGAGGCAGCAGAGCCACAGGCCCTCTGCACCCTCACCATTGCCCTGGGCCCCACCCAGCCCTAGAGAGATTTGCACGTTTAGAAGTGGAGGACAGGGCCGGGACCTTCCTAGTGGAGGACTTGCCAGGAGGGAAAGGGGCACCTCTGGGCCCCAGTTGCTTTCAGCTTCTTGCTAAACCATGGAAATAGGGAGTACATGAGCCCCCAGGGTTTGTCACTTCCTCTGGGGCCACATAGTAAGCGCCATCACAGGTGCCATCACTGTCCCTGTCCCGTCTACACCCCAAGATCTAGACACCCATGACCTCCGCCCCCTGCCCTCCTGCACAGTACATGCCGCCAGCCGACTTGGCAGAGGCGGACACTGCAGCCCTACAGCAAATGAACAGTGGGGAGCCTCGCCCCCTGACCCTCCCCTCCTTCTCGACAGGTGTCGCCATCCCTGAAGGGCTTCCTGGACCGCCTGCTGGTGCGAGACCCTGCCCAGCGGGCCACGGCAGCCGAGCTGCTGAAGCACCCATTCCTGGCCAAGGCAGGGCCGCCTGCCAGCATCGTGCCCCTCATGCGCCAGAACCGCACCAGATGAGGCCCAGCGCCCTTCCCCTCAACCAAAGAGCCCCCCGGGTCACCCCCGCCCCACTGAGGCCAGTAGGGGGCCAGGCCTCCCACTCCTCCCAGCCCGGGAGATGCTCCGCGTGGCACCACCCTCCTTGCTGGGGGTAGATGAGACCCTACTACTGAACTCCAGTTTTGATCTCGTGACTTTTAGAAAAACACAGGGACTCGTGGGAGCAAGCGAGGCTCCCAGGACCCCCACCCTCTGGGACAGGCCCTCCCCCATGTTCTTCTGTCTCCAGGAAGGGCAGCGGCCCTCCCATCACTGGAAGTCTGCAGTGGGGGTCGCTGGGGGTGGAGAGAACACTAAGAGGTGAACATGTATGAGTGTGTGCACGCGTGTGAGTGTGCATGTGTGTGTGTGCAAAGGTCCAGCCACCCCGTCCTCCAGCCTGCAAGGGGTGTCTGGCGCCTTGCCTGACACCCAGCCCCCTCTCCCCCTGAGCCATTGTGGGGGTCGATCATGAATGTCCGAAGAGTGGCCTTTTCCCGTAGCCCTGCGCCCCCTTTCTGTGGCTGGATGGGGAGACAGGTCAGGGCCCCCCACCCTCTCCAGCCCCTGCAGCAAATGACTACTGCACCTGGACAGCCTCCTCTTTTCTAGAAGTCTATTTATATTGTCATTTTATAACACTCTAGCCCCTGCCCTTATTGGGGGACAGATGGTCCCTGTCCTGCGGGGTGGCCCTGGCAGAACCACTGCCTGAAGAACCAGGTTCCTGCCCGGTCAGCGCAGCCCCAGCCCGCCCACCCCTGCCTCGAGTTAGTTTTACAATTAAAACATTGTCTTGTTTTGTGTCTGTGTGCGATGTGTGGGGGGCAGGGGGCCCTGCCCGGCTGTCTTGGGTGGGAATTTGCAGGGAGAGGGTCTGGATCTGGGAGCAAACCACGATTCCAGCCAAGGCAGGGCAAGGGTGGGGTGGGGAGTGGGGAGTTCAGGTCATAGCAGCCAGTAAGCTCCCCCAGCCTGCCACTCCCCAGAATGGGGCAGGATTGTCCCCACCCCTGGAAGCAGCCAGTTTGCCACAGTCCATGTGCAGACTGATCCCAGTTTGCCAAATCTGCAATTTCCTGGAACCTTTTAAAGGCTGTCTTGAGCGCGTTTGGTGAGTAGGAGCTAACCCAAGTTAGTAAATTGAAGGCCATTTGGCAAATTGGTCAGTGGGCAGATGGGCTTTTGGGGATTGACTGAGGCTGACTGGCCTGGAGCTGCTGGCTTCGGAGAGACACCCTGTGAAGTGTGTCCTTCCACGCAGGAGCCCAGAGCCGAGCCCACGCTGGGGGGAATCTGACTGGCATGGAGGTGGCCATGCCACCATCGCTGCTGCAGCTGCATCCTGGCACTTTGCGCCTCAGGCCCTGTTGGGCTCCACTTTCTGCATCCTCCCCAGCCCCCAGGGAGGCAGTGGAGTGGGGAGAGAGCCAGGAGTGAGCCTCCGTCCCCAAAGCCAGCCAGGCGTCATCAGCACCAGAGACCTCAGCCTGGTCCTCTCGGGAAGTGAGTGGCCAGGGCAGAGATTCCAGGTTAGTCCACGCCTCCCACCCTTCACAGGTCCTGACCCCAAGAATCAGAGCACTGTGTGTGTGGCAGGGCCTATGCCAAGTGCAAACACAGCCTAGATGGATCATCACAGAGTGAAACCCAGCGGTGCAAGCAGCTGTGCTCTCTGCGATGTATTGGAGGCTTAGGTGAGGTGGATGCCTTTCTGGAAAAAAAAAAAATGCTAACATTGGCAAAAGAAGAAATAGAAAACAAGACCAAAATAACTGTCTCCTCACTGCACACACACTCCAGAATAAATAAAAGGTTTCAGGCTTGAATGCACTTTCAAATGAGATTTTTTTTTTTTTTTTGAGACGGAGTATCGCTCTGTCGCCCAGGCTGGAGTGCAGTGGCACGATCTTGGCTCACTGCAACTTCTGCCTCCTGGGTTCAAGCGATTCTCCTGCCTCAGCCTCCCAAGTAGCTGGGATTACAGGCGCTTGCCACCACGCCAGGCTAATTTTTTGTATTTTGAGTAGAGACTGGATTTCGCCATCTTGGCCAGACTGGTCTTGAACTCCTGACCTCGTGATCCACCCACCTCAGCCTCCCAAAGTGCTGGGATTACAGGCATGAGCCACCATGCCTGGCCTCAAATGAGGTTTACCAGACTTTGAAGGAGCAGGTAATTCCTTCTACCTTGTGAACAAGTTGTTCCAGAAAGATAGCAGCTCAGGAGGCCTCTGTGACCATGGTTCCAGACCCAGATAAGGACGGCAAAGAACAGAGCATCTCAGAAACGCAAGGCTCACAGCCAGGGTGCCCGGCGACCCCACGGGCACTGAGAACAGCTAGCTCTAGGAGCTCCACTCTCCTGCTGAAGAAACCACGGGCTCAGAGACGGGGAGCTCCCTCGCCCAGCCACATCTGTGACCCCACGGTAACTCTGCTGGTTTTGGTGCCTTCAGTCACTCACTGCAGGTTTGTTTTGTTTTGTTTTGTTTTGAGTTTTTTTGTTTTTTGTTTTTTGTTTTTAGAGACAAGATGTTGCTATGTTGCCTAGGCTGGTTTCGAACTCCTGGCCTCAAGGGATCCTCCCTCCTTGGCCCCGCAAAGTGCTGGGATTACAGGCGTGAGCCACCGTGCCCAGCCCGCTCACTGCAGTTTGAAGGCATGGCTTTGGGTGGCGTGGGGTGAAAGCTGCCCGAGGCCCCGTTCCTCCCCACGTGGCTGCCTCCTGCCAGAGCCAGTCAGGAAAACAGACCCCAACTAGAGTTGTTTCAAATGGCAGGGATTTGGTACCGGTGGTTGGATCATGACAAAGCTCTGAGAAGGCTGGAGGAGCCACAGAGTGCCAAGTGCCCAGCAATCATTAGAGGAAGGAGGCTGCTGCCACCTGTGTGGCTAGAGGAACAGAGGGGCCAATGGCATTCCCCAAACCCCACTCTCGCCTCTGTCTGGCCAGAGCAGAATGGCTTCTTCCAGCTTCCCACCCTGGACTCCCACCCAGGAGCCTCCTCCTGGCAGACCCTTCCTGACCCCACCGGCCCGGGGGGTCTACAGATCCATGTTTCAGGCGTCCGCCTGGAGCGGAACAGGGGAGTGCTTAGGACAAGGGTGGTGCCAGAGGATCCACTCTGCCCACATTTAGTTGACCAGCTGAGGCACTCCACGGGAATGAATGACTCTCGACAGGTGCCGGAGGTGAGGAGGGGCCCGGAGGCCCAGGAGGGGCACAGGGATGGATTCGTCCGCCTGGGGGCTGGAGGTGTGTTTACAGAGCCCCAAAATAAACAATGCAACCAGGTCAGACCAGCGGTTCTCACAGTGTGGTTCCCAGACCAGCAGCATCACTGGGAGCTTACTGGACACGCAAATAAATCCCTGTGTGCCACCCCAGCTGCATCAGATGCTGGTGGGGCCCAGTGATCTGTATTTAACACACCCTCCGGGGGATGCCGGTGCCCACTCACGTTTGAGAACCCCTGCGATCCACGACTGCCCTCCCGTGTAAAAGGCCCACCTCTGTGGGACTCCAAGTCATCAGCACCCTAGGGTCCTTCCGTCTTTTTCCTTCCTCCTGGGACACCTGCCTCTCCCATGTCGTATTAGAGAATTCCTTATGCTCCCAAGTGGGCACGGGGAGAGGAAGGCACTCCTCTTTAAGGACCGACCCAGAGGTTTTGCCATTGCTTCACTGGCCAGAGCTTAGTCACGCAGCCTCACCCAGAGGCAAGGGAGGTTGGAAAATGTAGTGTTTGTGTGTGTCTAACACAAATTCTATTACCATGCAGTCAGGATTCTCCACTCTTGCTCTTTCATTAGATTTGCTGGGCTTCACCCTGGACTTTCTGATTTAGTGACAGAACAGAGAACCCAGAGGCAGACCCAGATGTGTACAAGGGCTTCATATACAATCAGGAGATTTAATAATCATGCTAGGGGCCGGGTGCAGTGGCTCACGCCTGTAATCCCAAGCACTTTGGGGAGCCGAGGCAGGCAGATCACTTGAGGTCAGGAGTTTGAGACCAGCCTGGGCAACAAAGTGAGACCCTGTCTCTACTAAAAATAACAAAAATTAGCCGGGCGTGGTGGTGGGCGCCTGTAATCCCAGCTCCTCGGGTGGCTGAGGCATGAGAATCACTTGAACCCAGGAGGCAGAGGTTTCAGTGAGCTGAGATCACATCACTGCACTCCAGCCTGGGTGACAGAGTGAGATTCTGTCAAAAAAAAAAAAAGACAAAAAACAACAGGTACGGTGGCTTACACCTGTAATCCCAGCAGTTTGTGAGGCCGAGGTGGGCAGATCACCTGAGGTCAGGAGTTCAGGACCAGCCTGGCCACCATGGTGAAACCCTATCTCTAGTAAAAATACAAAAAAATTAGCCAGGCATGGTGGCGGGTGCCTGTAATCCCACCTATTTGGGAGGCTGAGGCAGGCGGATTGCTTGAATCCGGGAGTTGGAGGTTGCAGTGAGCTGAGATCACGCCACTGCACTCCAGCCTGGGCAACAAGAGCAAAACTCCATCTCAAAAAAAAAATAATTTTCATTTGTAATAGGTATCAGAATGGGGAAAAATATTTGCAGAGTCTAGCACTGATAAGATATCTTCTTAACAAGAAAAAGAGACCAGCCATAACAGGACAATGGGCAAAGGATATGAACAGGCAATTTAGAGAAGAAAGAACTCAAAGCCCAGTAAGGGTGTTCACAGCTGCTCAAACTCGTTAGTCATCAGAGACATGCACGTTCAAACCGTGCGGCGGTATTTTACACCATGAGTCTGATAAAAACAGATCCAGCTTAGTCAAGTGTTGCACATATGTATCTCCCAATGATTCCAATAGTCACACCCGGGTGACTTCCCAAAGAAACTCTCTGGACCTGAGGAAGAGTCGATGAGGACGTTCACTGTAGCATTATTTGTGGGGTGGAGCTGGAGGCAGGGGCATGTCCACCCCAGGGGAGTGGGTGGCTAAACAGAAGGGGTGCACCCCCAAAATTCCTGTCCAGACAGCAGGTAAGAAAAACAATAATAAGATTCATAATACAAGGCTGGGTGTATAAATAGCAAATTATGGACATAAAACAATGGTCCTCATTTTGCAAGGTTAGGAGACTCATTTGCATATTAGCATGGCTGCCACTGGGGAGGGAGAGGGGTGAGGGAAAGAATGAATGAACTGCAGATCTTGGGAGAAATGAAGGCCTTGAAGGCCACACTGAGGCTTGGTTCTCTAAGCAAAGGGGAACTCCCTTTTGTGTGGCTTGGGGCCTGGTCACAGGTATTTAATATAAAAATAAGCCAGGTGATCCTAACATACAGCCAGGATTGAGAATGGGAGAATGGGCTGGGCAAGGTGGCTCACACCTGTAATCCCAGCACTTTGGGAGGCAGAGGTGGGTGGATCACCTGAGTTTAGGAGTTCCAGACCAGCCTGGCCGACATGGTGAAACCCCGTCTCTACTAAGAATACAAAAATTAGCCACGCATGGTGGCGGGCGCTTGTAATCCCAGCTACTCGGGAGGCTGAGGCAGGAGAACTGCTTGAACCTGGGAGGTGGAGGTTGCAGTGAGCCAAGATCGTGCCATTGCACACCAGCCTGGGCAACGAGCGAAACTCCATCTCAAAAACAAAAAACATTGATCGAAGTCTGGCTGTGTTCAGGGGCTTTGCTAAGCTCCTAGTTTTGCGCCATTTAACTCCTGTAGTGGTTACCACCCCCCAAGGAAAAGGTTCCCCCCACCAAAAAAAAAAATAGATTCCCCCCCACTCACAAAAAAAGATAGGTCCACGGAAAATCTGTGAGTGTGGCCTTATTTGGGAAAAGGGTCTTTGCAGATGTGTCCTGAGTTAAGGATCTGGAAATGAGGTCACCCTGGTGTATCCGGGTGGGCTCTTATCTACTGAAAAGTGTCCTTTAGAGAAATGCAGAGGAGATTTGGGGCACACAGAGAAGCAGCCATGAGTCAGGAAAAGCCAGGGGCCTTCCAGGAGAAGCCAGAAGGGGCCAGGAAGCAATCTGTCCTGAAGGCTTCAGAGGGAGGAGAGCCCTGTCCACACCTGCACTTCAGACTTCGGCTTCCAGAACTGAGAGAATACAGCCAGGCATGGAGGCTCACGCCTGTAATCCCAACACTTTGGGAGGCCAAGGCAGGTGAATCACTTGAGGCCAGGAGTTCGAAACCAGCCTGGCCAACATGGCGAAAACCTGTCTCTACTAAAAACACAAAAATTAGCCGGGTGTGGTGGTGGGCACCTGTAATCCCAGCTACTCAGGAGGCAGAGGCAGGAGAATTGCTTGAACCTGGGAGGCAGAGATTGCAGTGAGCCGAGATCGCACCACTGCACTCCAGCCTGGGCAACAGAGCGAGACTCGTCCTCAAAACAACAACAACAACAACAAACCAGAACTGAGAGAATACATGGCTGCTGTTTCAAGCCACCACGCTGGGAATTTGTGATCGCAGCCCAGGAAACATGACCCTCGTAGCCGCCTTCTGCGGAACTACTGTACCTTCCTTGGCCTGTTTCACAGATGAGAGACAGGAACAAAGATGTCAACCTGAGGTCACAGAGCCAGAAAGTGATAGAGGCAGGATTCGAATCCTGGCATCGGGCCTGGGAGTTCCTGCATATCCTCACCATGCAGCACTGAGAAGTGGGTCAGGGCTCCCTTCACTACCCCACTTGTGGGACCACAGTTACCAACAGAGAAGTGCCTGTGTCTTCCCAGGTGGCTGGTCACGGAAGGAGGGCAGGCCCCAAGCCGCAGACTCCAAAAGGGAGGCTGTCGTCCTAGGGTGATCCATGGAGACTTGGGGTGGAGAGGTGTTGGCTGGGGGATGAGATGGGGCAGCAAGCAGGGTCCTGGACTGCCCTTGGGGGACACGGGGGCAGCTCAGAGCCACGCTTGGGGACTGCTGGATTATACGAAGGTGAACTCTCTGTTCCCTCCTCTCCCTGCATCTTTTTTCTTTTCTTTTTTTTTGAGATGGAGTCTCGCTCTGTCGCCCAGGCTGAAGTGCAGTGTCGAGACCTTGGCTCACTGCAACCTCTGCCTCCTGGGTTCAAGCAATTCTCCTGCCTCAGCCACCTGAGTAGCTGGGATTACAGGCACAGGCCACCACGCCCGGCTAATTTTTGTATTTTTAGTACAGACGAGGTTTCACCATGTTGGCCAGGCTGGTTTCGAACTCCTGACCTCAAGTTATCTGCGCGCCTCAGCCTCCAAAGTGGTGGAATTACAGGCATGAGCCACCGCGCCCAGCCTCCTCCTACGTCTTTGTCTCTGCCTTCCTTTGTCTCTCTCTTTCATTCTCCTGCTTAGTCTTTTTCATTATTTGAACAGGTGGCCCAAGCCCATGGTACAAAATGTAAAAGATCCCAAAGGGAATAAATGGGAAAATCAGCCTCCCTCCCACCTTACCTCCTTCCCCATGCCCAGCCTCTCAGTTCTGCTCCCCAGAGGCAGCCACTGATACAAGTTTCTTGTGCTTCCTTCCAGATATGTCTGCATGTACCAGGAAATACTTACATGCATATACAGACATGTATTTTCCTTCATACAGATAGCATAATGGGCCAGGCACGGTGGCTCATGCCTATAATCCCAGCACTTTGGGAGGCTGAGGCGGGTGGATCACCTGGAGTCAGGAGTTCGAGACCAGCCTGACCAACATGGTAAAACCCCGTCTCTACTAAAAGTACAAAAATTAGCCGGGCATGGTGGCTTGCGCCTGTAATCCCAGCTACTTGGGAGGCTGAGGCCGGAGAATCACTTGAACCCGGGAGGCAGAAGTTGCAGTGAGCCGAGATTGTGCCATTGCACTCCAGCCTGGGCGACAGAGAGTCTGTCTCAAAAAATAAAAATAAAAAAAATGTTGAATGTTGGCATAACGGGCACATCCCTCTGCCCCTTACTTTTTCCTACTTAACAATGTATCTTGGTGGTTGTTCCCTGCTGGTACATAAAAAGCAATTTTGATCCTGTTAGCGGCTGTGTAATATTCCATTGAACAGAGGAACCATGAATGATAGGAACAGCCACTGTCACTGGACATTTAGGGGGCTTGGAGTCGTTTGGTGTTTTTTATTTTATTTTGTTTTTTATTTTATTTTGAGACAAGGTCTCACTCGCTCTGTCGCCCAGCCTGGAGTGTAGTGGCACAATCTCAGCTCACTGCAACCTCCGCCTCCTGGGCTCAAGTGATTCTCCCACCTCAGCCTCTCAAGTAGCTAGGATTACAGGTATGTGCCACCACGCCTGGCTAATTTTTTTATTTTATTTTATTTTATTTTTTATTTATTTATTTTTTTGAGATGGAGTCTCGCTCTGTCGCCCAGGCTGGAGTGCAGTGGCGTGATCTCGGCTCACTGCAAGCTCTGCCTCCCGGGTTCACGCCATTCTCCTGCCTCAGCCTCCCAAGTAGCTGGGGCTACAGGTGCCCGCCACCACGCCCAGCTAATTTTTTTGTATTTTTAGGAGAGACTGGGTTTCACCGTGTTAGCCAGGATGGTCTCGATCTCCTGACCTCGTGATCCACCCGCCTCGGCCTCCCGAAGTCCTGGGATTACAGGCGTGAGCCACCGTGCCCGGCCAATTTTTTTCTTTTTTGTAGAGATGGGGTTTCACCATGTTGCCCAGGCTGTTCTGGAACTCTTGAGCTCAAGCGATCCTCCCGTCTTGGCCTCCCAAAGTGTTGGGATTACAGGGGCCCTCTCTTCCTGTTTTCTGGCTCTTTGTGTATCTTGTTGCTGTCTCTGCCTCTCCCTGTCCACACTCTTCCCTCCTTCTATCCAACCTCAGTCCTGCCTCTCTGTCGCCCCCTGCAGGGTGAAGTGGGCTCACTGCCCCTCCAACCTCACAAACCTCTGTGGTTTGTATCTGGGGCAGACAGCACCCACCCCAGCCCACCTTTCTACTACCCCTGCCCCCTCCCGACCTGGCTGCACTTTCCCACCCTCCACAGCCCTGATAGAGAGCCCAGGATCTGCTCCCCCAGCCCCAGGTGCCCACCCTCCAGGACCCCTGCCCTTCCCCCTCTACCAGCAGGCTTGGGCCCCAGGACGTGCTGACTCCTGGGGGTGACAGGTTTTGCAGCAGGTGCAGTGGGAGCTAGGCTTGGGCAAGTTGGAAGCGGTGCCTCGGCTGGGTCAGAGCCTCTTCCTCCTGCCGCCCAGCCGGGCCTTCCTGCCCTCCCTGCCCAGCAAGCAGAGCAACGTCAGGTCAGCCCTGGGCTGGGGACAGACAATAAACAGACCTGCCCAAGGCCCTGCCCTGGTGAGGATGACATTCGGGCAGGGTGAGAGACTGTGATCCAGTGACAGCCACACGCACAGAGGTATTTACAAAGCATGCTGAATGCAAGAAAGGACGAATGGGGTGTGATAGAGAATAGCAGGGAAGGGGAATTTATCTGGCCTGGGGATGGCCCAGCTCTCTTTCTTTGTACCAGTAGAGAACAATCACCAAACCATCTTGTTAGGCAGAAAAAAGCAAGAAGGGTGTGTGCCGTATGACAAGGTGACTTGTTTTGTTTTGTTGAGACAGTCTCTGTCACCCAGGCTGGAGTGCAGCGGCACGATCTTGGCTCACTGCAGCCTCGACTTCCCAGGCTCAAGTGATCCTCCCACCTCAGCCTCCGAAGTAGGTGGAACCAGAGGCACTTCCCACCATGCCTGTTTTTTTTTGTTGTTGTTTGTTTGTTTTTGGTAGAGACAGGGGTCTCGCTATGTTGCCCAGGCTTGTCTCAAACTCCTGAGCTCAAGCCATCCTCCTACCTCAGCCTCCCAAAGTGCTATAATTACAGGCACTGCACCAGGCCAGTTTTTTTGTTTTGTTTTGTTTTGTTGAGACGGAGTCTTGCTCTGTCACCCAGGCTGGAGTGCAGTGGCACTATCTCAGCTCACTGCAACCTCTGCCTCCCAGGCTCAAGCGATTCTCCTGCCTCAGCCTCCTGAGTAGCTGGGATTACAGGCATGCACCACCATGCCTCGCTAGTTGTTGTATTTTTGGTAGAAACGGGGTTTCGCCATGTTGGCCAGGCTGGTCTTGAACTCCTGACCTCAAGTGATCCGCCTGCCTCAGCCTCCCAAAGTGCCCGGATTACAGGTGTGAGCCACCATGCCCGGCCATTGGCCGGCTTTTATTATTTCATCTAGTTCCCTGGTTGTCGACAAGGTGATGCTTCCCAGATTTTCATCTCAGCCCCGACCCCTCTCTCAGACTCCAGCCGGTACATCCAGTTGCCCCTGGCATCACCCCTGCGGATACCTCGTACTTCACATATATGCATGGAGTACTTGATTTCCCAAGAACCCCCTCAAAGAGCTGCCCCATTCTGTCTGACCTCATCTCCCCTTCATTCTCTTCACCCCACACTGGCCTCCGTGCTCTTCCCCAACCCACCAAACCCCGTCGCACCTCAAGGCCTTTGCACTGACTGTTTCCTCTCCCAGAATGCTCCTCTCCTAGGCCTTTGTGCAGCTAATTCCTTCCCCTTCTTCAGGTTTCTGCTCAAATATCACCTCCTCCGAGAAGCCCTCCCTGACCACCCCAACTAGGCAAGGCTTCCACCTGCTCTTCTCTGCCCTGACAGCGCATTCTTCACCTTCAAGGCACTTAGTGCTGTTTGTCAATTAACTAGTTACTTGTTGAATTGTAACTAGTTAATTGACATCCCTTCCCCCACAAGGCTGCAAGCCCCGTGGGGACAGGAATGGTGTCTGTTCTTTCACCACATTACACCCCAGTGCACAGGGCTTGGCCATTGAAGGCATCTCATAAACATCTGTTGAAAGAACAGGTGGTAGAAAGCAATGAGAGGCTCCGGACCTTGTTTGCTTTATAAAAATTATATTTTTTATCAGCCTGGGTAACATGGGGAGACCCCCATCTCTACAAAACATTTAAAAATTAACTGGGCATGGTGGTGTGTGCCTGTGGTCCCAGCTACTTGGGAGGCTGAGGTGGGAGAATCACTTGAGCCCAGGAGGTTGAGGTTACAGTGAGCTATGGTGGTGCCACTGCACTACAGCCTGGTGACAGAGAGAAACCCTGTCTCAAAAAAAAAATTACACTTAGGCTGGATGTAGTGGCTCATACCTGTAATCCCAGCACTTTGGGAGGCCACAGTGGGTGGATCACCTGAGATCAGGAGTTGGAGACCAGCCTGGGCAACATGGTGAAACCTCGTCTCTAGTAAAAATACAAAAAAAAATTATTTGGGCGTGGTGTCACATGCCTGTAATCCCAGTTACTGGGGAGGCTGAGGCAGGAGAATGGCTTGAACTTAAGAGGCAGAGGTTGCAGTGAGCCGAGATTGCACCACTGCACTCCAGTCTGGGCAACAGAGTGAGACTGTCTCAAAAATTACACTTAAAAGTGTAATAGGCTGGGCACAGTGGCTCATGCCTGTAATCCCAGCACTTTGGGAGGCTGAGGTGAGCAGATCACTTGAGGTCAGGAGTTTGAGAACAACCTGGCCAACATGGTGAAACCCCATCTCTAGTAAAAATACAAAAATTAGCTGGGTGTGGTGGCAGGTGCCTGTAATCCCAGCTACTCGGGAGGCTGAGGCAGGAGAATCGCTCCAACCCGGGAGGTGGAGGTTGCAGTGAGCCAAGATCGTGCCACTGCACTCCAGTCTGGGTGACAGGGCGAGACTCCATCTCAGGAAAAAAAAAAAAAAAGTGTAATACTTAAAAGAAGTAATACGCATAAGTGATACCAAATCCAAAAGTTTCAAAGGACATAGAGTACAAAGTCATTGTCCCCACCTTGCCTGTCTCGGACGCCACCAGATCTCGCCCGCAGAGTCACTTTCTGGAAGAGATCTGACAAATCTTCATTTTATATACATATATATATATATATATATATATGTATGTATATTTTCTTCTTCTTTTTCTTCTTCGGCATCCATTTTGAAGCACAAGGCCCACTGTTCCATATCTTGCTCTTCTACTTAATAACTGCCTCGTAGATACTTTCTTATTAGCAACATAGAGAGAATTGGCATACTGTTTTTGTTTTGTTTCTTATTGAGGTATAATTTACATACAATAAACTACGCCCATTTTAAATCTACAGTTTGCTGAATTTTGACAAATGTATACACCCATATAATGACAACTGCAATTAAAATGGAACTTTCTCATCAGCCCACAGCATTTACTCTTGTGCCTTTTTGTAGTTAAGCCCCACCAGCCTCGTGAAATTACAGACCTGCTGTATCTGATTCTAGATTAGTTTTGCTTTTTCCAGAACTTTAGATAACTGGAATCACATAGTCGGTACTCTTTTATGTCTGGCTTCTTTCTTTCCTTTTTCTTTATTGTTCTTTTGTTTATTTATTTACTTTGAGTCGGAGTTTCACTCTGTCGCCAAGGCGACACTGAGCAGTGGTGCAATTTTGGCTCACTGCAACCTCTGCCTCCCGAGTTCAAGCGACTCTCGTGCCTCCCGAGTGGCTGGGATTACAGGCGTGCATCAACGCTTGGCTAATTTTTGTATTATTAGTAGAGACAGGGCTTCATCATGTTGGCCAGACTGGTCTTGAACTCCTGAGCTCAGGTGATTCGCCCGTCTCGGTGTCCCAAAGCGTTGGGATTACAGGCGTGATCCGCCGCGCCCGGCTTTCTTTTTTCTTTATGCTCTAAAATCTATCACTGGCCAGGCCTAGTGGCTCACACCTATAATCCCAGCACTTTGGTAAGTCGAGGCAGGACTATCTCTTGAGCCCGGGAATGTGAGACCAGCCTGGGCAACACAGTGAGACTCCCATCACTACAAAAAATACAAAATTTGTAAAATAAATAAATTTTAAAAATGTATCACTGTATTGCCTGGCTTCTTTCATTCATCACAATGTGTTTGAGAGTCATCTGTGTTTTGTATGTACCCATAGATCATTCCTGGGCTGGGCGTGGTGGCTCACACCTGTAATCTAACACTTTGGGAGGCCGAGGCGGGAGGATTGCTTGAGCTCAGGAGTTCGAGACCAGCCTGGGCAACATGAGGAGACTCCCTGTCTCTACAAAAAAATACAAAAATTAGTTGGGCTTGGTGGTGTGTGTTTGTGGTCCCAGCTACTTGGGAGGCTGAAGCAGGAGGATCGTTTGAGCCCAGGAGATGGAGGTTGCATTAAGCCGAGATCGTGCCCCTGGACTTCAGCCTGGGAGACAGAGCCAGACCCTGTCTCAAAAAAAAAAAAAAAAAAAAAAAAAAAGGTGATTCCTCTCCTTGCTGAAGTGTGCTCCATTGTGGCCATTCCAGTTAGTTTATGCACCCACTCGTTGCTGGGCACTCGGGTTCCCCTCAGTTTGCAGCTGTTATGAAAAAGTACCGTGACCAGGTCTCTGTGTGGACAATGTTTTCATTTCCCTTGGCTAACTACTTCAGAGCAGGGTCACTGTGTCGTAGGTTGTGCATATTTTTTGTTTTATAAGAAATTGTCGGCCAGGTGCAGGAGCTCATGCCTGTAATCCCAACACTTTGGGAGGCCGGGGCGGGTGGATCACAAGATCAGGAGTTCAAGACCAGCCTGGCCAATATGGTGAAACCTCATCTCTACTAAAAATACAAAAAAATTAGCTGGGTGTGGTGGTGCATGCCTGTAATCTCAGCTACTCAGGAGGCTGAGGCAGGAGAATCGCTTGAACCTGGGAGTCGGGAAGTTACAGTGAGCCAAGATCACGCCACTGCACTCTAGCCTGGGCGACAGAGCAAGACTCTGTCTAAAAAAAAGAAAAAAAAGAAAAGAAATTGTGCAATCCTTTTCCAACGTGGTCATACCACTGCTCGTGCTTTCTGTACTTCGTGATATATGAGACGTGGCTTTGGGGAAGAGGGACTGTGTTGGTCACCCAGGCTTTGACGTATTTGGGAAATAGCCTGTCGGGGCTGAACCCCCATATTAGGGACTTTACCATCCCCCTGCTGGAGAGAGGGGGACGTTTGGGACTTATTGTTAGAATGCACTTGGAGGCCGGGTGCAGTGTGGTTCACCCCTGTCATCCCAGCACTTTGGGAGGCCGAGGCTGCAGTGAGCTGTGATCAGCATCACTGCACTCCAGCCTGGGCAACAGGGAAAGATCCTAACTCAAATAATAATAATAATAATAATAATAATAATAATAATAATGCACTTGGCTTTGCAGGGCCCAGCTGTGGCCCTGGATCCCTTGGATTGAAGTAAAAGGGTTTCTCATAGATTCTGGGGCCCATCACAATTACTGAAGCCGGCTCCTTGGAAATAAATGCACATTTCTCAGAGGCTCCCTGGGTGAATCTGACAGAACCTGCCCTAAAGTTTGGGAACCGCTGAGTTTGGGAACCACAAAAGCCCTGAGATGCAAGAGAACAGGTCCTGGAGGCAGAGACCAGAAACCCAGGACCTTGGATGCTGGCCAAAGAGATGGGATTTTTCTCCTGAGGGCACTGGGGAGTCATGGAGGGCTTAACTGGGGGAGTGACACAGTTCAGGCTTTAGTCCAACCCCTGTGGCTGTCATGTGTATGGGTGTGTGTGGAACAGATGTGAGCGAGGCACCCAGAAAGGAGATCATGTGAAAACCACAGCCAGGGTAGGGGTAGGCAGGAGGGGATGTCAATCTCTACAGACTCTAGTTTTCTTTATTTTCCTTTATTATTTTTTTTTCAATTCTTTTTATTTTTTATTTTTTGAGACAGAATCTCTCTCTGTTGCCCAGGCTGGAGTGCAGTGGTGCCATCTTGACTCACTGCAACCTCCACCTCCCCAGTTCAAGTGATTATCCTCAGTAGCTGGGATTACAGGCATGTACCACCATGCCTGGTTAATTTTTGGTATTTTTAGTAGAGATTGTATTTTTAGTTTCACCATGTTGGCCAGACTGGTCTCAAACTCCTGACCTCAAGTGATCTGCCCACCTCAGCCTCCCAGAGTTCTGGGATTACAGGTGTGAGCCACCGAGCCCGGCCTATTATTATTGTTTTTTGAGACAGGGTCTCGCTCCATCACCCAGGCTGCAGTGCAGTGGCGGCGCCATCTCAGATCACTGCAACCTCCACCTCCCAGGCTCAAACAATCCTCCTGCCTCATCCTCCCAAGTAGCTGGGACTACAGGCATGTGCCACCACGCCTGGCTAACGAGGTCTCACCACGTTGCCCAGGCTGGTATCCAACTCCTAGGCTCAAGTGATCTGCCCGCCTCAGCTTCCCAAAGTGCTGAGATTACAGGCACAAGCCACCGCATCCAGCCACTCTACAGACTCCTGGCTGCCCTTCTGTCCTAGTCTCCTCCGGCTCCCAGCCACTCCCTGCCCTGGATTCTGACCTGGGCACAGCTCTGACTACACTCACCAGACACCCCTCCTTCTCCTTCTCCTCCTCCCCCATGGCGATGACAGGTCTCAGGCAGGGAGGGTGGGCAGCCAGGACAAGGGCGTGGGTTTGTGTGCGTGTGGTGGTGGTGGGAGTGTCTGGTCGTGCGTGTGTTGTGAGCTCTGCCAGTGTTTGCCTGGGAATCTGCTGGGGACTTCCAGGTGCAGTATTTGTTGATCTGCTCCCTCCCCTGGTTTTTCCCCACCCGCTGGGCACTGGTTAATTCCCAACTTTCCAGGGCAGTCACTTCACCTCTCTTGCCTCAGTTCCCTGATCTGTCAATAGAGATACAATTACCAGTTCCCAACTCTGCAGGGTTGTGAGGTTCAAAGAGTCCAAGACTCAATAAATGTAACCATCATCTCCTGCTTGCTTCTGTATGAGCCCATGTTTCTTCCCAGGGGCGATTTGTTTTTTGTTTTGTTTTGTTTTTGAGATGGAGTCTTGCTCTGTTGCCCAGCCTGGAGTGCAGTGGCACGATCTCAGTTCACTGCAACCTCTGCCTCCTGGATTCAAGCGATTCTCCGGCCTCAGCCTCCCGAGTAGCTGGGACTACAGGCACGCACCACCATGCCCAGCTAATTTTTTTTTTTTTTGTATTTTTTTTTTTTTTTAGTAGAGATGGGGGTTTCACCATGTTAGCCAGGCTGGTCTTGAACTCCTGACCTCAAGTGATCCGCCTGCCTTGGCCTCCCAAAGTGCTAAGATTACAGGTGTGAGCCACTGCGCCTGGCCTGTTTTTGTTTTTTGTTTCTTTGAGACAGGATCTCATTCTGTCACCCAGGCTAAAATGCAGTGATGCGATCTCAGGTCACTGCAACTTTGACCTCCTGGGCTCAAGCGATCCTCCCACCTCAGCCTCTTGAGTAGCTGGGACCACAGGTGTGTTCCACCAAACTGAGATAATTTATTAATTTTTTTGTAGAGATGGGGTCTTGCCATGTTGCCCAGGCTGGTCTCAAACTCGTGGGTTCAAGTGATCTTCCTGCCTCAGCCTCCCAAAGTGTTAGATTACCGGTGTGAGCCACCACACTCAGCCCTTGGGGGCAATTTGAATCTGTGTCCCTGTGTATGTTCTCTAAGATTCTGTATGCGAGTGTGTCTAACTCGTTGTGTACCAGCTGTGCAACCTTGGGTGAGTTACTAGACCTCTCTGTGCCTAGTTTCTTCATCTGCTAAATGCACATGACTTCCTAGTCATGCTACTTCCTAGGGTGGATGTGGAGACTGAATTAATTGCCTAATTAATTACCTAAGTCCATTGCAACTAATGGACTTAGTGCAATGCCTGGCATGAGGGCAGCCTCAATTACATGATCATTATCACTGGGGCGTGACTTCTGTCCCCCACCCGCTGAGTGTCTGTGAGTGTCTGAGCGTTGGGGCAGGAAGTGCCTGTGAAAGCATGTGGAGTTATCTGGGACTATATGGGACCCAGCCTGGGAAGGCAGCTTCTGTTTCCATGGCACCCCTCACAGGGTTGTTGTATTGGAAAGACCCGTCCCAGAGGGCATCCGCCAGCACACAGCTGCACACACATGTTTGCTGTTACTTTTCCTTTACCTATAAAATGCCAGTCATAGTAGCACCCACCTTGTCTTTGTAGGAGAATGAAATGAACTTAGAGGCGCTCAGTAGAAAGCACTCACGCCTGTAATCCCAGCACTTTGGGAGGCCAAGGCAGGTGGATCACTTGAGGTCAGGAGTTTGAGACCAGTCTGATCAAGAGGGTGAAACCTCGTCTCTTCTAAAACTACAAAATTAGCTGGGTGTGGTGGCACATGCCTGTAATCCCAGCTACTCGGGAGGCTGAGGCAGGAGAATCACTTCAACCCGGGAGGCGGAGGTTGCAGTGAGCTGAGATCGTGCTTCTGCACTTCAGCCTGGGTGACAGAGTGAGACTCCATCAGAGAGAGAGAGAGAGAGAGAAGCAAGCGCTCAGTGCTGAGCTTACCTGGGCCAGGTAGAGGGATGTGGCCACGGGCAGGAAGTGGCTGTGGGAATCTGGCGCTACAGGTTCCTCTGCCACCCCACTTCCTCCACACCTGACCTCCTGTCCCCACCTGTGCCCCGTCCCTTGCTCCCACCTCCTCGTGACCTCTGATGGGGGAGGCTTCTGCAGCCCCCCACCCCAGTCCCAGGCAGGGGTGCAGGCCCCCAGAACACCCAGTTGGGATCACTGCTTCCCTCTCACTGCCATCTTTGTGCCTCCCTGGGGTCCCCCATCTCTGAGGCTCCTCATCTCTGGTTTTGGGTGTCTCTCTGCTCTCCTCACCTTGGTTTTCTGGACAGTATGTGTCAGGGCCCCAAGGGGGTGTCCCAGGTGAGGACAGAGAAGGAAGTGGCAGAGGCAGGACCTTCCCTTTGCACCTCAGCTCATCCATCCACTCCCCCTCTGCAGAGTGGGGAGGGGGAGGAGGGGGGTCTTCGTTAATTAGCCTCTTAATCCTGCCATGCTGGATCTTAATGAGGTGCACGGGTCCCATTAGACAGCCCGGAGCCCTGGCATTAGCACATTAGTCACACGCTCTGTCAGGCTCACGCTGGGTCCTCAGCTGGCCCTGGGAAAATTGGGGCAGGAAGTCTGGGGACCTAAGGAGGGGGCTGGTGCCTGGACTTCTGGGTCTGAAGAAGGAGGGGCTGGTGCCTGGACTCCTGGATCTGAGGGAGGACGGACTGGGGGCCTGGATTCCTGGGTCTGCGGGAAGAGGGGCTGGTGCCTGGACTCCTGGGTCTGAGGGAGGAGGGGCTGGGGTCTTGAATTCCTGGGTCTGAGGGAGGAGGGGCTAGGGGCCTGGACTCCTGGGTCTGAGGGAGGAGGGGCTGGGGTCTTGAATTCCTGGGTCTGAGGGAGGAGGGGCTAGGGGCCTGGACTCCTGGGTCTGAGGGAGGAGGGTCCGAGGGACAAGATCCTCCCCCGACACGCCCCTCTCTTAAATGTCAGCCAGGGTGCCCTGCCCCTTCCCGCTCCCAGTTAACCCCAGCCCTGTGAAACCGGGACAGTCGCGCAGCCTCGAGGGATGGAGGAGGTGCGTGAGGGACACGCGCTCGGTGGCGGGATGGAAGCCGATGGGCCCGCGAGCCTCCAGGAGCTGCCTCCCTCGCCACGGTCGCCTTCACCGCCGCCGTCGCCGCCACCACTGCCCTCGCCGCCGTCGCTGCCATCGCCCGCAGCCCCGGAGGCCCCCGAGCTCCCCGAGCCGGCGCAGCCGTCCGAGGCTCACGCCCGGCAGCTGCTGCTGGAGGAGTGGGGGCCGCTGAGCGGGGGCCTGGAGCTGCCCCAGCGCCTCACCTGGAAGCTGCTCCTGTTGCGGCGGCCGCTCTACCGCAACCTGCTGCGCTCGCCCAACCCCGAAGGTGCGCAAGGGCCCAGAGCAGCCAGGAGGCACCACCCTGACCGTCTGTCTCTTCCTCTTTCCCTGTTTCCTTATCTCTCTACCTCTTTGTCTCTCTCTGTCTATGCATTTCTCTGCATCCCTCTGTCTCTTTTTCTGTCATTGTGCCTCTCCATTTTACCACCTGTCTCTCTGTCATGTCTCTTACCTACCTCTCTCACACCTCTCCCTCACACCTCTCCATCTCTCTTTCTCTCTCCTCCTCTCTCTCTCCCCCTCTGCCTATGTTTCTGTCTCTTGAGACGGAGTCTTGCTGTCGCCCAGGCTGGAATGCAGTGGTGCAATCTCAGCTCACTGCAACCTCCGCCTCCCAGGCTCAGGCAATTCTCCTGCCTCAGTCTCCCGAGTAGCTGGGATTACAGGCATGCACCACCATGCCTGGCTAATTTTTGTATTTTTAGTAGACACAGGGTTTCGTCATGTTGGCCAGGCTGGGCTGGTTTCAAACTCTTGGCCTGTCTCTTTCTCTGGGTTCTTCTCTCTGTCCCTCTGTCTCTGTCTGTCTCACCACACCCCACTTACCCCTGGCATTGCCCTCTCCCCAGCCCAGAGCCCTGACTCACTCATCCCTGCCGGGCTTCCCTGACCTGGCACAGATTCCTGCCCTTCCAGTGTATAGCCCTGCGGGTAGGGAGGGGTGAGGCGGTGGAAGATGGAGGGGCTGCCCAGAGGCTCCACTCACCTGTCCATTTCAGGCATCAACATTTATGAGCCAGCACCCCCTACTGGTCCCACCCAGCGACCCCTGGAAACTCTGGGTAAGTGCTTGGAGGGCCAGGTTGCTGAGGGTGGGGAGGGTCCTCCAGCGTTGGGGTGTCCTAACCCTTTGCTCCCCAACCTGCAGGCAATTTCCGTGGCTGGTACATTAGAACTGAAAAGCTCCAGCAGAACCAAAGGTGAGTCGCCAGGGCCAGTGTGGCTTACACTCCATTCCCTGCTCCACCCTTCCTCACTGTGAGACCTGGAGAAACTGACTTGGCCTCTCTGGACCTCCATTTCCTGCTCTGTAAACAGGGTTAGCATAAGAGAGAATGCTTGTAAAACACACAGCATAGGGCCCGGCCAGGTCTGGCTAGCACCAGTCAATAGCAGCTATTATTGGTTTTTGGTTTTTGTTTTTAAGATGAAGTCTCACTCTGTTGCCCAGACTGGAGTGCAGTGACGCAATCTCAGCTCACTGCAACCTCTGCCTCCCAGGTTCATGCAATTCTCCTGCCTCAGCCTCCTGAGTAGCTAGGATTATAGGTGTGCGCCATCATGCCCAGCTCATTTTGTATTTTTAGTAGAGACGGAGTTTCACCATGTTGGCCAGGCTGGTCTCGAACTCCTCACCTCAAGTGATCTGCCTGCCTCAGCCTCCCAAAGTGCTCAGATTACAGGCATGAGCCACCGCGCCTGGCTATTCTTGTTATTGTTGTAATTATTCTAAGGCTCTTTCCCTGGGAGGGGAAGAGTCACCCCAGGCCCCTGTCCTCCATGAAACAGAGCCTTGCTCCTGCACAGTAGATGAGCTGGTGTGACTTGGAG
Organism: Homo sapiens; assembly: GCF_000001405.40. Classification (NCBI taxonomy): domain Eukaryota; kingdom Metazoa; phylum Chordata; class Mammalia; order Primates; family Hominidae; genus Homo; species Homo sapiens. Next base: position 39,198,885 of record NC_000019.10, read on the forward strand.
GCTCAGGGTCACACAGGCCAGGGTTGGGATCCTGGCTCTGCCACATGTTTGCTGCTTGACCTTGGACACGTCTCCATCCTCAGCCTCAGGTTCCTTGTCTGTAGCATGGGGTTCAGGATGCATTGCCCTCAGAGGGGCCCGTGGGAACTGAGAGTGGAAGGTGCTGAGGGAGCACCCCACGTGTGGGGACCCAAGCTATCCCTAAGAAAGCACTAAGACAGGGCTTCCTGCTCCCTGGATCCTGGCAGATCGCAGACCCCGCCTCTCCCGGCCCTTCTTTCACAGCTGGACAGTGAAGCAGCAGTGTGTGGACCTTCTGGCCGAGGGCCTGTGGGAGGAGCTGCTGGATGACGAACAACCAGCCATTACGGTCATGGACTGGTGCGTGCCCCTCCCCTGCCAGCCTGACCCCGTGATCGCGCAGGGCTGCCCAGAGCATGAGCCTTACTCTGAGCTCCCCTTGCTTTCAGCCCTTCACCAAGACCCTCCTGGTGCTACAGGGTCCTGCCCTGCCCACCTCCCTGGCCCCTTCTGTTTGAGCCTTTCAGATTTTGAAATGTGCCAGGGGGTTACTGAGGCTGATCTTTATTTCTTTTTCTTTTCTTTTTTTTTTCTTTTTTCTTTCTTTTTTTTTTTTTTTTTTTTTTTTGAGACAGCTGACTCTGTCGCCCATGCTGGACTGCAGTGGTGCCATCTCAGCTCACTGCTACCTCTGCCTCGCAGGTTCAAGCGATTCTCCTGCCTCAGCTTCCCAAGTAACTGGGACTACAGGCGCGCGCCACCATACCTGGCTAATTTCTGTATTTTTAGTAGCGATGGGGTTTCACCATGTTGCCCAGGCTGGTCTCGAACTCCTGACATCAAGTGATCTGCCTGCCTTGGCCTCCCAAAGTGCTGGGATTACAGGTGTGAGCCACTGTGCCCAGCCTATTCCTTATTTCTTAAAAGCCTGTCACCCTCTATTCTCAAGACCAATTCCTTCTTATTCCTTAGGAGTCACTTCCACATGGCTGCACCAGGAAGCCCTCCCTGATCACCCCTCAGCTGGGTCACGTGCATTTTCTCCAGTGCCCTGTGCCTCCAATTCCAGCCCCAACCCCTCTGCCTGGGTCCCCAATTCCGACCCCAACCCCTCTGCCTGTGTCCCCAGTTCTGTCCCCAACTCCTCTGCCTGGGTCCCCCCATCCTGGCCCTGACCCCTCTGCCCGTGCTCCCCATCCCAAACCTGGCCGTTCCTGGCTGTCATGTTTGGTGGCATGCCTGCCTCCCTCACTGGACTGTGAATCCCATGTGGCAGGGTGTGGGGCTGTCTTGGTCACTGCTATGTTGCCAGCACCACCCAGCTCAGGGCTGTGTACAGCATGGGTAGCAGCATGTGTGTTGAATGGGGAATGGGGCCAGGGGCTGGGGCTGGGTAGCTGAGACTGCAGTGACAGCTGAAGGCCTTGACTCCGCCTGCAGGTTCGAGGACAGCCGGCTGGATGCGTGCGTCTATGAGCTGCATGTCTGGCTGCTGGCGGCCGACCGCCGCACGGTCATTGCTCAGCACCACGTGGCCCCCCGAACTTCTGGGAGAGGACCCCCTGGCCGCTGGGTCCAGGTGAGACTCTCCGCGCCGGGGCCCTCAACCCCAGACGTGTGTTCTTGTCCCAAGACCTCACAGAGGGAGGAGAACAGGTCCGCGGGTCCTCAAAAAGGGCTCCTCCCTAACCCCAGGTGCTGTCACCACAGGTGTCCCACGTATTCCGCCATTATGGTCCCGGTGTGCGCTTTATCCACTTCCTGCACAAGGCCAAGAACCGCATGGAGCCTGGTGGGCTGCGGCGGACACGGGTGACCGACTCCTCCGTGTCTGTGCAGCTCCGGGAGTGACTGGCTGGCTCCTCTGTCCTGACCCCACAGCACCTCCCTGACCTTTAGGAGCCCCAACTCTTAGTCACCTCCTAGGCCTCTTATTTCTCCCTGGCCCTTGGCTTCTCACTTGATGGACAGCTTCACACACCCTTAAGCGGTGGACTCCAGCATTTTCCCAGCACTGTCTGAGCCCCATGAGGGCGGAGCCACTCCTTGTAAATTCAGTGCCCGACAGATGCTCTGGCACAGATGCTTTGTAGATCTCTGTTGAGAGAATGCATAGACACCTGTGCCCAAGGATGCTGAGGGCTGGTCTCTGCTTCTTTGAACTTCACTGAAACTGAATGCTCACTGCTGTGTTGCCAGCACCACCCAGCCCAGGGCTGTGAACGGAGTGGGTGGCAGCAAATGTGTGTTGAAAGGGGAATGAAGCCATTCACTTCACTCAGTTCCTGTCCCATTTAACCGCCCCGATCCTTGATCTTCCATTACCTTCACATCCCGGGGTCCTTCTGAACTGACCTTGACCTCTGATCTCTTCACACATCTCCCCTTAGCATCTCCACTTACCTACTTTTTTTTTTTTTTTTGAGATGGCATCTCACTCTGTCACCCAGGCTGGAGTGTAGTGACACGATCTCGACTCACTGCAATTTCCACCTCTCAGGTTCAAGTGGTTCTCCTGCCTCAGCCTCTCAAGTAGCTGGGATTACAGGTGCACAGCACCTCCCCCGACTAATTTTTATATTTTTAGTAGAGACGGGATTTCGCCATGTTGGCCAGGCTGGTCTCAAACTCCTGACCTCAAGTGATCTGCCCACCTTGGCTTCCCAAAGTGCTGGGATTGCAGACGTGAGTCACTGCGCCCAGCCATTCCATGTCTCTTAAGTCTCAGAATCTCCCCTAGCTCCCTCCAGGTGTCTGCAGTGGTTGTCCCCTCAAAGCTGTCCCACACCCTCCTCCGAGGACCCTTTGTGTATCTCCTCCAGCTACCGCAGAGCCCACAAACCCAGGCATCTATCAAAGTCCCTCATTCATGAGGGTGGTGAGGACACAGACTGCGACCAGAACAGAAATATGAAAATGTGAATGACAGCGTCCCCCGTGTGTGGAATGTGGGGATTAAAAGCATTTATCAACCTCTAAGTCCTGATCTGATCACTTGCAGATCCTAGCCCTAGTGCAGGGCTGGGTACTAGAAGGCCCCCTGCTGTCCCCTGCAGGAACCATGGAGGGAGTCCGGAGGCCCCTGGAGGCCAGAAACGGCTCAAGGAAGAGTGTTTGTTTGTTTGTTTTGAGACAGAGTGCTCCCTCTGTTGCCCAGGCTGGAGTGCAGTGGCACGATCTCGGCTCACTGCAACCTCCACCTCCCAGGTTCAAGCGATTTCTGGCTAATGTTTGTGGGGTTTTTTTGTTTGTTTGTTTGTTTGTTTTGTTTTGAGATGAAGTCTCGCTCTGTCACATGATCTCGGCTCACTGCCAGCTCCGCCTCCAGGTTCAAGCCATTCTCCCGCCTCAGCCTCCCGAGTAGCTGGGACTACAGGCGCCCACCACCACGCCTGGCTAATTTTTTTGTATTTTTAGTAGATACGGGGTTTCACTGTGTTACCCAGGATGGTCTCAATCTCCTGACCTCGTGATCCGCCTGCCTCGGCCTCCCAAAGTGCTGGGATTACAGGCGTGAGCCACCGCACCCCGCCCTAATGTTTGTATTTTTAGTAGAGACGGGGTTTCACCATGTTTGCCAGGCTGGCCTTGAACTCCTGACCTCAGGTGATCCGCCCACCTCAGCCTCCCAAAGTGCTAGGATTACAGGCCTGAGCCACCACACCAGGGCTAAGGAAGGGCTATTACTGAAAAGGATGGGGCATGTTTCATATTTAACAATCAGCCCAAGGTTCCCCTGCAGTTCACTCACATGTCCTTCTGTGGGCGTGTGTCTTCGTGCACACCTAAAACCATGTCCGAGTCGATGGCGTGTCCTTATCCATGGCATTGTCCTGGGTATGGGCTGACCCAGGCCCAACCACCCTGCTGTCTCCTCCATCCCACCCGGTCCTTGCATCCCAGGGACAAGCAGATGACAGACGGGGACAACTGCACAAAGGCTGTATTGCAGGGGAGGTGGGAGGGGGCAGGCAGAACGCTCCTCCTCCTGGGTCTTGGGGCCCCGGAGCAGAGCCCAGGGATGGGCTGAGTGAGGGGCTTGGCACTCTGTGGAAGCTGCAGATGAGAGACCAGCAATGCATCAGCTGCACCTGAAATGTAATCAAGAATTCCTTCCAGGGGCTCTCAGAGACCCAGAGTCTGGTGAGTTCTAGAAGCCTGAGACTGGGTGGGGGCTGGGGAGTCTGGGTCTGAGGCTCCAAGTTCAGGAACCAGGGATCCTAGCCTGGGAGTTTGGAGCTGGGGGCTCCTTGGAGCTCTTGGGGGACAGGAGTGGCTGGGGAGGGTTTGGGAGGGTGTCACCGCTGGATCTAGGTCCCAGGTCTGTGAGTGCAAGGTGGCCTCAGGGACCTCCAGGGTTGGGTCTTGGGGGTGGGCTGTGGGACTGATTTTAGGGCTGAGGCTGGTCTGGAGGGTCTAGGGGAGTGGAGAGCATGAAGGCTACACTGGGTGTTCCTATAATCGAGTCTGGAGTCTTGAGGTCTGGGTTAGTTTTGGAGTCTGGGAGCTTTGAGATGTGATGATCTGGGGAGTGGGGGCTGGCTTTGGTTCTGGGGACTCCAGGGTGAGGGGGTCTAGGAGCTCTCAGTCCCCAGAATTAGCCAGCCCTCTCTGGGAAGTACAGCTGTGGGCGGGTGGGTAGGCGGAAGATTCCAGAAGGTGGAGGGTTGGCTCTGAATCTCAGAGCTGGGGCGGAAATCTCCGTCCCAGGGGCCTGGGCTGCAGGTGGAGTGGGGACCGGGTGCTGGGGGTGAGGAGAAGGAGGACCTGGTTTGGGTGAGGACTCTGAGATGGGGGCCTCCAGGACTGGTTCTAGGGAGGCCTGGTGCTCCCTGTTACAGTCGGGAGCTCAGGGGTGTGGAGCAGCCTCGGGGCTTGGGTGGTGGGTGTGGGGGCTTATGCGGAGCTGGGGCCTGGGCCTGGGGTGGGCTCGGAGCTTTGGGCGGCCGGGCACCTGCAGTAGAGCGCGGAGATAGCGTTGGACCAGTCTCCTAAGATGCCCCGGCGGTACTCCTCCAGGCGCGGGTAGGTGCCGGCAGAGAACTTGTGCGTCTTGCCCGCCTTGCCTTGCCGGGACCACACGGTGAGCTCGCAGCGCGGGGCCACCACAAGTGAGGAGGCGGTGTTGGCCCAGTTGGAGGGCAGGTAGGGCAGGTCTGCGCCCGACTCCAGCGACAGCTCGGCGCCCCCGCAGCAGTTCTCATAGTAGGGGTCGCTCTTGTCATAGAGCTTGGCGCAAGTGCGCGTCCCGTCCGAGTGCTTGAGGTCGGCGGAGGCGGGGCAGGCGCCCTGGGCGCAAGGCACGGAGGCAAGGGCCAGGGCCAGCAGCAGCGGGCGCAGCGGGGACATGGTGGCAGTGCCCTGCCGCAGCCCCGCGCGCTTTTATGCGCCCGACCCGTGGGAAGGGACAAGCTGCGAGATAAGGACTCATCGAGGGAAGGGGAGGGCGCCCCTCCCTCAGGAGCCGGGAGACCTGCCTAACCTAGGTCGGAAGCCCACAACCCTGAGTACAAGGTGGACGCTGTGTATACAACTTAGCACCTTAAGATGTTAGGTGACCAACAACATTATAAAGAGAGACAATAGACAGAACTTGAGGAGGAGTCATTTGCAACACAGAGGGTGGCATAGGTTAATAGACAGAAATGGGAAGAGCTCTTAAAAATTGACAAGGGGCTTGCTGGTTGCTCACGCCTGTAATCCCAGCACTTTGGGAGGCCTAGACGGGTGGATCGCTTGGGCCCAGGAGTTTGAGACCAGTCTGGGCAACATAGCAAGATCCCATCCCTACTGAAAAATAAAATTAGCTCAGCGTGGTGGCATGGCCTGTAGTCCCATCTACTCACAAAGCAGAGGCGGAAGGATCGCTTGAGCCCGGGAGTTCGAGGCTGCAGTGAGCCGAGATCGTTTCACTGCACTCCAGCCTGGGCAACAAAGACAGGAAAAAAAAGATAAGGAATGGAACAACCCTTATTCTAAATAAGGAAAGACTGGGAGGGGGAGGCAGGAGTGGGAGGCTGGGGCCTCCTGGCTGGGCAGGCTCCCTCCCTGGGAGGCAGGACCTTGGGAAAGGAGAAGCTGGAGATAAGGATAGAGGCCCTCGTGGTGGGGCGGGGGGGGGCAGGTAGAGAAGGAGATGGGGAGGAGCCCAACGCCCCACCCCCCACCCCCACCAGGCTCAGACTGGGCAATCTTCCCAACCAAGGCTGGCAATCCAGAATCTGTGAAGTACAAGATAGCAGTATTTGCATAACACGTTAAAAACCTTTTGCAAGACAGTGTACAAAGGCTTGAGGAGATATTTGCAACATTTCAAAAGCATAGCATTGCAAGCTATAATATATAAAGAGTGCACACAGGTTGGGCGCGGTGACTCACGCCTGTAATCACAATACTTTGGGAGACTGAGGCAGGTGGATCATTTGAGGCCAGGAGTTCGAGACCAGCCTGGCCAACATGATGAAACCCCGTCTCTACTTAAAGTACAAAAATTAGCCAGGCGTGGTGGCACATGCCTGTAGTCCCAGCTACTCGGGAGGCTGAGGGATGAGAATCACTTGAACCCAGAAGGTGGAAGTTGCAGTGAGCCGAGATCGCGTCAAAAAAAAAGAGTGCATACAAATTGACAAGAAATGCACTCCTCCCTCCCACATGCTAAGGACAGGCCTAGGAGAGGGAGAGGGAGGGAACAGCCTGCAACTCCCACCCCAGGAGCCAGGAGACTTTCTTAACTAAGGTTGGAAATCTTCAATCTATAAAACTTCAATCTTGTTTTATAGATTTTGAGCTGTATAAAACTGTAAAAACTGTCATATAGCAAAAACAAAACAAAACCCACAAACCCATCCAGGGAAAAATAGACTCAATTCCTATCATATAAAATGAGCTCTTACCAATCAGCCAATAGAAATGAAACAAGGGCCGGGAGCAGTGGCTCACGCCTGTAGTCCCAGCACTTTGGAAGGCCCAGGTGAGTGGATCACTTGAGGTCAGGAGTTCGAGACCCGCCTGGCCAACATAGTGAAACCCTGTCTCTACTAAAAATACAAAAGTTAGCTGGGCACGGTGACACACAGAGCCTCGGGAAGCTGAGGCAGGAGAATTGCTTGAACCGAGGAGGCAGAGGTTGCAGTGAGCCGAGATCACACCATTGCACTCCAGTCTGGGTGACAGAGTGATTCTGTCAAAAAAAAAAAAAAAAAAAAAGAGAGAAAGAGAAAAGAAACAAGCAAAGGAAAAATTAGAGCAGTATAGGAAGGAGAGGGAGATTGGAACCCTCGGGCTGAACAGGGACCCGGACCTCTGGGAGCCTGGCCAAAGCCCTTCCAAGGTTCTTTGGAGTTCCCAGCCTCTTCCCAAAACAGGGTCAAGTGTGTGGATGCGCTGATTAGAGAGACAAGGGTCCACTGGCTCTGTCAGTACAGGTGTGGGCCTTGGTTTCCTCATCTGTGAAATGGGTAATGTTTCCTCCTACGCCATACGAATGTTGAAAAGGTTGCAGGAGATGGTAGAAGGGATGTGGTTTAGGAGGACAGTCCATGGAGTCAAACTGCCTGGGTCCAAATCCCAGCTCCTCTACAAGCTGTGCACATGAAGGCCTCAGGGACACGCTGATGGTACCTACCTCAGAGTGCTGGTATAAGGAATAAATTAATTGGGCTGGGCGCAGAGGCTCACCGCCTGTAATCCCAGCACTTTGGGAGGCCAAGGCAGGAGGATCACTTGAGGTCAGGAGTTCAAGATCAGCCTGGCCAACATGGCAAAGCCCCATCTCTACTAAAAATACAAAACTTATCCGGTCGTGGTGGCAGGTGCCTGTAATCCCAGCTACTTGGGAGGCTGAAGCAGAAGAATTGCTTAAACCTGGGAGGCCGAGGCTGCAATGAACTGAGATCGTGCCATTGCATTCCAGCCTGGGTGATAGAGTGAGACCCTGCCAAAAAAAAAAAAAAAAGGAATAAATGAATTAATCCACATAACAGCACTTAGAGAAGGGATCGGCCTTTGCTAAGTGCCATATGAGCATTTGCCATCATCATCACCACCATCTTTTTTTTTTTTTTTTAAGAGATAGTCTCACTCCGTCTCCCAGGTCTGCAGCCTCAACCTCCTGGGCTTAAGCAATCCTCCCACCTCAGCTTCCCAAGTAGAGAACATGCCACCACAGGCCCGCACCACCACACTCTGCTAATTTTTTGGTTTTTTTTGTAGAGATGGGGTTTCACCATGTTGCCCAGGCTGGTCTCGAACTCTTGGGCTCAATCGGTCCTCCTGCCTCCCACAGTGCTGGGATCACAGGTATGAGCCACTGCACCCGGTGCATCATTATTATTATTAAAACCTTTAGCACAGTGCCTGGCACATAGTAAGGACTCAATAAACCTCAACCATCACAACAACATAACACCAACAATTTGCTGTTATCCACAGTCACTCAGCTAAACCTATGCCCTGCTGGTCCTCCTTAGATGCTGTGGCTTCCACCTCGGGTGGGGTAGGGCTGTTGTAGAGAGCCAAAGACTGGAAACACTTGGAAGTGGGTTCGGATGTTTACTCTGCCACCTGCTTGCTGAGCAACCTTGGGAAAATGAACTTACCTCTCTGAGCTTCAGTTTCCTCCTACCTTCAATGGGATAATAGAAAATGAGGTCTCATGAGCCAGGCATGATGGCACATGCCCATAGTCCCAGTTACTTAGGAGGCCAAGGCAGGAGGATCACTTGAGTCCAGGAGGTCGAGGCTGCATTGAGCTGTGATTGCATCACTGTGCTCCAGCCTGGGCAATAGACGGAAACCCTGTCTCAAAAAAAAAAAAAAAAAAAAAAAAGACGTCTCTATAAAGTAATTTACAACTGATATAATACATTATGAACAATCCATATAATTGTTATTTATAAATATAATATAGGCTGGGCACGGTGGTTCATGCCTGTAATCCTGGCACTCTGGGAGGCCGAGGCGGGAGGATCACTTGAGGTCAGGAGTTCCGAGACCAGCCTGGCCAACATGGTGAAACCCTGTCTCTACTAAAAAAATACAAAAATTAGCTGGGCGCGGTGGCACATGCCTGTAATCCCAGCTACTCAGGAGGCTGAGGAAGGAGAATCGCTTGATCCTGGGAGGCGGAGGTTGTAGTGAGCCAAGATCGTGCCATTGCACTCCAGCCTGGGTGACAGAGTGAGACTCTGTCTCCAGAAAAAAAAAAAGAAAGAAAAAAAGAAATATATATACATACATATATATGTATATGTATGTAATATGAATACTTAATATACAATATTGCATTAACACAATAGTATAAATGCAAATACATAAAGCATGAAGTACAGTGCCCAACACATGATAGGTACTCAATACATGGGAGCTACTATGACTGTTCTCCTAACAGCTCTGAGACCCTGGCCATTGGCCTGGCCCTGCCCAGGGATCCTTCTTTCTCATTTCCTTTTGTGATCCCTTGAAATCTAATCTCCAGCTGCTGACTTCCCAGAGAGCCTCCTTGGTCCCAGGGGCACAGAACACCCACCCTCTGGCTCTGCACCGCCCCAGACACAGGGATGGAGGACAGCAGAGTCACTTAGAGTCCTGCCCACCCCGGAGGGCCATGAACTTCAGACACAGAGAGCGACATGGCTAGGGAGACCCTGACAGGGAGACAGACACAGGCACAGGAAGGAACACGGAAACCACTGAGGCACAGTACACAGCCCGTGTCTGACAGAGCCCACAGAGACCCAGGGCCTGGGCACAGCATTTTCAATCCCGCCTCACACACGGGCAGGGAGTAGGGACACGCATCACACAGCCAGCCACTGATGGTCCTGGATTCTCACTGGTGAATCCTAAGGTAGACACATGCACAGATCTGGGGCAACACGTACCCCTGTCCCCCAACGGAACCACACACAGCCATTGTCACAAACAAGCCTCCAGTCTTCCTCCACTCCCGCCCTACACTCTACAAATCTCACAATCTCACACCTGTGAAATCTTTTTTTTTTTTTTGAGACAGAGTTCCGCTCTCGTTGCCCAGGCTGCTGCAGTGCAATGGTGCGATCTCAGCTCACTGCAACCTCTGCCTCCCGGGTTCAAGCGATTCTCCTGCCTCAGCCTTTCAAGTAGCTGGGATTACAGGTGCCCGCCACCATGCCCAGCTAATTTTTTGTATTTTTAATAGAGACAGGGTTTTGCCATGTTGGCCAGGCTGGTCTCAAACTCCTGACCTCAGGTGATCCACCCACCTCTGCCTCCCAAAGTGCTGGGATTACAGGCGTGAGCCACCGCGCCCGGCCTCTTTTTTTTTTTTTTTTTTTTTTTACATTGTCGGGGTCTCGATCTGTTGGCTAGACTGGTCTCAAAATCCTGGCCTCAAGCAATCCTCCCACCTGAGCCTCCCAAAGTGCTGGGATTATAGGCATGAGCCACCACACATCATGTGAAATCTCACACACACACATCTGACTTGTTCACATAAGCACACGTCACACACACACACACACACACACACACACACACAGGCGCACAGCGTCCTCATCCAGAAACAATTTCCTCAGTATTTATTAACACAAACTAGACAAATGGTAGAAAAGCGAACATCTTATTACACAATTTTTTCTAATAGGAGAATGTCCTGCCCTTGAGGAACCATGAGCCCTTGAGAATGTCAGATGGTAAATAAATCAATAATTCGAACACAACGTGAAAAGAGTTAGAACAGGGGCATACAAAGGAATGCAATGGGAAGAATGACAGGTTGGTTTGTTTGTTTCATATCCACTGATATATTTTGGTTTGTATAATAAGGAATCCTCTTTTCAGGTTTTACAACCTTGATTTGACATTTTTCAGCACAGCATAAAAAGAGAGATTGCTTATACATGTGAAATTGCCACTAGAAGAAAAACGGAAGTATTTGTCTCCATCAGGGTGGTACTTGAACATAAACAACATTATAGGTTGTACATAATTTAAATGAAAATGCTGTGTGTTGCATAAATACAGGAAAATACTCAGATCGGTACTTAAGTTCATACTGGGTCATCAGAATGCATTACAATTTTGTAAAGATATGACACTGAATGACATTTTCTTTCTTTTTTTGAGACAGGGTCTTGCTCTGTTGTCCAGGCTGGAGTACAGTGGTGCGATCACAGCTCACTGCAGCCTCAAACTCCTGGCCTCAAGCAATCTTCCTGCCTCAGCCTCCTGAGTAGCTGGGACCACAGGTACACACCACCAAGCCCAGCTATTTTTTTTTTTTTTTTTTGAGTGGAGTCTCGCTCTGTTGCCCAGGCTGGAGTGCAGTGGCACGATCTCAGCTCACTGCAAGCTCCACCTCCCAGGTTCACGCCATTCTCCTGCCTCAGCCTCCCAAGTAGCTGAGACTACAGGCGCCCGCCACCACACCCGGCTAATTTTTTGTATTTTTAGCAGAGATGGGGTTTCACCGTGTTAGCCAGGATGGTCTCGATCTCCTGACCTCATGATCTGCCTGCCTCGGCCTCCCAAAGTGCTGGAATTACAGGCGTGAGCCACCGTGCCCGGCCGGCCCAGCTAATTAAAAAAAAATTTTTTTTTTTTTTAGAGATAAGGTCTTGCTATGTTGCCCAGGCTGGTCTCTAGCTCCTGGGCCCAAGCGATCCTCCTGCTTTGGCCTCCCAATGTGTTGGGGTTACAGGTATGAACCACTGCACCCAGCCAGATTATTTCCATATAATTCTTTTTTTTTTTTTTTTTGAGATGGAGTCTTGCACTTGTCACCCAGGCTGGAGTGCAGTGGCGCGATCTCGGCTCACTGCAAGCTCCGCCTCCTGGGTTCACGCCATTCTCCTGCCTCAGCCTCCCGAGTAGCTGGGACTACAGGTGCCTGCTACCACGCCCAGCTAATTATTTTGTATTTTTAGTAGAGATGGGGTTTTACCCTGTTAGCCAGGATGGTCTGGATCTCCTGACCTTGTGATCTGCCCGCTTCGGCCTCCCAAAGTGCTGGGATTACAGGCGTGAGTCACCACACCTGGCTATTTCCATATAATTCTTAAGGGATAGTATAATCCCAAAGCAGCCGTAACTGTGTGGTTTGGAGACAGTGGTTCTCAAAGGGTACTCCCTGGACCAACAGCATCAGCATCCTGTCAGAACTTGCTAGAAGTTAAAATTCTCACCCCCACCCCAGCCCTACTCTGGGATGGGGCCTTGCAATCTGGGTTTTCACAAGCCCTCCTGGTTACTCCAGTGCACACTCAAGTTTAAGAACTGATGGCTAGGGCTTCAGTCTGAGGCTTCCTATGTCACGAATGGTTTATTATACCTAGAATTTTCTTCTCTTTTTCTTTTTCTTTTTTTTTTTTTTTGAGACGGAGTTTTGCTTTGTTGCCCAGGCTGGAGTGCAGTGTCATGATCTTGGCTCACTGCAACCTCTGCCTCCTAGGTTCAAGTGATTCTCCTGCCACAGCCTCTCAAATGGCTGGGATTACAGACACACGCCACCATGCCCGGCTAATTTTTGCATTTTTAGTAGAGACGGGGTTTCACCACGTTGGCCAGGCTGCTCTCGAACTCCTGACCTCAAGCGATCTGCCTGCCTCGGCCTCCCAAAGTGCTGAGATTACAGGCATGAGCCACCACGCCCAGCCTACGTCTAGAATTTTCTGTATTGATACTTCAATTTGTTTAGATCCTTTAAAAGTATATTTCATGTAATTCTCCTGATTACAGAAAAATATTGTCATTAGCAATTAGAAAAGGGAACATCTCCAGTGCCTGGAGCTCCAAATGCCCAGACTGAACTTGAATCTCCTGCAACACAGACAAAAGATTGGTCATCAGCTAACCTCAGGACACAGCTCACCTCCATTTTCTCAGATACACCTATGGCAGGTGAGGTGCCTTGTCTTAAAGGTTCCCGGGGTCCCACAGTCCCTTTCTGGTCTAGGCCAGAGCTACTCAACTTTTAAGGTGCTGCCAACCTCCTAGAGGGAGAGGGAGAGGGAGACGGGAAAGGTCTTAAGCTACAGATTCTGCTTCAACAGGTTTGGGCTTGGGTTTAGGTCCTGAATTTCCTTTTTTTTTTTTTTTTTTTTGACAGAGTCTTGCTCTGTCGCCCAGGCTGGGGCACACTGTAGACAGGATTTCACCATGTTGGCCAGGCTGATCTCGAACTCTTGACCTCAAGCGATCCACCCGCCTCGGCCTCCCAAAGCGCTGGGATTACAGGCGTGAGTCACTGCGCCCGGCTGGGTTTAGGTCTGAATTTCCTGCAAGTTCCCAGAGCATGCCAGGCTGCTGAGGGCCATTGCTTGAGTGGCGAGGCTCTCTGCAAACTGACAGTCTAAGCTGAGACAGATAATGCAAGAATACAGCCCAAATTTGGAACCTGCCACCAGGAGGAGGTGGCAGGAATACAGAGGGAAGCCAGGCCCAGAGAACTCAGGGAAGCGATGGAGATGGAAACTCAGATTAAATTCTGAAGGAAGCCGGTGAAGGAAGCTGGATCTGAAACTCTTCAGGGCTGCAATAGCGTTGGTCCAGGAGCCCCTGCGGGTGGGGAGTGAAAACCCTAAGCCAAGCCCAGATTGGGGACAGGGTTTCGCTGGTAGCAGGGCCCGGGAAGGGGGAACCCAGAAGCGCTCAGGAGGTGGCGCCATAGCACAGAGATTGAGTGGGTCCAGGACTGTGGGTTCAAATCCTGCCTCTGCCTTTTATGGGCTGTGTGAGTTTGAGCAACTTACTCAGCCTCTCTAAGCTTCAGTTTCCCTCATGCATGAAGTGGACACAATACACACACAAAAACTGCTTACGTGTTCTTAGAGTTTTGAGATTTGTAGGGAGGTTTCCTGTTTCTTATTGCTTAATATTGGTCATCGATACATTCTGTCTCGCTCTCTCTTATTTTTTAAAATGTTATTAATTTTTATCAGGCACTCTCTGAGCCAGAGTAGTCTCAGAGACTCCCTCATTTTTTCTTTTCTTTTTTTTTTTTTTTTTTTTTTTTTTTTGAGATAGAGTCTCGCTCTGTCACCCAGATTAGAGTGCAATGGTGCAATCTTGGCTTACTGCGACCTCCGCCTCCCAGGTTCAAGCAATTCTCCTGCCTCAGCCTCCTGAGTAGCTGGGACTATAGGTGCACTCCACGATGCCCGGCTTATTTTTTGTATTTTTAGTAGAGACGAGGTTTCACCATGTTGGCCAGGCTGGTCTCAAACTCCTGACCACAGGTGATCCACCGGCCTCAGCCTCACAAAGTGCTGGGATTACAGGTGTGAGCCACCACGCCTGACCTCATTTTTTCTCTATCAGTTTTGATTTATAATTGCAAAACTTTTTTTTTTTTAGATGGAGTTTTGCTCTTGTTGCTCAGGCTGGAGTGCAGTGGTGCAATCTCGGCTCACTGCAACCTCTGCCTCCTGGGTTTAAGTGATTCTCGTGCCTCAGCCCCCTGAGTAGCTGGTATTACAGGCACCCGCCACCACACCTGGCTAACTTTTGTATTTTTAGTAGAAACAGGGTTTCACCATGTTGGCCAGGGGCTGATCTCGAGCTCCTGACCTCAAGTGATCCACCCGCCTCAGCCTCCCAAAGTACTGAGATTACAGGCATGAGCCACCGCATCTGGCCTTATAATTGCAACATCTTTATTAGACTCTTCGCCAATGATAACTAACAGTTGGCTTTGTGGGTTCGGGTTCTCCTATTGTACATTTGTTTCTTTAATTTGATCTTATTTCATTAATGATAAATAGCATTAGTTACCATTGTGGATTTGGTTATTATACCTTTTTTTTGTTTGTTTGTTTTGAGTTAAGGTGTTGCTCTGTCACCCAGGCTGGAGTGCAGTGGTATGATCACAGCTAATTGCAGCCTCAACCTCCTGGGTTCAAGCAATCCTCCTGCCTCAGCCTCCAGAGTATCTGAGAATGTGCCACCATACCCAGCTATTTTTTTTTTTTTTTAGTACAGCTGGGTCTCACTCTGTTGCCCAGGCTGTTCTTGAACTCTTGGGCCCAAGCAATCCTCCTGTCTCAGCCTTCCCAGTAGCTGGGACTATGGGTGCATGCCACCATGCCCAGCTAATATTTTTTCTTTTTGTAGAGATGGGATCACTCACTGTGTTGCCAAGCTGCTTTCAATCTCCTGGGCTCAAGTGATCCTCCTGCCTCGGCCTGCTAAAGCACTGGGATTTCAGGGGTGAAGCGCTGCTCCCAGCCTATTATATCTTTCATGCTTGCTTTCTTTATTCTTTTTTCCTTTGAGTTTTTTGTTTGTTTGTTTGTTTGTTTGTTTTTGAAACGGGGTCTCGCTCTGTCATCCAAGCTGGAGTGCAGTGGTGCGATCTCAGCTCACTGCAACCTCCGCCTCCCAAGTTCAAGGGATTCTCCTGCCTCAGCCTCCCAAGTAGCTGGGACTACAGGCATGTGCCACCATGCCCAGCTAATTTTTTGTAGTTTTAGTAGAGATGGGGTTTCACCATGTTGCCCAGGCTGGTCTTGAACTCCTGACTTCAAGTGATCCACCCACCTTGGCCTCCCAAAGTGCTGGGATTACAGGCATGAGCCACCATGCCTGGCCCTTTTCTTTGAGTTTTGCGTGCTGTTCTTTTCCTCACATTTAAGATAGATGGTTAGCTGGCTTATTTTCAGCCTCGTTCCTTTTCCCACATTTGTATTTAAGGCTTTACACTTTTTTTGTGGGATTGTTGTGTGTCTTACATAAGCAAAAAGTATAGTGGGTTGAGGTTATTTCAGGCACATGGAAAGTGCTCAGTGTGTTTACTGACATGGATGATGGTTTTGATTATTATTTAATTTATTTATTTATTTTGAGACAGAGTCACACTCTGTTGCCCAGGCTGGAGTGCGGTGGCGCGATCTCACCTCACTGCAACCTCCACCTCCCGGGTTCAAGCAATTCTCCTGCCTCAGCCTCCTGAGTAGCTGAAATTATAGGTGTGCACTACCACACCTGGCTAATTTTTGTATTTTTTAAAATAGAGATGGGGTTTCCCTATATTGGCCAAGGTGGTCCCGAGCTCCTGATGTTAGGTGATCCACCTGCCTCAACTTCCCAAAGTGTGATTATTATTATTCTTATTAATCAGGAGCTTTAGAGTCAGAGAAAGATTCAAGCAAGAAGTTTGGATTAATTATGAATCAGTTTCCTATTGCTGCCGTAACAAATGATTGCAAACAGTGCTTTACAACAACACAGATTCATTATCTCACAGTCCTGGAGGTTGGAAGTCCAAAATGAGTCTCCTTTGGCTAAAATCAAGGTGTCATCGGGCTGCCTTCCTTCTGGAGGCTCCAGGGGAGAATCCTGTTTCTTGCATTTTCCAGATTCTAGAGGCCACTTGCATTCCTTAGCTTGTGGCCCCTTCCTTGTTGAAGTCAGCAACAGAGAATCTTTAAATCCCTCTATGACTCTGTCCTTTTCTGCTGCCTGCTCTTCCACTTTAAGGGATCCTTACAATTACTCTGGTCCTACCCACATAATCCAGGATAATTTCCTTTGTTGTTGTTGTTTTTTGTTTTAAAGACACGGAGTCTTACTCTGTTGCCCAGGCTGGAGGGCAGTGGTGTGATCACCACTCACTGCAGTCTTGATTACCCAGGCTCAAGCAATCCTCCTGCCTCAGCTGCCTGAGTAGCCGGGACTACAGGTATGCACCACCACACCTGGCTAATTTTTGCATATTTTTGTAGAAACAGAATCTTGCTATGTTGCCCAGGCTGGTCTCAAACTCCTGGGCTCAAGTGATCCTCCAGCCTCAGCCTCCCAAAGTGCTGGGACTACAGGCATGAACCACCGCACCCAGCCTAGAGTCCATGTTTTTAGCCACTCAGCTCCAGGATACACTGAGCCTGGTTGCATAGTCAATTTCTTTTCTTTTCTTTTTTTTTGAGATGGAGTGTTGCTCTGTCGCCCAGGCTGGAGTGCAGTGGCATGATCTCAGCTCACTGCAACCTCAGCCTTCCAGGTTCAAGAAATTCTCCTGCCTCAGCCAGCCTCCCAAGTAGCTGGGATTACAGGCACGTGCCACCATGCCCAATTTCCTTATTTTAAAATCAATGGGACATGCGTGGTGGCTTATGCCTGTAATCCCAGCACTTTGGGAAGCCGAGGCGGGCAGATCACTTGAGGTCAGGAGTTTGAGACCAGCCTGGCCAATATGGTGAAACCCCATCTCTACTAAGAATACAAAAAATTAGCTGGACGTGGTGGCATGCACCTGTAGTCCCAGCTACTCAGGAGGCTGAGGCATGAGAATCGCTTGAGCCCGGGAGACAGAGGCTGTAGTGAGCCAAGGTCACACCGCTGCACTCCAACCTGGGTGACAGAGTGAGACTGTCTCAAAAAAATAAAATAAAATAATGATTAGTGACTTTAATTCCATCTGCAACCTTAACTCTTCCTTGCTGTGTAACATAATATATTCGCTAGTTCTGAGGACACCTCGGGGGGCTGTTATTCTGCCCAAAAATTAGTATTTTGTTTTACAAATGAGGAGTATTCTTGTCTTTCATATGAAGGGAGACAGCTACCAAGGCTGTCTGGGGCTCCAGTGTCAGGGCCCAGGCTCCTTCTGTCTTGTTGCTCCAGCATCAAATGTGGCTTTTTCTTGTGGCCCAATATGGCTGCTTGAGCTCCATCCTTCCCATCTACATCCCAGTCAACATGTGGAGGAAGGGAGGGAGGGAAGAAGAAGGAAATGCTCTTCCAGGAGCATGGTACATGACACTCCTGTCTACATCTTGCTGCCAGAACTTAGCTAGAGATGGGCACTCAATGCCTCAAAAAGATGGATCTAGGCCAGGCGCAGTGGCTCACACCTGTAATCCCAGCACTTTGGGAGGCCGAGGCAGGCGGATTACGAGGTTAGGAGTTCAAGACCAGCCTGGCCAAAGTGGTGAAACCCCATCTCTACTAAAAATACAAAAAATTAGCTGGGCATGGTGGCAGGTGCCTGTAATCCCAGCTACTCAGGAGGCTGAGGCAGAAGAATTGTTTGAACCCAGGAGGCAGAGGTTGCAGTGAGCTGAGATCGCACCACTGCACTCTAGCCCGGGCGACAGTGCGAGACTCCATCTCAAAAAAAAAAAAAAAAAAAAAAAAGATCTGGCCTTGGGTTAGCTGTATGCCTGGTCACAAATCAAATTTCCTATTACTGAAGGAAGAACAGATATTGAGGCCATGTCACAGATTGAAGGAATAAGAAGCACATTGAAGGGATGACAGAGTCAGAGAGGACATAGATGTCCAGGAAAAAGTGGAATCCAGCCTTTCTACAATCTGGGTACAGTAGAAAGAAGGGGGGTGTGGTCACTGATAATGGCTTTCAAGATATCCCGGAACCTGTGGGTGACCTTATTTGGCAAAAGAAACTTCACAGACGTGATTGAGTTCAGGATCGTTCAATCAGAGGTTGTCCTGGAAGATCTGGGTGGACCCTAAATGGAATCACTAGGCTCCCTAGAAGAGGGAGGCAGAGGAAGATTTGGCTACAGAGGAGGAGGCAAGGTGAGGATGGAAGCAGAGGTTGGAGAGATGTTATTTGAAGATGGAGGAGGCCACGAGCCAAGGAACGCAGGCCAACACTGGAAGCTGAAAAGGTCGGCTGAGCAGGGTGGTTCACACCTGTAATCCCAGCACTTTGGGAAGTCAAGGCAGGCAGATCACTTGAGGCCAGGAGTTCAAGACCAGCCTGTCCAACATGGCGAAACCCCATTTCTACTAAAAAATACAAAAATTAGCCAGGCATGGTGGTGCATGCCTGTAATCCCCTCTACTCTGGAGGCTGAGGCAGGAGAATTGCTCGAACCCAGGAGGCAGAGGTTGCAGTGAGCTGAGATCGTGCCACTGCACTCCAGCCTGGGCAACAGAACAAGACTCCAGCACAAAAAGGAAAAAAAAAAAAAAAAAAAGAAGCTGAAAAGGTCAAGAGCATGGATTCTCCACTGGGGCTTCCGTAAGGAACCAATCCTGCTGACATCTTAATTTTAATCTTGTAAGACCCAAGTCAGACGTCTGACCTCCACAGCTGAAAGAACACATCTGTGGTGTTGTAAGCCACTAAGTGCATTGCCATTGGTTACAGCAGGCACAGGAAATGAAAACAGTAACTCTGCCCTAAAATCTCCCTTATTCCCTAAGAGATATAACTGGGGGAGGAGATCCCCTGCGAAGGTGGGTGTTGGCTGAAGTCCTTCAGGGAACCAAAATGATTCTGGGGGGCTGGGAGAGGGGACTTCCAGTAGGCAAGGGGCAGATTCGAGTGACTGGTGTCACTTTGCTCAAAAGTAGTAGTAGGCTGGGTGTGGTGGTTCACACCTATAATCC
Source organism: Homo sapiens (assembly GCF_000001405.40). Taxonomy (NCBI): domain Eukaryota; kingdom Metazoa; phylum Chordata; class Mammalia; order Primates; family Hominidae; genus Homo; species Homo sapiens. The sequence goes on from NC_000019.10 coordinate 39,218,238, forward strand.
CAGTACTTTCGGAGGCCAAGCCAGGAGGATTGCTTGAGCCCGGGAGTTTGAGACCAGCCTGGGCAACATAGTAAGACCCTGTTGCTACTAAAAATTTAAAAATTAGCCCGGTGTGGTTGCTGTAGAGAGGGAACAGCCCCTGCTACTGGGGAGGCTGAGGTGGGAGCATCACTTGAGCCCAGGCGATCCAGGCTGCAGTGAGCTATAATTGCACCATTGCATTCCAGCCTGGGCAACACAGCAAGACCCTGTCTCAAAAAAAAAAAAAAAAAGAAGTAGTAGTAATAAAAAGAATGATAAAAATGGCAGTAATAAAAAGAATACCAATAACAACTACCGGCATGTGCATCTTTATTGCATGCCGGACTCTCCGCTAATAGCCTTACACACGTGTTCTTTTATCTTCATAGCTACCCTATGGGACAATGAGTCCATCAAAATGGGCTGCATTTTCCTGCAGTAACAAATGACCTCAAGTCTCAGCGGCTTACGCCTGCGAAGGCTGATTGCCTGCTTACACCGTGTGCTCATCCCAGGACACTTTGGTGCTGTGCTTGTCATTGTCCTCACCCAGGCTGAGAGAGCAGCTAATCCCTGGCTCATTGCCAGTCTCTGATCCCAGGGAAAAGCAGGTGGGATAGGCACCGGCACTTAGTGCTTAAAGCTTCATTCCCAGATGACACAGGTCACACCACTCTCTCCCTTTTTTTTTTTTTCCTTTCTGAGACAGAGTCTTGCTCCGTCACCCAGGCTGGAGTGCAGTGGCGTGATCTTGGCTCACTGCAACCTCCACTTCCCGGGTCCAACCGATTCTCCTGCCTCAGCCTCCCAAGTAGCTGGGATTACAGGCACACGCCACCATGCCCTGCTTATTTTTGTATTTTTTAATAGAGACGGGGTTTCACCATGTTGGCAAGGCTGGTCTCGAACTCCTGACCTTGTGATCCGCCTGCCTCAGCCTCCCAAAGTGCTAGGATTACAGGCGTGAGCCACCACGCCCAGCCACATTTTAAAATTTTACAAGTGACTTCATAAAGTAGATGAAAACGTTGCCCTTGTGGAGATTACACTCCAGTAGAGGGAGACAGGCAATAAACAATTTAAAATAAATGTAGTTGCCAGGCACGGTGGCTCACACCTGTAATCCTCGAAACTTGGGAGGCTGAGGCGGGCAGATTGCATGAGGCCAGGAGTTCGAGACCAGCCTGGTCAACATGGTGAAACCTCATCTCTACTAAAAGTACCAGAAATATTAGCTGGGTGTGGTGGTGTGTGCCTGTAGTCCCAGCTACTCAGGACACTGAGGCATGAGAGTTGCTTGAACCCAGGAGGTGGAGGCTGCAGTGAGCTGAGAATGTGCCACTGCACTGTAGCCTGTGCAACAGAATGAGACCCTGTCTCATAATAATAATAATAATAATAATAATAATAATTGCAGTGATTGAATGCCATGCCCAGTAGGTGCTATGGAGACAAGTACAGCCGGGAGGGAGGATGGAGTGAGGCGGGTGCCCTTTTGAATAGCGTGATCAGGGGACCCTCATGCAGAAGCATTTGGTCGAAGACTCGAGGAGGAGAAGGAGGGAGACATGGTGATACTGGGGGAAGAGCATTCGAGGTAGAGGGAACAGCCAGTGCAAAGGAATATTTGAGGAATAGCAAGGAGTGGACAGAGGTAGACGGAGAAAGGGAGGAGATGAGGTCAGAGTGGTCACAGGGGCAGGTCATGGGGGCCTCACGTAAGGTCTTTGTCACTAAATATATAAAGTGAATGATTCGGGTCACTCCCTTTACCCTGAGTGACATGGAGCCATGGGCAGATTCTGAGCAGGGGAGGGACATGACCTGCCTCAGGTGTTCACTTCTGGACATCAATGTCATGGGCTTAAAACAGTCACATGGCCAGATCCAACATCAAAGGGCACAGAAGTACACTCTGCCTTTGGCAAGTCCGTGGCGAGGGTATAGATGGAGGGAGGGGTGAAGAATTTGCATCAGTAACTGGATCTTCCCCAGGAGTCATCACTGTAGCAGTGGGGTTGGGTTTTAAACCATGAGAATAGACAACTGCATCACAGATAGATGCGGGAGAAGGCTGGGGCTGAGCCCTGGGGTAGTCCAGTGTTTTTGATTTTTTGTTTTTGTTTCTGTTTTTTTTTTAATTTTATTTTATATATATATTTTTGAGACAGGGTCTTGCTCTGTCGCCAGGCTGGAGTGCAGTGGTGTGACCTTGGCTCACTGCAACTTCCACCTTCTGGGTTCAAGTGATTCTCCTGCCTCAGCCTCCCAAGTAGCTGGGATTACAGGCGGGCACCAGGACGCCCAGCTAATTTTTGTATTTTTAGTAGAGATGGGGGTTTCACCATGTTAGCCAGGATGGTCTCGATCTCTTGACCTCGTGATCCGCCCGCCTTGGCCTCCCAAAGTGCTGGGATTACAGGCGTGAGCCACTGCACCCAGCCTGTTTCTGTTTTTGAGATGGAGTCCCAGTCTGTCACCCAAGCTGGAGTTCAGTAGCACGATCTTGGCTCACTGCAACCTCCACCTCCCAGGTTCAAGCAATTCTCCCTGTCTCAGCCTCCTGAGAGGCTGGGATTACAGGCACCTGCCACCATGTCCGACTCATTTTTGAATTTTTTAGTAGAGACTGGGTTTTGCCAGGTTGGCCAGGCTGGTCTTGAACTCCTGGCCTCAGGTGATCCACCCGCCTCGGCCTCCTAAAGTGCTGGGATTACAGGCTTGAGTCACCAGGCCTGGCCTTTGTTTTTGTTTGTTAACATAGGATCTTGTTCTGTCATCCAGGCTGGAGTGCAGTGGTGCCATATCATAGTTCACTGAAGCCTCCGCCTCCTGGGCTCAAGAGATCCTCCCACTTCAGCCTCCCAAAGTGCTGGGATTACAGGCGTGAGCCACCATGGCTGGCAGATGCCAGTGTTTAGAAATGAGGAGGGAGAGGAAGAATAAGCAAAAGAGACCGAGGAGGAGCAGACAGTGTCAGGAGGGGACCTAGACCATGGAAGGACGTGAAGAATGTGTCTCAGCAGCAGAGGGTCATCACCCATGTCACCACTGCTGACACATCAGGAAAGATGGAACTGAGAAGTTAGTTACTCCTGGATTCAGCAACATGGAGGTCATTGGTTGTCTTGACAAGAGCTGAATCTGCAGTGGTTGGGGCAAAAGCCTCATTGGAATGTGTGGAAAAGAGACACAGGGGAAGAGGAAGTAGAGACAAGAGGAAGTAGGAAGAGAAGAAGAGGATGGAGACAATGCTTGACAATTGTTGCTGAAAAGACAAGCAGAGGAATGGAGTAGAAGCTGGAGGGGTAGGGGTGGAGATAGAATTTCTTTTCTTTCTTTCTTTTCTTTCTTTTCTTTCTTTCTTTCTTTCTTTCTCTTTCTCTTTCTCTCCCTTCCTGCCTTCCTTCTTTGTTCCCTCTCTTCCTCCTTCCTTTCTCTCTTTTACTTCCTTCCTTACTTACTTTTCTTCTCCTTCTCCTTCTTCTAATTTCTTTCTTTCTTTCCTTTCTTCTTTCTCCTTCCTTCCTTCTTCCTTCCCTCCTTCCTTCCTCCCTTCCCTTCCCCTTCCTTCCTTCCTTCCTTTCCTTCCTTCCTCCCTTCCTCCCTCCCTCCTTTCTTTCCTTCCTTCCTTCCTTCCTTCTTTCTTTCTTTCTTTCTTTCTTTCTTTCTTTCTTTCTTTCTTTCTTTCTGTCTCTCTCTCTCTCTCTCTCTTTCTTTCTTTCTTTCATCTTGCTCTGTCACCTAGGCTGGAATGCACGATCATAGCTCACTGCAGCCTCCAAACTCCTGGGCTTCAGTGATCTTCCCACCGCAGCCTCCCAAAAGTGCTGGGATTACAAGCATGAGCCACTGTTCCTGTCCAGAATTTCATTAAATAAGGTGCAACTGATGATGCAAGAATGTGGGGAGAACTGTGGAGCATGTTCTTGAGAGAGAGGGTGGGACACAGAGGCCAAGTGGAGAAGTTGGGCTTGGAAAGGAGGTTGGGGATCATATCATATTGGAACAGGAGGATAGCAGAGTATCTAGGCCTAGACGCTGGGAAGTAAGTAGAGCTGCTGGTGGGAGCACAGGGGATTTCTCTTCTATGGCTTCTGTGTTTTCAGTGGAAGAAACAAAGCCATCCGTGAGCGTGGACATGTGGGAGGAAGAGTTGGAGGTTTAAGAAGAGAGGACACAGCTGAGAGCGGTTGCCCACGCCTGTAATCCCAGCACTTTGGGACACCAAGTTGGGCAGATCACTTAAGGTCAGGAGTTCGAGACCAGCCTGACCAACATGGTAAAACCCCGTCTCTACTAAAAATACAAACATTAGCCGAGTGTGGTGGCACACACCTGTAATCCCAGCTCCTCAGGAGGCTGAGGCCAGAGGATCGCTTGAGCCCAGGAGGCAGAGGTTGCAGTGAGCCAAGATTGCACCACTGCACTGCAGACTGGGGGACATAGTGAAATTCCATCTCAAAAAAAAAAAGCAAATCTGGCTAGATGGGCAAGGCAGGAAGATTGCTTGAGCTCAGGAGTTTGAGACCAGCCTGGGCAACATGGCGAGACCCCGTCTCTACTAAAAATAGAAAAAAATAGTCAGGTTTGGTGGCGTGCACCTGTGTTCCCAGCTACTTGGGAGGCTGAGGTGAGAGAATTGCATGAGCTCAGGAGGTGGAGGCTGTACTGAGCCAAGATCGTGCCTCTGCACTCCAGCCTGGGTGACAGAGTGAGACCCTGTCTCAAAAAATAAAATGAAATAAAATAAAATAAAATAAATAATAAAATAAAAAAATAAAAATAAGCACATTTATGATAAGTTAGAAGGTGATATATGCTATAAAAAAAGTAATACAGTACAAGATATCAGGAGCACTTGTGTGTAATTCCAAAAGTGCTGGAATTACAGGCATGAGCCACCGCGCCCGGCCCAAAAAAACTTTAAAAACGGGGGACACTGGGTGCGGTGGCTCACGCCTGTAATCCCAGCACTTTGGGAGGCCGAGGCAGGAGGATCACTTGAGGTCAGGAGTTCGAGACCAGCCTAACCACCGTGCTGAAACCCCGTCTCTACTAAAAATACAAAAATTAGCCAGGCGTAGTGGTGCACGCCTGTAATTTCAGCTACCTAGAGGCTGAGGCAAGAGAATCGCTTGAACCCAGGAGGTGGTTGCAGTGAGCCGAGATCGCACCACTGCACTCCAGTCTAGGCAACAGAGTGAGACTCTGTCTCATAAATAAATAAATAAATAATTTTAAAAAAGAAACTCTAGCCAGGCATGGTGGTTCATGCCTGTAATCCCAGCATTTTGGGAGACCAAGGTGAGGGAATCACTTGAGTCCAGGAGTTCAAGACCAGCCTGAGCAATGTAGTAAGAATCCATCTCTACAAAAAAAAAAAAAAAAATTAGCCACACATGGTTCCAGTTACTCAGGAGGCTGAGTGGGGGGCATCACTTGCCCCTGGGAGATTGAGGCTGTGGTGAGCTGTCATCACCCACTGCACTCCAGCCTGGGTGACAGAGCCAGACCCCATCTCAAATAAGTAAATAAACAAAAAACAAAACAAAACAAAACAAACAAAAACAGCTTGTAGAGATGAAACAAAGCACCCTGCTCTAGCAGACAGTGGAGTTCAGAACCACGGAGAGCAGCCCAGTGGTGCTGCCTTCCCGGCAACTGTACTAGCTCCTCTCATGGGGGTTTCCATTGGCCAATCCCTTCCTTAGATCATTGTTCTGAAGATGACAAGGAAACCTTTAGGATCAAAGTCTTTGCTGCTATTGGCTTGTCAGGTGGCCCAATTTGAATCTGAACTGGAGTTCGTTTGTATACACAATCATAAAACTAATTTGTCCTTTTTGACATCAGAATTGGAGATACATGAATGTAGGATGTATTAGACTGCCTTGTCATTCAAAGCAAGGAATTAATTCTTCCCTTACAAAGCAAGGAATTAATTTCTTGGGGAAAATTATAAATCTCTGACTTATTTACCTCAGGCTTGGCTATGTCACGTGTTTTTGCCAGTGAAATGGGAGAGGAAGTAAAGTGGTTTGTATCATTTCTTTTCTTTTTTTGAGATGGGGTCTCACTCTGTCACTCAGGCTGGAGTGCAGTGGCACAAGCATGGCTCACTGCAGTCTCAAACTCCTAGGCTCAAGCAATCCTCCTGCCTCAGCCATCCCCCTCCCCACCCAAGTAGCTGGGACTGCAGGTGTGAGCCACCAAACCCGGCTAATTTTTTGTATTTTTTTGTAGAGATGGGGTCTCACTATGTTGCCCAGGCTGGTCTCAATCTCCTGAGCTCCAGGAACCCTCCCACGTTGGCCTCCCAAAGTGCTGGGATTTCAGGAATGAGCCACTGTGCTCGACCAAGTGTGTATCATTTCTGAACAGAAACTCCGAGAGCCAGTGCATCGTCCACTACGGGCTCTACTGTAAGACCAGCAATAAGATGCTTAAGATGATTTTGGCTGCAAGTAACAGGGCAAGACCCTGTTTTTTAAAAAAGGAAAGAAACAAAGAAAAGGAAGGAAGTTTTGAAAATAGAGGAAAAGGGAGGGGCAATTTATGGAGGAATGAGACAGGAGGGGCCAGGGCCAGGCACCGGCCCAAGTTAGGAAGAAAGGGCACTCATCCCTCATGACAGGGAGCAGGGCAAGTGTGGGGCCAGGTAGGAGATGAGGAAGGTCCACCCAGCAGCTTCTGTGAAGTAGATGGCAAAGTAATGCATTTGGAGAGGGGCAGGGTGACAGGTAGTGGATATGAGGAAGCAGAGAAGGGTTGAAAAAGCCAGAGTGAAACTTTGAAGAGACAAGTGTTTGAAGAAGTGGTGTTGCCACAAGAGGGGGCAGTTGAAAGAGCCTGGTGCCCCCAGATGATTCATCCCTTCTCCGACCCCATGGACACCAAACACAAGAACGTTGACAGCTTCATACCGTGGCAGCTTTGGGGAATGGTGATGGCAGAGCAGGCCCATTGAGCCAGAGTTCTTCAACTTTGAGGGAAACTCATCTTTCCTTTTCATGGGTTTCATCAAGGATGATTTTGGCTGCAAGTAATAGAAAACCCTAACTCATTTGAGAGGCTGACGTAGGCAGATCACGAGGTCAGGAGTTCGAGACCATCCTGGCTAACATGGTGAAACCCCGTCTCTACGAAAAATACAAAAAAATTAGCCGGATGTAGTGGCAGGCGCCTGTAGTCCCAGCTACTCAGGAGGCTGAGGCAGAAGAATGGCATGAATCAAGAGGTGGAGCTTGCAATGAGCTGAGATCTCACCACTGTACTCCAGCTTGGGTGACAGAACGAGAGACTCTGTCTCAAAAAAAAAAAAAAAACCCTAACTCAACTGGCTTTTAAATTTGTATATATATCCCAAGTAGCTGGCATTACACCACGACACCCAGCTAATTTTTTTATTTTTAGTAGAGTTGGGGTTTCTCCATGTTGGCCGGCTGGTCTCGAACTCCTGACCTCAGGCGATTTGCCCACCTTGATCTCCCAAAGTGTTGAGATTACAGGCATGAGCCACCGCGCCCGACTAACGCAGAAACTCTTAACAAAATATTTGCGCATAGAATTCATCAATAGATCAAAAGAATTATACACCATGACCCAATGGGGTTCATTTCAGAGATGCAAGCCCGGTTCAATATTTAAAAATAATCAGTATAATCCACCAAAACAGGTGGAAGAAGAAAAATCACATGATCATATCAAATAATGCAGAAAAAGCATTTGCCATACTTCAGCACCCGTTCATGATTAAAAAGAAAAACTCTCAGAAAAAGTGGAATGGAGGGGAACTGCCTCAACTTGATAAAGAACATCTATAAAAAGCCTACAGCTGTGGGGCCAGGCACGGTGGCTCATGCCTGTAATCCCAGCACTTTGGGAGGCTGAGACAGGCAGGTTGTTTGAGCTCATGAGTTCAACACCAGCCTGGGCAACATGGTGAAACCCCATCTCCACAAAAAATGCAAAACTTAATGATGGAAGACTGAGTGCTTTCTCCCTAAGATGAGGAAGAAGGCAAAGATGTCCTCTATCACCATTCTTATTCAACCACAGTACTGAAAGTTCCATCTGGTGCAATCAGGCAAGAGAAGGAAATAAAAGGCAACTAGATCAAAAAAGAAGAAATAAAACTGTTAGCAGGCTGGGTGCAGGGGCTCACACCTGTAATCCCAGCACTTTGGGAGGTCGAGGCAGGTGGATCACAAGGTCAGGAATTCGAGACCAGCCTGACCAACATGGTGAAACCCCATCTCTACTAAAAATACAAAAATTATCCAGGCTTGGTGGTGCATGCCTGTATTCTCAGCTACTCAGGAGGCTGAGGCAGGAGAATCTTTTGAACCTGGGAGGCGGAAGTTGCAGTGAGCCGAGATCACGCCACTGCACTCCAGCCTGGGCAACAAGAGTGAAACTCTGTCTCAAACACACACACACACACACACACACACACACAATCTGTTTGCAGATGACATAATTGTCAACATAGAAAATCCAAGTAATCTACAAAAATTCTCATAGCACTGAGTCCAGCAAGATGAGAGTATATAAGACAAACATACAAAGATCAACTGTCTACATTAGCAACAAATGCACTCATTCTATCAAGAAATACTTACACCTAAAGTGTGCCAGGCACTGTTTTGTGTGCTGGGGACATAAAAGTGAACAAAACAGACAGAAATCTCTTTTGATTGTTGGTTGTGTGGGGGTTTTTTGTTTGTTTTTGTTTTTTGGTGTTTTTTTGTTTGTTTGTTTTTGTTTGCTTGTTTGTTTGTTTTTGAGACTGAGTCTTTCTCTATTGCCCAGGCTGGAGTGCAGTAGCACAACCTCTGCTCACTGCAATCTCCGTCTCCTGGTTTCAAGCAATTCTCATGCCTCGGCCTCCCAAGTAGCTGGAACTACAGGCACCTGCCACCACGCCCAGCTAATTTTTTTGTATCTTTAATAGAGACAAGGTTTCACCATGTTGGCCAGGCTGGTCTCAAACTCCTGACTTCAAGTGATCCTCCTGCCTCAGCCTCCCAAAGTACTGGGATTACAGGCATGAGCCACTGCGCCTGGCCCAGAAATCTCTTTTGAACACCAAAACAAAAAATACAGCTAGCCTCAGTGGTTCATGCCTGTAATCCTAGCACTTTGGGAGACCAAGGCAGGCTGATGGTTTGAGGGCAGGAGTTTGAGACCAGCCTGGGCAACATGGCAAAACCCCATTTCTATTAAAAAAAAAAAAAAAAAAAAAAAACCTTGGCATGGTTGCACGTGTCTGTAGTTTCAGCAACTTGGGAGGCTGAGGTGAGAGGATCACCTGAGCCCAGGAGGTGGAGGCTGAACTGAGCTGTGATTCCGCCACTGCGCTCCAGCCTGGGCAATAGAGCAAGACCCTGTCCTCACCAACCCCCCAAAATACCATTTATAATAACTTTTAAAAAAAGAATCGCTTAGGTGAAATCTAAGGACTCATATAGTGAAAGCTATAAAACCCTGATGGAAAACATTAAAGGAGACCTAATTAAAAGGAGAGACACACTGCATTTGTGGATTGGAAGACTGGACGGAGTAAAGACCTCAGTTCTCTCCATATTGATATGTAGACTTAATGCAATTCCTATTCAAAACTCCAGCAAGACTTTTCAGATATAGACAAGATTATTCTACAATTTACATGAACGCTAAAGGAACTAGAATAAGTAAACCAATTTTAAAAAGAATAGGCCGGGCGTGGTAGCTCACACCTGTAATCTCAGTACTGTGGGAGGCTGAGGCAGGTGGATCATCTGAGGTCGGGAGTTTGAGACCAGCCTGGCCAACATAGTGAAACCCCACCTCTACTAAAAATACAAAAATTAGCCAGGCATGGTGGTGGGTGCCTGTAGTCCCAGCTACTCAGGAGGCTGAGGCAGGAGAATCACTCGAACTCAGGAGGCAGAGGTTGCAGTGAGCCGAGATCGCACCATTGCACTCCAGCCTGGGTGACAGAGTGAGATTCCGTCTCAAAAAAAAAATTTAAATCAGCAAGAGAATCGCTTGAACCCAGGTGGCAGAGTTTGTAGTAAGCCAAGATCGTGCCACTGCACTCCAGCGTGGACAACAGAACGAGACTCCATCTCAAAATAAATAAATAAAATTAAATTAAACATTTTTAAAAATTAAAAGAAGAATAAAATAAGAGGAACTAGCCTGCTGATTTCAAGACTTAGGATACACTACAGTAACTGACAGTGTTGTTTTGGTAGAGGGAGAGACACATAGACCAACGCAACACAATAGAAAACCCAGAAATAGACCCACACAAATACGCCCAACTGATTTTTGGCAGAGGTGCAAAGCCAACTCAATTGAGGAAGAATAGCCTTTTCAACAAATGGTGTTTGGACCAATTGGATATCTATAGGCAGAAAAGTGGATCACAATATAAACCTCAGATCTTACGCTCAAAATGGATCAAAAATTTAAATTTAAAGTGTAAAACTAGGCCGGGCACAGTGGCTCACACTGTAATTCCAACACTTTGGGAGGCCAAGGTGGGCGGATAACCTGAGCCCAGAAGTTCGAGACCAGACTGGCCAACACGGTGAAATACAAAAATTAGCCAGGCGCAGTGACATTTACCTGTTATCTCAGCTACTCGGGAGGCTGAGGCAGAAGGATCACTTGAGCCCAGGAGGCGGAGGTTGCAGCAAGCCAAGATCACACCACTGCACTCCAGCCTGGGCAACGGGAGTGAAACCCTGTCTCAAAAAAAAAAAAAAAAAAAAAAAAGTGAAGCTAGAATATATTTTTAAAAGAACATAGGGGAAAATCTTTGGGATCTGAGGCTTCGGAAAGAGTTTTTACACTTGACACTCAAAGCACGATTCATAAAATGAAAAGCTGAGAAGTTGGACTTCATCAAAATTTAAATTTTTAATCTGTGGAAGACCCCATTAAGAAGATATAAAGAGTTGGCCGGTGTGGTGACCCACACCTTTAATCCCAGCACTTTGGGAGGCCGAGGCGGATGATCACTTGAGGTCAGGAGTTCGAAACCAGCCTGGACAACCTGGCAAGACCCCATTTTTACAAAAAGTACAAAAATTAGCCAGGCATGGTGTTGCATGCCTGTGGTCCCAACTACTCGGGAGGCTGAGGTAGAAGATCATTTGAGCCCAGGAGGTCGAGGCTACAATGAGCCAAGATTGTGCCACTGCACTCCAGCCTGGGCAACAAAGCAAGACCCAATCTTAAAAAAAAAAGAAAAGAAAAGAAAGAAAGAAAAGAAAAGAAGAAGACAGAAAGACAAGCTACAGATTAGGAGAAAATATTTGAAAACCACATATCTGACAAAAGACTAGTATCTAGAATATATATTTATTTTTTAAAGCCTCTCAAAACTAAAAAGTAAAAGAAAAACAATAATCTAATTAGAAAATAGGCAAAAGGCCAGGCATGGTGGCTCACGCCTGTAATCCAGCCCTTTGGGAGGCCAAGGTGGGTGAATCATTTGAGCCCAGGAGTTTGAGACCAGCCTGGGCAATATAGTGAGACTCCTGTCTTTACAAAAAATAAAGAATAAAAAAATTAGCTGGGCATGGTGGCACACACCTGTAGTCCCAGCTACTCAGGAGGCTGAGGCAGGAGAATCGCTTGAGCCAGGGAGGCTGAGGCCACGGTGAGTCATGATCTCACCACTACCTGCAGCCTGGGCAACAGAGCAAGACCCTGTCTCAAAAAAAAAAGAAAGGAAAGGAAAGGAGAGGGCAGGGGAGGGGAGGGGAGGGGAGAGAAGGGGAAAGGAGAGGGGATAAAGGAGAGGAGAGAAAGGAAAGGGGGGAAGGGAAAGGGGAAAGGAAAGGAAAAGAAAGGAGAGGAGAGGAGAGGAGGGGGAGGGGGAGGGGAGGGGAGGGAGGAAGGAAAGGAAAGGAAAGGAAAGGAAAGGAAAGGAAAGGAAAGGAAAGGAAAGGAAAGGAAAGGAAAGGAAAGGAAAAAGTCTGGGGTTGGCAGATGCCAGACACAGAATGTTCATAATTAATTACGTCATCCTAATTCAGTCCCAAGCCCCTTCCAGCTCTCTCTCTCTCTGTGTGTGTGTGTGTGTGTATGTCTGTGTGTGTGTGAGAGAGAGAGAGAAGATAGGGTTTCACTGTGTTGCCCAGGCTGGTCTTCAACTCTTGGCCTCAAATGATCCTCTCACCTTGGCCTTCCAAAGTGCTGGGATGACAGGCGTGAGCCATTGTGCCCAGCCCCTTCCAGCTTTGTTCTGTCATTTCAGTATTTCAGTATTTCAGTTTGTCAGCCTGAGCCTCAGCCTGTCTCCCCTCATAGGCACAAGGTGGCTGCCACAGTTCCAGGCATCACATACAAAGAGGACAACACTAACAAGAGGAAAATATGCTCCCTTTACCTTTCTTCAGAGCTGAGCTCTAAACCCAACAGGTTTTATTTCACAGCCTGTGCCCTCCAACATTTTGCCATCCTGAAGAAAGGACAAGAGGCAGCACTCCAATCACCACTCCATTCTGATCACTAGTTCCAGGCCTTTCCTCGTCTTTGGGTATCTCCTTTTCTTTCCTTTCCTTTCCTTTCTTTCTTTCTTTTTTTTTTTAAGAGACAGTCTCACTCTGTCACTCAAGCTGGAGCACAGTGGTGTGATCATAGCTCACTGCAGCCTCAAACTCCTGGGTTCAAGCAATCGACCCTCCCACCTCAGCCTCCTGAGTAGCTAGGACTACAGGTGTGTGCCATCACACTTGGCTAATTTTTTAAAGTTTTTCTGTAGAGATGGGGTCATGCAATGTTGCCCAGGCTGGTCTGAAACTCCTGGGCTCAAGCGATCCTCCTGCCTTGGCCCCCACAAAGTGCTGGGATTACAGACATGAGCCTCTGCACCTGGCCTACCTTTGGGTATTTTCATTTTCATTTTTAGTTTTGAATATAAAATATTTGAGACCCACAAAAGAATATTTGAAGTGCACATGAGTCACGCATCTTAATGATCAATGAATATTTATAAACCCATCACTCAACTTAAATCCTAGAACATCATAATACTATTGGAGCTACCTATGTGTCCTTCCTGACTTTTTTTTTTTTCTTTGAGATGGAGTTTCACTCTTGTTGCCCAGGCTGGAGTGCAATGATGTGATCTTGGCTCACTGCAACCTCCACCTCCCGGGTTCAAGCTATTCTCCTGCCTCAGCCTGCATAGTAGCCAGGATTACAGGCATGCACCACCACGCCCAGCTAATTTTGTATTTTTAGTAGAGGCAGAGTTTCACCATGTTGGTCAGGCTGGTTTCGAACCCCTGACCTCAGGTGATCCGCCCGCCTCGGCCTCCCAAAGTGCTGGGATTACAGGCGTGAGCCACCACACCCGGCCTCTGACTTTTTGTTTTGTGTTGTGTTATCCTTCCATTGATTTTTCCTTCTGTTTAACCACACTAGAGTGGGTCGTTTTGTTGTTGAGCCTTACAAAAATGTTATTTTATTATATGTAGTCTTCTATAGGTTGGTGTTTGAACTCAACATTGTATTCCTGCGTCTGTTGGCATTAGATGCTAAGACAGAGCTAGGGGTGTGAAGTTTTTTGGTAGGTGATGCCTAAAGAAATACAAGGGGGAGGAAATAGAATCTGGCAGGAGGAGCCTGAGACCATGATGTTGATCTGATTCATCTGGGAGAGGAAAAAGGTGAGGTGGGATTGGGCAGGGAAAGGCTCAGAATGTGATATTATTTTTTTTCCTGTAGACACGGAGTCTTGCTGTGTTATCCAGGCTGTTCTCAAACTCCTGGCCTCAAGTGATCCTCCCACCTGGGCCTCCCAAAGTGCTGGGATTACAGGTGTGAGCCACCATGCCTGGCCTGAATAAGATGCATTTCTGGCAATGTTGACCAATGCCACAGGGAGCTCAGAACACAGGTCATTCATTAGAGGAGCCTCCCATTGGGTAGGCACGGCCTGATCTGAGAAGCCATGCTCAATAATCACTGATGTCTTCCCCAGGTCTTGGCTCAAAAGCTGATGCAGATCCTGAAGGCACTGCCCTGCTTGCAACAGAATGGCACGGTCTTTTTTGAAGGGATGGCTGGGCTCAGTGGCTCACACCTGTAATCCCAGCACTTTGGGAGGCTGAAAGAGGCTGATCACTTGAGGTCAGGAGTTCAAGACCAGCTTGGCCAACATGAGGAAACCCCACCTCTATTAAAAATACACACACGGCCGGGGGCGGTGGCTCATGCCTGTAATCCCAGCACTTTGGGAGGCTGAGGTGGGAGGATCAGCTGAGGTCAGAAATTCGAGACCAGCCTGGCTAACATGGTGAAACCCTGTTTCTACTAAAAATACAAAAAATTAGCTGGGCGTAGTGGCACATGCCTGTAATCCCAGCTACTCGAGAGGCTGAGGCAGGAGAATTGCTTGAACCTGGGAGGCGGAGGTTGCAGTGAGCTGAGATCGTGCCATTGCACTCCAGCTTGGGCAACAAGAGCAAAACTCCGTCTCAGAAAAGAAATACACACGCCTGTAATCCCAGCTACTTGGGAGGCTGAGGCACGAGAATTGCCTGAACCCGGGCGGTGAAGGTTGCAGTGAGCCAAGATCATGCCACTGCACTCCATCCTGGTGGCACTCCTCTTTGGTTGCCACAGTGCTAAGATTTATCCATGTGGAAATGTGTGGTAGTTCATGTTCCTGCTGCATGGTATTCCACACCCCTCATTTCAGTGATTCATTTGTTAGCAGCTATTTGGGTTGATTCTAATTTTTTGCTGTTACAACAAACACTGCAAAGAATATTCTTTTTTTTTTTGAGATAGGATCTTGCTCTGTCACCCATGCTGGAGGGCAGTAGCTTGATGATGACTTACTGCAACCTCCACCTCCCAGGGCTCAAGCAATCCTCCCACATCAGCCTCCTGAGTACCTGGGACTACAGGCATGTGCCACCCCACCCACCTAATTTTTGTATTTTTTTTTTAATAGAGACAGGGTCTTGCCATATTGCCAAGGTTTGAACTGCTGGCCTCAAATTATCCTCCCACCTTGGCCTCCCGAAGTACTGGGATTACAGGTGTGAGCCACCTCTTCTTTTTTGAGATGGAGTCTCACTCTGTCACCCAGGCTGGAGTACAATGGTGTGATCTTGTCTCACTGCAACCTCCACCTCCCAGGTTCAAGCGATTCTCCTGCCTCAGCCTCCCGAGTAACAGGTGTGAGCCACCACGCCCGACCAAGTCACCTTTTTCCTCAAAGAACATTCTTGTACCACCTGTGTCTCTATTGCATGTGTATAAGAGTTTCTGTTGATATATCTTAGATTTGGAATTTCTGGCTCATGCAATCTGCATATATTCGACAAGATAGTGCCAAAATGTTTTCTATTAGATTCTTTAACACAGCCTTTAACCTTGTACTACATTCCTCTTTTCATTTAAGCTAGCTTGAGTGGGTTTCTATTGCTTGCAATTCTAACCTACCTAACTCATCAAAAATGACTTTTTGATGACAACTCTGTGACATTCCTCCCAAGAGGTCCCCACCCTGACAATAGTCACCTCAGGTTTAGAACTACAGGAGGTTATGGGTGAATGAGGCACAAACACAAGTTTGACACGTCCTTAGCAATACACTCACACTGGCTGGACACGGTGGCTCACACCTGTAATTTCAGCACTCTGGGAGGCTGAGGCAGGAGGATCACTTGAGCAAAGGAATTCAAGACCAGCCTGGGCAATGTAAAAATGTAAAAAAAAATGTAAATGTAAAAAACAAAATGCAAAAAATAAAATGTAAAAAAAATAATAGTAGGCCAGGTGCCGTGACTCACACCTGTAATCCCAGAATTTTGGGAGGCCGAGATGGGTGGATCACAAGGTCAGGAGTTTGAGACCAGCCTGGCCAACGTGGCGAAACCCTGTCTTCTCCACTAAAAATACAAAAATCAGCCTGGTGTGGTGGTGGGAGCCTGTAATCCCAGCTACTCAGGAGGCTGAGGCAGGAAAATTGCTTGAACCCCAGAGGCAGAGGTTGCAGTGAGCCAAACTTGTGCCACTGCACTCCAGCCTGGGAGACAGAGTGAGACTCTGTCTCAAAAAAAAAAAAAAGTAGTAAAAAGACTTTTTAAAATAAGATAAGACATACACTCATACATGCAGATCCTCGGTCCATGATGATGCCATTTTCCTGCTGCTCTGACCCAGGCACAGCCTCCCTCTGGACATCTTATTAGTTGGCCTAATGACTGCTTGTGATGTTTAAGTCATTTGCAATTAAATCTTCCACAACTTGTAACTGAAAGCATCCTTAGTGACTTTTTCACTCTTCATTCATTCTTTCATATTCTTACTCTCTGTCCCTCCCTCTTTCTCTCTCCCTTTCTTCTTTTTCTTTTCTTTTTTTTTCTTAAAGGAGGGGTCAGCTGGATGCAGCGGCTCATGCCTGTAATCCCAGCACTTTAGGAGGCCAAGGTGGGTGGATCACTTGAGGCCAGGAGTTCGAGACCAGCCTGGCCAACATGGCAAAACCCCGTCTCTACCAAAAATACAAAAATTAGCCAGCATGGTGGCACACACCTGTAGTCCCAGCAACTCAGGAGGCTGAGGCAGGAGAATCGCTTGAACTCAGGAGGCGGAGGTTGCAGTGAGCTGAGATGGCACCACTGCACTCCAGCCTGGGGGACAGAGTGAGATCCTGTCTCAAAAAAATAAAAATAAAAACAAAAATAACAAAAAGCCAGGGTCTCACTCCATTACCCAGGCTGGAGTGCGGTAGTGGGATCATACTCACTGCAGCCTCGACCTCCCTGGCTCAAGTGATCCTCCTGCCTCAGCCTCCTGAGTAGCTGGGACTACAAGTGCACACCACCATGCCAGGCTAATTTTTTTTATTCTTTATTTTTTATAGAGATTGGAGTCTTGCTATGTTGCCCAGGCTGGTCTCAAACTCCTGTGCTCAAGCAATCTTCCCAGGACGGCCTCCCAAAGTACTGGGATAATAGGCATAAGCCATCCTGCCCAGCTTTCTCTCTCCTCTGTCTCACACACACACACACAAACACGCACACACACACACACACACACACACAAACACGTACAGCTACAGTCACATATGCAGACAAGTGGCGTTCAGTCATTAATAAAGTCACATATACAAGCAAGGTCAATGTCACAGACAAATTTCTTATTGTTTGTTGTCACAAATTGTATAAAAAGAACAAGAGCAAACATTTTTTGGGGGCTTCACAAACAAATAGGGATCTGGAGGTGGTAATCTAGGCAAGGTAGTTGGTGCATACATACCTAAGGTAATGGATGGTGCTATGGTTTGAATATTTATCTCCTCCAAAGCTCATGTGGAAACCAAATCCCCAGTGTGGCAGAATTAAGAGGTGTGGCTTCTAAGAGGTGATTGGATTATGGATTCGTGGACTAATGGATTAATGGGTTGATGTGTTACTATGAGGGTGGCACTGGTGGCTCTATTTATTTATTCATTTATTTAGACAGAGTCTCGCTATGTCACCCAGGCTGGAGCGCAGTGCCATGATCTTGGCTCGATGCAACCTCCACCTCCAGGGTTCAAGCGATTCTCCTGCCTCAGCCTCCTGAGTAGCTGGGATTACAGGCTTGAGCCACCACAGTCAGCTAATTTGTTTGTATTCTCAGTAGAGACAGGGTTTCACTATGTTGGCCAGGATGGTCTCAAACTCCTGACCTGAAGTGATCCACCCACCTTGGCCTCCCAAAATGCTGGGATTACAGGTGTGAGCCAACTGGTGGCTTTATAAGAAGAGGAAGACAGACCTGAGTTGGCATGCTTGGTGCCCTCGCCCTGTGATGCTTTGCACCACCTTAGGGCCCTGCAGAGTCCCCACCAGCAAGAAGGCCCTCAGCAGATGAGGCCTCTCGACCTTGCCGTTCTCAGCCTCCAGAACTGTAAGGAATAAATTCCTTTTCTTTATAAATTACCCAGTTTCAGATATTCTGTTGTAAGCAACAGAAAACAGACTAAAACAGACAGATGGCAGGTGGGTCTCAGGGGCAGACACACGGGTCTCCACTGGCCACACACTTCAGGTCCCAAATAGAGAGGCAGAAAAGGCCAGGTGTGGTGGCTCATGCCTATAATTCCAGTGATGTGGGAGGGCTAGCAGGGAAGATCGTTTGAACCCAGAAGTTAGAGGCTGCAGTGAGCTAGGACCTCACCACGGCACTCCAGCCTGGGTGATAGTGTATGTCTCTCTTAAAAAAAAAAAAAAAAAAGGAGAAGGGAAGGGGAAGGTTCAAGACAGTGGAGGCACGAGGAGCCCCAGAACTCTGTTGGGGAGACACTAATTCGTGCACCTGCCATCCTCCCCCAGGACCCAAAGGACCCGGGTCTGTCATCTTCCTCGGGGCCTCCTGGAGCTGGTGCAGCCAGTGGTGGAGGCGGCCCCGGGGCCTGGGCCTTGCTGAGGCTGGATCTGTGAGCAGAGGAGGGCGGTGTGTGAGGCGGGGCCTGGGCCACCACAGGGGAAGGATGCTGCTCAGAGCCCACAGACCTGGGTGCCCGGGCCCCGAGGACTCACACTGGCCCCAAGCTGGGAGAGGATGTTGTGGAGGGTGTGAAGGAGCTGGTCCAGGACATCCCCCAGGGCCGGATCAGCATCAGCGGTGACCTCCAGGACCTTCAGTGTCAGGGCCAGCTCAGCCTCCAAAGCCACAGGGCGCTCCCTCACCTGAAGAGAGGTGAGAAAGAGCAGGTGAGGGGGCGGGTGAGGGGAACAGATGGGGGGAGGAGGATAGAGAGGAACAAGTGAAGGTGACAAGCACAGGGGAGAGGGCACAGCCAGTGTGGTCAGGTGGGAGTAGAGGGAAGGGGGAGCAGGTGTGGGGAGAGGAGAGAGGGACAAGGGAGAAGGAGAAGATGAAGGGGCCACTACAGAGCCAGGTGAGTGGGGCTGGGAGAGCAGGGGTGGGCCTGACTCCCCCTCTCACCTGCAGCTGCCTCAGGTCCCAGGTCCTGGGGAAGAGGCGGGAGCGGCACCTGCAGTCCTTCAGCAGAAGCGACACTTCCTAGACAGCAAAGGCACAGGTTAGCCCCAGCAGGAGGGGTGGAGGTTAGACCACTCTGATGGGATTGGAGGATGGCTGACAACAGGATAGGGAAGTTAACTGGTGGGAGGATAGTAGAGGACCCTCTTCTACAGAAGAACATGCGTCAGTCCCTGCAGTAGGAGCATGAGATAGCCTACTGCAGGGAGGGTGGAGGCTAGCCCAGTGAAGGAAGCTGGAGGTCTTCGCTCAACAAAGTCAGCATGGTGACCCATAGAGGGTGATGGAGGCTAGCCCACGGCAGGAGGGGCAGGGGGAGACTCACACAGGCCTCGTTCTGTCTATTAAAGCCTGAGCTGCATGGACTTCCTGTCTGGTTCCTGCGCCTTTTTCACCAGGGGGATGCAGTGTCCTGGGCTCCACGGCTTTGGGTCTCTATTCAGTCTTATTCAAAGTCTCTGGCTTCGGTCTCTTCTTCTGGATCTCCACCTGCTGCTCTGGGTTTGGCTGTTTCTGATTTCCAGCTCGGTCTGGGGTATCATTCCTGCCTGAGCTCCAGGGCACACTGTTTAGCTGGGACAGAGGCCAGTCCCACGGGTGCAGAGCGGCCTGAGGCACCGGAGGGGGTGGGGTGGGGGAGGCCCAGGCTGGAGAAGTCCAGAGCAGGGCGGGGCCAGGTGCCGCAGCTGCCCCTGGGGAAAGAGAAAGTGACACGTGCCCGGGCCAGGCTCTGTGTTCGCCTACAGGAAGGTGACTTCCTGAACCACACATGCCTGGGGCTGTAGCAGCTTCAGCTCAGGAGGAGGAGCCACGGGTGCCCCCAGGGCAGGACTAGGGTTTGAGGGGGCGGGTGAGGGGCTTGTGTATCTGCAGATTGCTCAGATGTGGAGGGGGGTGGCTGAGGGAAACCCGGGAAGTATTTCCCTGAGGGGTGGAAGGGGGGACTCTAGAAGGAGACTGCTTAGGGTAGGGGAGACCACCCAGGGAAAGGGATACTGTGGGGATGGGAGGACGGAGTCAGTGAGGCCAAGACCACAGAGTATAAAGAAAAGGACAGGCCACTTTGGTACGCCAAGGCAGGAGGATCACTTGAAGTCAGGAATTTGAGACCAGCCTGGGCAACATAGCAAGACCCCCGTCACTACAAAAAAAAATTTTTTTCGACTAGCCAGGCATGGTGGTGTGCCCCTGTAGTCCCAGCTACTCCGGAGGCTGAGGCAGGAGGATCACTTGAGCCCTGGAGTTCAAGGTTGCAGTGAGCCATGATTGCACCACTGCACTGCAGTCTGGGTGACAGAGCTAGACCTCGTCTCAAGGGAAAAAAGGAGAGCCCTCCCTGCACTCCCAACTCTCCCCAACCTGCCATCAGTTGGGGGGTGGGGGAGGCAGGAACAGGGGAGTGACAGTGTCTACTCAGGAATTCAGGTACAGCTGAGGGCTTCAAAGGAAGCAGGTTGATTGTAACAGACCCATTCCTTTATTCATTCATTGAATCTGTCATTGGTTCAAAAAGTATTTATTGAGCAGGAACTATGGGCCAACACTGTCCTGTGCACTGAGGGCCCAGCAGAGAACAAAATACACAAAATTCCCTGTCTCTCGAGGAGCTGACATACCAGTGGGAGAGTCAGGCAGTAACAAATAAGTTAAATATGTACAATGTCACTGAAAGAAGCGCTTTTGAGAAAAATTATGCTGCAGATGGAGCCGGCTGAACCCAGAAGAAGTTGCCTGCTCTAAGGCAGCCAGAGAAGGGGACATCTAGTTGAAAACCTAAAGGAGGAGGGAGGGAACAGCATTCTAGGCAACGGGAACAGCCAGTGCAAAGTGAGGACAACGACAAGTTTCTCTAACGGATGCCACCCTGTCCCGGAGGCTTTACACATGCAAGAGCAGTGAATTCTCCCAACACCTCTGAGAAAGGTACCATGCTTTCTTCTACCTTGAAAATGAAGAAGCTGGTACTCAGAGAGGTTAAGAGACTTGGCCAAGTTTACACAGCAGGTATGTGCTAAGAGCAGTCTGAGTTTTCCCTGACACCCAGGCCTTAACCCCTGCACCTCCTGCCTTCAGAGGTTTTGAGTTTTTCTTTTTTTTTTTCTTTTGAGATGGAGTCTCGCTCTGTTGCCTGTCGCCCAGGCTGGAGTGCAGTGGCACGATCTTAGCTCACTGCAACCTTCACCTCCCAGCTTCAAGTGATTCTCCTGCCTCAGCCTTCTGAGTAGCTGAAAACCATGTGTATTCCTGGGCCTGTGGATTTGGAAGGGCAGGGAAAACCATGTGTATTTTCATTTGGAAGGGCAGGGAAAACCGTGTGTATTTTCATACAGGCATCCGCCACCACACCTGGCTAATTTTTGTATTTTTAGTAGAGATGGGGGTCTTACCTTGTTGGCCACGCTGGTCTGGAACTCCTGACCTCAGGTGACCCTCCCACCTCAGCCTCCCAAAGTGCTGGGATTACAGACCTGAGCTACCGTGCTGACCAGAGGTATTGAGTACTTTGAAGATACTTTTCTGAGTCCTTGGTCACCTGAATTCTGCCCATCCAGGGAGTCCCTTGAGGAAACCTGGGGGCTGATCTTGCCATGTGCACATGTGCTCCGAAACCCTCTTGCCCCTCCATCCTCAGCATTATTAGATATGGAGACTAGTACTGGCCACCAAACCCAAGACTACATTCTCTAGCATCCTGCATGCTAGGGATGACCATGTGACTAACCCATCACCACCATCTAGGCCTTAAAACACAGGGTGGGTGGTCCCTGCTCTGTTTCCTATTGTCACCACTGAAAAACTGGACATGTCTGAGAGCCGAATCCTGCTGTACAGGTGAGAACAAACTCCAGGACAGGGCTTCTAACCTGGCAGAAGAATTCCTGGGCCTGTGGATTTGGAAGGGCGGAAAAACTATGTGTATTCTCACTAACCTCTGTCTGAAATTTGATATTTCCTGAATGTATGTTTCTTACACCTGCTGTAACAAATGACCCCCAACTTAGTGGGGTAAAACAACTCAGACTTTCCAGGGATGGATAGACGGATGGGCAAAATATAGTCTACACATATGATGGAATATGATTCAGCCTTCAAAAGGCAGAAAATTCTGGCCGGGTGCGGTGGCTCCCACCTGTAATCCCAGCACTTTGGGAAGCCGGAGCAGGAGGATCGCTTGAATCCAGGAGTTCCAGATCAGCCTGGGCAACATACTGAGGCCTCGTCTCTATAAAAAATTTAAAAATTAGCCAGATGTGGTAGCACACATTTGTAGTGCTGGCTACTCAGGAAGCTAAGGCAGGAGGATCACTTGAGCTGAGGAATTTGAGGCTGCAGTGAGCTGATTGCACAACAGTACTCTAGCCTGGGTAACAGAGCAAGACCCTGTCTCTAAACTTAAAGACAGAGAGAGAGAGTCCAGGCGCGGTAGCTCATGCCTGTAATCCCAGCACTTTGGGAGGCCAAGGCCAGTGGATCACCTGAGATCAGGAGTTCGAGACCGACCTGGCTAACATGGTGAAACCCCATTTCTACTAAAACTACAAAAAATTAGCTGGGTGTGGTGGCAGACACCTGTAATCCCAGCTACTCGGGAGGCCGAGGCAGGAGATTCACTTGAACCCAGCAGGTGGAGGTTGCAGTGAGCCAAGATCGCGCCACTACACTCCAGCTTGGGCAACAAGAGCGAAACTCTGTCTCAAAAAAAAAAAAAAAAAAAAAGAGAGCAAGAGGAGGGAAGGAAGTTCTGACACATGCTACAATAAAAATGAACTTTGAAGACATTATGTCAGTGAAATAAGCCAGTCTCAAAAGAACAAATGCTGTATGATTCCCCCTACATGAGGTGCTGAGAGAAGTCAAATTCCTAGAAACAGACGTGTCTAAATATTTGCCGGGGTAGCGGGAGGGGTTAATAGGAAGTTGTTGTTTAATGGGTACAGAGATTCAATTTTGTAAGATGAAGAGAGTTCTGGAGATTGCTTGCCGAACAATGTAGCAAACACCACTAGGACCAGACCTGTAATCCCGGCACTTTGGGAGGCCAAGGGGGGCAGATCACTTGAGGTCAGGAGTTCGAGACCAACCTGGCCAACATGGCAAAACCCCATCTCTACTAAAAATACAGTAATTAGCCAGGCATCTGACTGGCTAATGGCACACACCTGTAGTCTCAGCTACTCAGGAGGCTGAGGTGGGAGGATCACTTGAGCCTAGGAGGTCGAGGCTGCAATGAGCTATGATCATGCCAGTGCCCTCCAGCCAGGGTGACAGAGCAAGGTCCTGTCTCAAAAAAAAAAAAATAGAATAAATAAATAATAAAATTGCACTACTGAACAATGTGCTTTAGAAAGGATAAGATGGTACATTTTGTGGGTTTCCCACAATTAAAAAAAATATTTAAATTACCTGAACAAAAAGAACAAAACAAAATGCATGCACATTTCTATTCCTACAGTTCTGACAGTCAAGATGTCAGCAGAGCGGGTTCCTTCTGGAAGCAGCAGGGGAGATCTCTCTCCTTTCTCAGCCTCTGGGGGTGTCCAGCATCCCTTGACCCCGGTTCCCTTCCTGACATCACTCCAATGTCCTGTTTCTGTGGTTACATCTTCCGCTAATGATGCTGACCCCGGCCTCCTTCTTAGAAGGACTTTTGTGATGACATTGGGTCCAGGTGGACAACCCAGGATAACGCCCCCATCCCAAACCCTTAACTTACTCACATCTGCAGAGTCCCTCGTGCCATGGAACATAACATATTCCCAGGTCCAGGAATCAGGAACATCTCTGGGGACCAGTCTTGCATCTAGCACGAATCCATTACAAATGCAGCAACACACCACAGCAGTGTTAGCAGAACTTGTGACTGTTACCAAAAGAAATCACAGGCATTTCCTATCACGTTATCTTCCAGCAGGCACCTTGAAATGTCATTTATGCTCATCTCTGCTTCTAAGTCACAGTGGTTATTAAAGCTGCCACAGGTGATTTTTTACTTAATGCATTCATGAAGAAGCACATGAATTGCTATGTCACAGTGTGAAAAAATATTTTGATCACTGTATTACAATCAGAGTTGGATTCCTTTGTCCTGCACGTGTTCTTTCCTTCTGAGAAGGGTCCGTAGGCTTTTCAAGGCTGCCGTGAGGTCCGGTGGGTGAAGATGATGAGGGAGCCCTGTCCCGGGGACTGTGGAGCACAGAACTGCCAGGAACCAGGGCCCCTGGATGACTGAGTGGGGCCATCCTGCCAGGGGGAGCGCTCACCTTGGGAGGAGGAGCTGGTGGAGAATGACACTCTGTGGTTTGTAATTCATGATCACTGTATTTGGGGGACTCTTTGTTCCAGCAGCTCAGCCAACTCTACTCAGCAGGGGTCCCTGATCCAAGTTGTCCTCCTCATCTGTAGGGGCTTATCCAGGGTTAGTGAGACCTCATGTTTGCTTATACAATTCAGGGGCTTCTTGGAAAGAGAATGGGCTGGACCCGGTGACTCAAGCCTGTAATCCCA
This sequence comes from Homo sapiens, assembly GCF_000001405.40. Taxonomy (NCBI): domain Eukaryota; kingdom Metazoa; phylum Chordata; class Mammalia; order Primates; family Hominidae; genus Homo; species Homo sapiens. Next base: position 39,242,778 of record NC_000019.10, read on the forward strand.
GTTCGGGGAGGGGCTGGAGAGGGTGGAGGATGGTGCCGAGGAGAGAGAATCACTTGAGCCCAGGAGTTTGAGGCTACAGTGAGATGTGATCACGCAAGAGACAGGATCTTGCTGTTGCTCAGGCTGGTCGTGAACTCCTGACCTCAAACAGTCCTCCCATCTCAGCTTCCACCAGTAGCTGGGATTATGGGCTTGTGCCACCACACCCAGCCAATTCTCTAATTTTTTATAGAGACAGGATCTTGCTATGTTGCCCAGGCTGGTCTGGGCTCAAGTGATCCTCCCAACTCAGCCACCCAAAGTGCTGTGATTACAGGCTTGAGCAATCACATCCAGGCTCTAAATTAATTTTAAAGATGCTTCATTTCACCCAATACATCCAAAGTGCTATCATTTCAACATCTAATGAATATATAAATTATAATTAAGCTGTTTTACTTTTTTTTTTTTCTCCACAGTAAATCTTCAAATTCTGGGGTATGTTTTACACTCACTGAAAAAATGAGGTTGCACCACCTACATTCCAGGTGCTCGATAGTGACATGTGACCTGGGGACCCCAGTGGACAGCACAGACTCAATGAACCTGCTGTTCTAGATGCTACTTTTAGGGTAATTTGTTATGGCAGCAATGCAAAGGAAATACACACCAACGCACACACAGTCCCACGTCATGGGTGTCTTTTCCTCATTGTTTATTTCAACAAGGATTTCAAAAAGTAGAAAAATAAACATTTTCCTGGAGGTGAGTTGGATTTACATACACAAATACATAAATAGCGACTGGGTGACAATAAATTAAGCCAAGTGGCTAATTTATAAATAAAATCTCAGGTTGCATGACTGGCGGAAGGGTCAGACACACAGGTCCCCGCTGGCAACACAATTCAGGTCTCGCGTGAGGAGGCGGAAGAGGTTGAAGGTGACAGAGGCCTCGAGGCAGCCAGGGGACTCCTGTAGGGAGGAGGGGATGGGTCAGGGGCTGTCTGGGTTCTGGGCTCCCAGTGGCTCCCCAGACCTCAGTCCCTCTCTTCCCGGGTCACTCACCTTTTTTGGGGCCTCCTGGAGCCGGTGCAGCCAATGGTGGAGGCGGCCCCGGGTCCTGGGCCCTGCCGTGGGCTGAGGCTGGATCTGTGGGCAGAGGAGGGCGGTGTGTGAGCCGGGGCCTTGGCCAGGGGAAGGACGCTGCTCAGAGCTCACAGACCTGGGTGCCCGGGCCCTGACGACTCACACAGGCCCGGAGCTGGGAGAGGATATGGTGCAGGGTGTGAAGGGGCTGGTCCAAGACATCCCCCAGGGCTGGGTCAGTGTCAGCGGTGGCCTCCAGAACCTTCAGCGTCAGGGCCAGCTCAGCCTCCAAAGCCACGGGGCGCTCCCTCACCTGAGGAGAGGTGAGAAAGAGCAGGTGAGGGGGGAGGTGAGGGGAACAGGTTGGGGGAGGAGGATAGAGAGGAACAAGTGAAGGTGACAGGCACAGGGGAGAGGGCACAGCCAGTGTGGTCAGGTAGGAGCAGAGGGAAGGGGTAGCAGGTGTGGGGAGAGGAGAGAGGGACAATGGAGAAGGAGAAGGTGAAGGGGCCACTACAGAGCCAGGTGAGCAGGGCTGGGAGGGCAGGGGTGGGCCTGACTCCCCCTCTCACCTGCAGCTGCCTCAGGTCCCAGGTCCTGGGGAAGAGGCGGGAGCGGCACTTGCAGTCCTTCAGCAGAAGCGACTCTTCCTAGACAGCAAAGGCACAGGTTAGCCCCAGCAGGAGGGGTGGAGGTTAGACCACTCTGATGGGATTGGAGGATGGCTGACAACAGGATAGGGGAGGTTAACTGCTGGGAGGATGGTAGAGGACCCTCTTCTTCAGGAAAACATGAGTCAGTCCCTGCAGTAGGAGCATGAGATAGCCCACTGCAGGGAGGGTGGAGGCTAGCCCAGTGAAGGAAGCTGGGAGTGGGAAAGCATGGTGACCCTTGGAGTGCGGGTGGAGGCTAGTCCATGGCAGGAGGGCAGGGGGAGACTCACTAAGGCATCTTTGGCCCTCTTAAAGGCCTGCAGCTCCTGTGGAGACAGGGACTTGAACTGGGCTATGTGGCAGCCCCTTGCATCCGGGAGAGCCCCGCGGAGCCTGGCGACAGGAACTGCTCCAGTCACGGTCAGCACTGCGGCCATCAGCACCAGCACTGGCATGCAGTCCCCGGTCATGTCTGTGTCACAGAGAGAAAGGGAGCTGAGGGAATGCAGAGGCTGCCCACTGAGGGCAGGGGCTGCAGGAGCTGAGCACGGACAGAGATGTGGGACTCACCTAGTTTCATTCCTGATCTCTGGTCTTTGTCAGCAGAAGAAACACTCTGAGGCTGTCACCCAGGGTCTGTTTGGGTCTTGTCTGGAGTCTCTGTTCTTTTCAGTCCCCTCTTCTGGATCTCAGACTGTGTCCTGGCTTTGACTCTTTCTGTCAGTTTTGAGCTCTGTCTGGGATGTAATTCCTGCCTGAGCTCCATGGGGCAGCTTTTATCCCTGACAGAAGGGCAGTCCCAGCTGATGTAGGAAAAGTGAAAACACAGCCTCAGGTAAGACACCGGCCACCAGGGGAGCCCCAGGCTGGGAAAGCCCAGAGCAGGGCAGGGCTAGTGAGCCAGATGAGCAGCTGGAGGGAAAGAGAAACTGATGGAGACTCAGGGGTAACCTACAGGAAGGTATGTTCCCAAGAGGATTCCACCTGCTCTGGTTTTGTTGTTGTTTAAGACAGGGTCTCACTCTGTCACTGCAGTGCAATGGCATGATCACAGCTCACTGCAGCCTCAAACTCCTGGGCTCAAGCCATCCTCCTCACCCAGCCTATTAAAGTGCTGAGATTACAGGCCTGAGCCACCACTCCTGGCATATATATATATATATATATATATATATTTTGAGACAGGGTCTTGTTCGGTCACCCAGGCTGGAGTGCAGTGCAAAATCTTGGCTAACTGCAACCTCCGCCTCCTGGGTTCAAGCAATTCTCTTGCCTTAGCCTCCCAAGTAGCTGAGATTACAGATTTGTGCCACCATTCCCAGCTAATTTTTATATTTTTAGTAGAGATGGCGTTTCACCATGTTGGCAAGGCTGGTCTCAAATTCCTGATGTCAAGTCATCTCTCTGTCTAGGCCTCCCAAATTGCTGGGATTTCAGTGTGAGCCACCATGCCCAGAGGCCAATATTTCTTAATTGCCCAGGCAAGGAAGGACTCAGGAATATGAGGCTCTGCTCAAGAATTGAGGTGTGACGAAGGACTTGAAGGACACCACGTGGGTGCCGTCTTTCTTAGGGAAGTTCAGGCAGTGGTGAAGAGCATGGGTCTTGGAGATGAAGGGTCTGGGGTTCAAACCTGGTTCTGACCCTCACTAGCCGTGTGACCTTGGCAAGGAGGGGTGCATTCAGCAACGCAGATTGCTAATGCACAGATTTGGAGAAAAAATTAATAACACAATTGTTTGTGTATTTATGTGAGTGATTATTTAATAGAATCCACTCATTAAGACCATACTAGGACCTCAGCTGGAGAGTTTAAAACGTGATCTCAACGGACACTACTCCTCCACAAGGCAAGTATGCTAACCCATCCTATAGGTGAGGAAACAGAGGCTCAGAAAAGTAATTTGCCCTGAATTCCACTGTAATTAACTGGCAGGGTCAGAACTGAAACTCAGGCCACCTGAGTCCCTGGCTCGGCCTCTTTTTTTGCTGTAAGGTGCACCTCACAATCATCATACGGAAAACAACCAATGCGATCAAAACACTCTTTGATAACTGGCAATAAATTTAAACCGGGAGACAGAATAGCAAATGCACAGGAACTTCACAAATACAAACACACGTAAGGGAATCCAAAGAACCACAGTCGGTTAAGGACCCTTGGGCCTTTCACTACCAAATCCCTCATGGATTGGTGTCCCTTAGATGCCGGATCCAAGAGTCACGGATTCACAGAATCTCAAAGCTGGCTGTGGGGCTACAAATCCGGGGTTAGGACCTGGTGTTGGGGGTGTCCTGGTAACCACACAAGGAGGAACTGGTCCCTGTTGCCTGGGGTCAGCCACGGTTTCCAGAGCTCAAGTTTTTTCCTGCCACAGCAACCGTTGGAGGGTCGTACAATGCACCCCGAGGAAATATCGTGGCTTCCTGGAGAACTGTGGTCTCTTCCCTGTAGAAGGACCCGCTCCTCTTATATCTGAGACAGTGGATCCAAGTCAGGCCCAAGGCTGCGAAGAAGTTTTCGTGCCTCAGCACCCATTGACTGAGAGCCTCGCCCGGCCAGCCCAATGGACGACAGGAGCTGCTTTCGGCAGCCAATGGCGTGGAGGTTTCCGTGCTGCCAGAGGGGGCGGGGTCAGAGGCAAGGCCCAGAGTGTGCAGCCAGCCGGAGCTCCCACGTGAGCAGGCGCAGGAGGTTGAAGACCACGCTGGCTTTGCGGCACCGAGGCGAGTCCTGGAGCCAGGGAGGGAGGGCAGCGGGGCTAAGCCAGGCTCTTCCCCCCGCCCCCGGAATCCCCCTCCAGTCCCGCTGCTCGCAGCCTCAGTCCCGTCCTTGTCAGCCTCGCCTGGTCCTCCCTGCGGGCTAACCCTGTATTGCCTGTTGCACTCACCGCTCTCCGGGGTTTGTGACGCCTCTTCTGGGCCCCGGGGACCTTCCTGGAGGAGCCTGGCCGTGCCAGCTCAAGCTGGAGGTGGGACATGAGGCAAATGGAAAAGGCGAAGGACGAAGCCCCTCTCTGCATCTGCCCGTGGCCCTCCCAGCCGCAGACTCGAGCCCGGATTTCAGGACACCCAGAGGACCCGACTCCGGTCTGGATGGGTTTTTCCGCTAAGCAGGACAGATTGGCAAAGCGCTGGGGCTCGCCGTGGGCCTGAGGATGCAGAGAAGCTGGCGGGGGAGAGGGGCGGCGGGGCGCGGCCGTCACTCACGCAGGCCGCCACATCCCTCCCCGCGGCCGCCAGCAGCTCCAGGATCGGGCCGGCGCCGGGGAGCAGCTCCGAGCGGTGCAGGCCGCTGAGCACTGCCTGGGCGTCCGCGATGCCCCGGGCCACGTGGCGGAGCCGAGCGCAGGACTGCGGGGACGAGAGGGCGTTAGAGCGGGCCGCGCCCGGGCCATGCCTCTCCCGCCCACTCCCGGGCCTCACCGATGGCCGCGGAGGATCCCTCCTGGGGCGGAAGGAGCAGTTGCGCTGCCCCCAGCTCAGCGCCTCTTCCTCCTGCGGGACAAGCGGCGCTTATCGCATACGGCTAGGCCCCCTCGCCAGGGCCCCTAACCTCTGCACAGTCTGGGATTCCTGGACGTGGATGGGTACTGGCAGCGCACGGTCGTGCCTGTCGTGTACTGAACCAGGGAGCTCCCCGAAGGCGCGAACCAGGGTTGAATTGCACTCCGCGCTCCCCCAGCAAAGCCCCTCGCCCCGACCTGGAGCCGAGTCCTCCCGGCAGGGCTCCCTTCTGTGATTGACCCTGAGCCTGCGTTCGCGCTGACGACGGGGACTGCGGGGGTCTCGTGGTGGGAATTGTGGGCGCTGACATAGGAGAGGCGCCTGCTGGGCGCTAGGACGCAGGACCCCTTGGGACAGGAACGGGTGTATGGGAACCCGGTGGGGCCAGGGTCCCAGGGGGCACAGGGGCTGGGCGGTGACTTACGTAGCGGTCCCTCAGCGCCTTGGCAGCCGCCAGCGTCCGGGGCTCCAGCGAGCGGTAGTGCGAGAGCAGGCAGCGCCGGGGGGCCTTCTGCGATCACCGTGCACAGGACCCACAGCCCCGCGGCCACTGCGGCCCAGACACTCGGCCGCATCTCTGCTTCTGCAGCAGGCGAGAGACGTCAGGGAAGCCAAAGAGAGGGTCCAGCGCGTCCAGCCCCCCGCCTTGGGTTAGGATCCCAGGGAAGGCAATGCTCGGAGCGTGAAGGCACAGCACACACAGTGGGAGAGAGAGTGGGAGCCGGCCCCCTCCTCGCCTTGGCCTCTGCCCTCACTCCTGTCTGCAGTGCACCCTCTGTGCCTCGTGCTGCAGCAGGTGCTGCCGTCCACTGTCCCCTGGGAGGCGTCCAGAGCCGTCTCCACCTGGGCAACAGTGCCTCGACGGTCCATGCTGGCTTTTATGCGCAGGGCTGAGAATGGGGTTTGCAGCCGGGCTTTCCCGTCCAGGGCAAGCTTTCCCAACATCAGAGCTGGCCCCAGGCCTCTGGGATCCCAGTCGGGTGTGAGGACTTCAACCCGAGGTTGGCCTGTGCCCGGGATGGCTGCCCTCCAACACTCGGTTTCCAAATTGTCTCTGTCCCTGTTTCTACTGTCTGTTTCCTCTTTCTTTGCTTCACCCTGGTTGTCTTTATCTTCGTTCTGCAATCACAACCAGCCCTTGTGTAGTGTTGACTGTGCATCAGGCTCTCTTCTATGTAATTGACACAGACATATCATCTCATTTTTGTACCAGGGCAGCCCTGGAGGTGTAGCTGAGAAAGAGAACGCTTAATTTATTTTATTTTATTTTATTTTATTTCAGAGACAGAGTCTTGCTTTGTTGCCCAGCCTGTAGTAGTGGTGCAGTCACAGCTCACTTCAGACTCAACCTCCCAGGCTCAAGCAATCCTCCCACCTCATTCTCCATAGTAGCTGGGACTACCGGTGGGTGCCACCACCATTTTTTGTAGCAACCTGGTTTCGCCATGTTGCCCAGGTTGGTCTCTAACGCCTGAGCTCAAGACATCTGCCCGCCTCAGCCTCCCAAAATTCTTGGATTACAGGCATGATCCATTGCACCTGGCCTCATTATTTTCTTAAACCGTTTTTTTCTAGTCTCTTTATCTATGGGTGCATTGATTAAAAGAACTGCAGATGCCCGAAAGGCCACACGAGCTTCAGGACGCTTCCTTTGCTTATTACTGGAGGAAGAAAAGGCTGGGGCAAAACAAGTGCAAACCAGACACAGTGACCCACGGTTACCTTTAGATCATTAATATATAATTATCATGGTAAACTCCCTACCCATGGAGGAAAATACGCTCACCATTTGCTGAACATACATCATATGAAGAGGCATGCTTATGATCTGCACCTGCGTCTGGAGTTGCTCTCTGCGCATGCTTACATACCTCCCCACCCCACAGCTAACTCCTTAAAATTTCCCAGCTCCCCACAGCTGGGCGATAAGGTGTTTTTTGTTTTTTGTTTTTTTTGAGATGGAGTTTCACCCTTGTTGCCCAAGCTGGAGTGCAGTGGCGTGATCTCGGCTCACTGCAACCTCCACCTCCCGGGTTCAAGCAATTCTCCTGTCTCAGCCTCCTGAGTAGCTGGGATTACAGGCACATGCCACCATGCCTGGCTAGTTTTTTGTAGTTTTAGTAGAGATGGGGTTTCACCATGTTGGCCAAGCTGGCCTCAAACTCCTGACTTCAGGTGATCCGCCCGCCTTGGCCTCCCAAAGTGCTGGGATTACAGGCATGAGCTCGCCCAGCAATAAGGTGTCTTTAGAGCAAGAGTTCTCTCCTTCCCCATCCTAGCTAGGAATAAAACCTGCTTGCCTTTTTGTTTCCAATTGGGTGTTCTTTCTTTGCAACCAATGCAGAGTAGGGAAAGAACTGCATTTACAGGTGACAATTTCATTGTCAAAAATGACACAAGCCCGGGTACAGTGGCTCAGGCCTGTAATCCCAGCATGTTGGGAGGCTGAGGAGGGAGGATTGTTTGAGCCCAGGAGTTCGAGACCAGCCTGGGCAATATAGTGAGACCCTGTCTCTACAAAAAGTAAGGGATTTAAAAATTAGCTGGGCATGGTGGTGTTACTGGAAAAGCATCCTGATCCAGACCCCAAGAGAGGGTTCTTAGATCTTGTGCAAGAAAGAATTTGGGGCGAGTCCACAGTGCAAAGCAAAAGCAAGTTTATTTTAAAAAGTAAAGTGGTGGCTGGGTGCAGTGGCTCACACCTGTAATCCCAGCACTTTGGGAGGCCGAGGCAGGTGGATCACTTGAGGTCAGGAGTTCAATACCAGCCTGACCAACATGGCAAAACCCTGTCTCTACTAGAAATACAAAAAAATTAGCCGGGTGTGGTGGTGCACACCTGTAGTTCCAGCTACTTGGAAGGCTGAGGCAGGAGAATTGCAGTGAGCCAAGGTTGCGCCACTGCACTCCAGCCTGGGTGACAGAGCGAGAAAAAAATAAGCAAAGTGGCGAAGGAATAGCTACTCCATAGACAGAGTAGGGTGTTCCTGAAAATAAGAGGAGGAATGGGCCCACCCTAGGTACAATGCTTGTTTATAACAAAAAATATCATGGGGAGATGTGCTCTGCTACCAGGGTTTGTGACAAAGGATTAAATTTCTTAATTATCATATTTTGCAAAAACCGATATTACTATCTTTAAAGCAAAACGAGGAATGCTTCTGATGAAGAATGCTTCTGTTCTCAAGATACCGAGATTTCAGGACATTCCTGAGCCTGAGTCTCTTTAGTAAATGTTATCAATCTGTTCCATTAACAGTAAACATCTAGAGGCTAGGAATGCCTAACTTCCTGGAAATGCAGCTCAGCAGGTCCCAGCCTCCTTTTTCCTAGCCCTCACTCAAGATGGAGTCGCTCTGGTTCAAATGCCTCTGACAGTGGCACACACCTGTAGTCCCAGCTACTCATGGGGCTGAGATGAAAGGATCCCTTGAGTCTGGGAGGTTGAGGCTGCAGTGAGCTGTGATTGTGCCACGGCACTCCAGCCTGGGCGACAGAGTGAGAGACTGTCTCAAAAAAAAAAAAAAAAAAAAAGACACAAACCAGGCACAGTCGCTCATGCCTGTAATCCCAGCACTTTGGGAGGCCGAGGTGGGCAGATCACCTGAGGTCAGGAGTTCGAGAGCAGCCTGACCAACATGGAGAAACCCCATCTCTACTAAAAATACAAAATTAGCCAGGCATGGTAGTGCATGCCTTTAATCCCAGCTATTCGGGAGGCTGAGGCAGGAGAATCACTTGAACCCGGGAGGCGGAGGTTGCAGTGAGCCGAGATCACGCCATTGCACTCCAGCCTGGGCAACAAAAGTGAAACTCCGTCTCAAAAAAAAAAAAAGACACAAAAGGGAGGTTCTATTACCTTATTTTACAGATGGAAAACTGAGGCCCAGGAAAGTAAAGGAACTGTTCCAAGATACACAGCTAATAAATGGCAGAGGTGGGGTTTGAACCCACACACTCTGCAGTTTCAAAGCTTGTTCTCTATGCCATAACTGCCCTTATCTTTTTCAGCGTCTCCTCCTGTGTCTTGCTTTCTCTTTCTCTCTCTCTCTCTGTTCCTGTCTCTGTCTCTGGCGTGACTCCATCTTTCTTATTCATTTTTCCAACAAGCATCCTGCCCCAGGTCGCTCTGTCTGTCTCAATCAATCTCTTTTTGTTTAAACATAAAATCTACTTCTTTTTCTGATAAAATTAGCCATGCATGTTCAGTGGATAAAGCTTGAAAAATACACAAAAACATAAAAGAAAAAAAACATCACCTATAACTTCACCATCCTCCTCTCATCCCTCATCCCACTTCTGGAACAAATCGTCCCAATACATAGGAATTTTCCATGTGTTTATTTGTGCATATGTTTTCTGACTACCAAAGTAACACTTGTTCCTTGTAAAAGATTCCATCCATACAAAAACATACAACATGGAGAGTTAAAGTAAGTCTTGTATTTCACCTCCTGGAGGTAAATATTTTTTAACAATTTGTCACTGTTCCTCCTTTTGTTTTCCTTTCTGTGAGCAATTTCACCCAAATTGGAACCATGCTGTATACAGTTTGGTAGCTGGCTTTTTATGTCTTACCATTATCTCTCATTTGCATTCTCCCACATCTTTAATTATAGCGTATCAGTTAGGGCCCAGCAGGAAACAGATGGCCCGTCAATTTAGGATAATTTGAGGTGGGGTTGATACCAGAAGCCTTTATAAAGCGATTGGATAGTAAAGGCAAATGACAAGAGCTAGTGCAAGCTCCTGGGGCCAGCATGGGTGAGGGGCCTCATCCACAGGCCTAAAGGAAGGGGAGAGGGTTGAGGGTGTGCATGTGGTTGCCTGACTTGGGGAGGAGAGAGTCACTTAGATTTGTGGAGGAAACAGATGAATTGTGGTGGCCCAGCACAGGGAGGAGCCCTGGGGAAAAAACACCTGACCTCCTCTCCCCTCTACCTGGGGCCCAGAGTAGGTTGGAGAAGCAGGGACAGTAGATAAGGAGGGGCAAACGGAAGACATCCCCCACCCCCACACCACTATTAGAGCTTCCATTCCAGCAGGATCATTTAATAACCAACCCCTGATTGGTAGGGTGGCAGGTTTTTCATTTCCTCAACAGTGTCTTTTGCAGAGCAGAGGTTGCTTTTTGTTTTTGTTTTTTTGGACATGGTCTCAGTCTGTAGCCCAAGCTGGAGCATAGTAGTGGCACAATCGCCACTCACTGCAGCCTCCATCACCCAGGCTCAAGCCATCCTCCCACCCCAGCCTCACAAGTAGCTGGGGCGCCAGCTACCTGTAGTAGGCACGTGCCACCAGGCCCAGCTAACTTTTCTTTTTTTCCCCAGAGATGCAGTCTCACTTTGTTGGCCAGGCTGGTATGTTTCCATTCCAACATTCTTGAGATGACAAAATTATAGAAATGGAGAGCAGATTAGTGGTTGACAGAGGTTAAGGAAGGGGTCGGATGGGAGAGGAGTGGACGTGGCTACTGAAAGGGCAACACAAGGGATCTTGTGGTATGGAGTGTTTTGTATCTTGTCTGTATCAATGTGATATGGTTAGGCTTTGGGTGCCCACCTAAATCTCATCTTGAATTGTAATCCCCAGGTGTTGAGGGACAGACCTGGTGGGAAGTGATTGGATCTGATCATGGGGGTGGTTCCCCCATGCTGTCCTTGTGATAGTGAGTGAGTTCTCACGAGATCTGATGGTGTTTTAAGTATTTGGAAGTTCCTCCTTCTTTCACTGTCTCTCTCTCCTGCCACCATGTAAGAGGTGCCTGCTTTCCCTTCCATCATAATTGTAAATTTCCTGAGGCCTCCCCAACCATGCAGAACTGCGAGTCAATTAAACCTCTTTCCTTTATAAATTACCCAGTCTCAGGTAGCATCTTCATAGCAGTATAAGAATGGACTAATACACAATGTCAATATTCTCTATGTGATATAATACCATGGTTTTCGCAAGATGTTACCATTGGGGGAAACTGGGTAAAGGGTACACAGTAACTCTTTGCATTCTTTTTTTTTTTTTTTTTTTTGCACGTTTCATTTGTTTATTGATTTCCGCCTGATTACTCCAGAAGGTAATTACTTAAGATGCTTAAGATGGGTGGGGGGGTGATTTCAGCATCGCCCACCTTCACCTGTGGGAAGACCTCCGAGCATGTACAGTAAGACACACAGTCATATCTTGGGGAGCTCTCTGCAGGTGAACTGCAGGCCCCCAGCCCCATGCTGGGTAAAGTAATGAAGCAACAGCCGCTTTCCTAAGCCCGAGTGACCCAAGCTACTTCTGCGCAGGTTGTGAAACAGGGTTTAGGTTTCTCCCCTCTTGGACAAGAGGCCAGGGGTCTGCCCCATCAGCCTGCTTTCCTGGTGGGTCACGGACCATCATCACCTGGCTGGTCTGGAAGGGTTTAACCACAGCGGATCATGTGGCGACCAGAGCCGGGGCAGCTGTCAAGGGCAGCCTCCATTTCCATTCTGTCTCGTAAGCAGCCTGGGAGATGTGGGCCTAAGCTTTGGTGAGGATGAGAGTCTGTCTTGAAATTGGGCCCCACAGGGGTGAGTCCAGAGGCAGGACCGGGAAGGAAAGGTCGAAGGTCGGGCGTAACATCATTCAAAGACCAGCCACGCCCAGACCACACCCCTGAGATGCCTTATCAGGTGAGCAGGAGGCTAAGTCAGCCGACAGTGTGGCCACACAGCCCAAGCCTGTCCTAGCAGAAGGCAGGAACCATCAGCAAATAAGTGACTTTTCCAAGAAACAAGATCTTGTTCAGAGCTGCGGCCTTGGGAGCCTTGATGTTTCAGCCATTGTGCCCTGCCTTCCTGTCTCAATGTCCAGGTCTCGAATTCCATGGTAGAATGGCCAGTGTGTGGCCTTAGTGCCGTGGCCATCTGGGGTCGGTGTGGGCTGCCCGCCTAGTGCGCCTGGGAAGCAGAAGTTTCTTTGCCTTTAGGGACAAACTTCAGCGAGCTGCTGAATATTCATTCAGAATCGGGACTGCCGCAGCTTGGGGCCATCGTTCAGGAACTTGTGGCTCAACGTGTTGCCACACTTGCACGAGACACCTTCAAGACTTCAGGATGATTGTGCTCTGGGCGCTTGGCCACGCTGTCAGAACGGATGGTCTTGGTGAACACCGGCCAGGGGAATGAGTATGTGTACTTTGAGCGGCTGGGAAACAGCTCATAGCCACACTTGGCACACATATAGACGCCTGGCTCAAAGTGATTCTGGAAAACCTTGCCCCCGAAGAAGCTGCAGAATGACATGGCGCCGCCAGGACCACTGTGCACTTGCCCCCTCCAACAGACCCAAGGCCGCTGACCCCATGACCACTGGGACCCGCGCCCACCTCCCTGCACCTCCCAAGAACCTATCTCTTTGCATTATTTCTTACAATTGCACGTGAATCCACAATTATGTCAAAGTAAAAACTCTAATTAAAGCAATCATACAGACATATTTCCTTGGGAAATATGATTTCCTAAATCATGATTTCCTAAATATGATTTAGGAATATGATTCCTAAATATGATTTCCTAAATATGATTTCCTAAATATGATTTCCTAAATCATACAGACATATTTCCTTGGGAGCTATACATGCATTATGCAAATATATAAAATATGGATAATATATAAAATGTTTAGAAATGTATAAAAAAGTGTGCAAGGATATGTCCCAAACTGATTAATAGTGAGTTATTTATCACTGGAGAGAGCATGGGAACTGAGGAGATGATCACTGGAATATTTAAATGTATTAGCAATATTTTAATTTCTTTTTTTTTTTTTTTTTTTTTGAGACGGAGTCTTGCTCTGTCGTTCAGGCTGCCGTGCAGCGGCATGATCTTCGCTCACCGCAACCTCCGCCTCCCAGGTTCAAGCGATTATCCTGCCTCAGCCTCCCAAGTAGCTGGGATTACAGGTGTCTGTAAAAATTAGCCACCACACCTGGCTAATTTTTGTATTTTTAGTACAGATGGGGTTTCACCACGTTGGCCAGGCTGGTCTCGAACTCCTGACCTCAGGCAATCTGCCTGCCTCAGCCTCCCAAAGCACTGGGATTACAGGCATGAGCCACTGCGCCTGGCCGTATTTTAATTTCTTACAAGGAGAATGAATTCTGCCTAACTAAACAGTAAAACAAACAAACTCACTGGATATGAGGGAAATGGTAGCTCACTGCTTCTTCAGTTGCTGGTCGGGTAGATCATTTGTGAGACTTTCTTAAAAAGTACATTAATCCAATTTCTAGAGCTTCTCTTTTTGTTTTTTTGAGACAGAGTCTCGCTGTGTCACCCAGGATGGAACTCAGTGGTGAAATCTCAGCTTACTGCATCCCAGGTACAAGCAATCCTGCTACCTCAGCCTCCCAAGTAGCTAGGATTACAGGCACCCACCATCACACCTAGCTAATTTTTGTGTTTTTAGCAGAGACGGGGTTTCGCCATGTTGGCCAGGCTGGCCTGGCACTCCTGACCTCAAGTGATCCACCCACCTTGGCCTCCCAAAGTGCTGGGATTACAGGTGTGAGAGTCCCTGCACCAGGAGAGACTGGCCTCTAGAGCTTCTGATAATGGCTTTGTAAAACGTTGTCCTTATCCTCTGCCACTTTGCTGCTGTGTGGGTGTTCACTGACCCCTCCTGATCTGCACCTCTGAGGCTTGCCTGCCCTCTTGCTTATGGTTGGTGTTTAGCCAGTGGAGGTGCTGGCAGGAGATTGAGGGAGGGCAGAGAGCAAGGTGGGGGTGTTTATTCTCCTATTTGCTGGCTGCCCCCTGCAAGTCTGGAGTTAGACAGTGGCCGTGATCCTCTATCTACAGCCACAGTCTTTGTCCTGTCATGCCTAGGAGTGCTAACAGCTCCCCCTGTTACTTGCCTCTGGGTGCACCACCACCTCTTGTGTCTTCCTTAACCCTGCCCACTTTTCCCGTGCTTAAATGTTCAAGTAGGTCATCTACTTCCTGAAGATTTCTATTTTTTTTCCCCTGAGTTTTCTTAATAGAAATGTTTGAGACTGAGGTCATTAAAGACTCACATGCTGCTATAAGCAAAAATTCAGGCTAGGCTTGGTGGCTCATGCCTATGATCCCAACAATTTGGGAGGCCAAGGCAGGAGGATTGTTTGAGTCCAGGAGTTCAAGACCAGCCTGGGCAACATAGCAAGAGCCCATCTCCACACACAAGATATAAAAATTAGCTGGGTGTGGTGGCACCCACCTGTAGTTTCAACTACTCAGGGGCCTGAGGTGGGAGGATCACTTGAGCCTGGGAGGTGGAGGCTGCAGTGAGCCGTGATGGTGCCACTGCACTCCAGCATGGTGACAGAGCGAGACCCTGTCTCAAAAAGAAAAAGAAAGAAAGAAATATTAGAGATTCTGTGCACCCTTTATCCAGTTTCCCCCAATGGTAATATCTTACAAAATGCTAGTCCAATACCGCAGCCGGATATTGACATTAATACAGTCCACCCATCTTATTCAAATATCCCCAGTTTTACTTGCATTGAGTGTGTTTGTGTATTCTTGTGTGTGTGTTTAGTCATACAGTTTACTGTATACAATTTAGTTATATAATTTCATCACATGCTTAGGTTCATGTATGCATCACCACAGTAAAGACAGAAGAGTTCCATCACCATGAATATCCTTGGGGCCATGCCATCTTTTTTTTTTTTTTTTTTTTTGAGACAGAGTCTTGCTCTGTCGCCAGGCTGGAGTGCAGTGGCGAGATCTCAGCTCACTGCAACCTCCACCTCTCAGGTTCACACCATGCTCCTGCCTCAGCCTCCAGAGTAGCTGGGACTACAGATGCCCGCCGCCACGCCTGGCTAATTTTTGGTATTTTTTTTTTAGTAGAGACGGGGTTTCACCGTGTTAGCCAGGATTGCCTTGATCTCCTGACCTCGTGATCTGCCTGCCTCGGCCTCCCAAAGTGCTGGGATTACAGGCGTGAGCCACCGCACCTGGCCCTTTTTTATAACCACACCCACCTTCCTCCCTCCACCATCTTTCCCTAACTCCTTGAAACAACTAATTTATTCTCCACTTTCAAATTTTTCTCATTTGAAAAATGTTATATAGCCCAGGTGCAGTGGCTCATGCCTGTAGTCCCAGCACTTTGGAAGGCTGAGGTGGGAGGATCACTTAGAGCCCAGGAATTTGAGACCAGCCTGGACAATATAGGGCAACCCTGTCTCTACAAAAAATACAAAAATTAGCCAGGCACGGTGGCATGTTGTAGAGTCTAGCCCCAATGGCCTGTGGGTTTTTTCTTTGTGTGCAGAGACGAGAGATTGTAGGAAAATAAAAACACGAGACAAAGAGATAGAAGGAAAGACAACTGGGCCCAGGGGACCACTGCCACCAATGTGCGGAGTCTGGTAGTGGCCTCAAATGCCTGGACGCACTGCTATTTATTGTATACAAGGCAAGGAGGCAGGGTAAGGAGTATGAGTCATGTCAAGTGATTGATAAGGTCACGTGAGTCACGTGTCCACATGACAGGGGGCCTTTCCCTTTGTGGTAGCTGAGGCGGAGAGGGAGGACAGCATACGTCAGCATTTTTTCTATGCACTTATCAGAAAGATCAAAGACTTTAATACTTTCACTAATTCTGTTACTGTTATCTTCTAAGAACTCAAAAAGAGGAGCCAGGTGTACAGGCGGAACATGAAAGTGGACAAGGAGCGTGACCGTTGAAGCACAGCACCATGGGGAGACGTTTAAGCCTCCAGATGACTGCGGGCAGGCCTGGCTAATGTCAGGCCTCCCACAAGAGCTGGTGGAGCAGAGTGTTCTCTAACTCCCCCAGGGAAAGGGAGACTCCCTTTCCCGGTCTGCTAAGTAACGGGTGCTCTCCCAGGCACTGGCGCTACCGCTAGACCAAGGAGCCCTCAAACGGCCTTTATCCGGGCGTGACAGAGGGCTCACACTCTTGTCTTTTGGTCACCTCTCACAGTGTCCCTTTAGCCCTGACTCTGTACGGCCTGTTTTCTCCTAGGTTATAATTATAAAACAGAAATTACTATAATAATAAAACAAAGAGTAATACTACAAACTAATGATTGATAATATTCATATATAATCATATCTATATCCTATTTCTAGTATAACTTTTCTTATTATAATTATTTTCTTTATTATACTGGAACAGCTTGTGCCTTCAGCCTCTTGCCTCGGCACCTGGATGGCTTGCCGCCCACAGCATGTGCCTGTGGTCTCAGCTACTCTGGAGGCTGAAGTGAGAGGATTGCTTGAGCCCAGGAGGTCAAGGCTGAAGTGAGCCATGATTTTGCAACTGCACTCCAGCCTAGGTGACAGGGCAAGACTCTCAACTTTAAAAAATGTGTGTGTGTGTGTGTGTGTGTGTGTGTGTGTGTGTGTGTGTGTATGATAATGAAGTAGTATGTAACCTTCTGGGATGGGCTTTTTTCACTCAGCATAATTCTCTGGATATTCATCCAAGTTGTTGCATGTATCAATAGTTCATTCCTATTTGATGGTATATATTTGCCAGAATTTGTGTAATCATGCACCTTTTGGAGGACAACTGGGCTTTGTAGTTTGGGCTATTACAAATAAAGTTGCTGTGATCATTTGCAAAGCAAATAACTATGTTATTGCATGGACATAGGTTTCCATTTCTCTGGAATAAATATCCAGGCATACCATTCTGGGCCAACTAGGAGTTGCATATTTAGTTTTACAGGAAACTACTGAACTGTGTTTCAGAATGGCTGCACCATTTTTCCATTCCCACCAGCAATGTATGAGTGATCCAGTTCCTAGATCATTTTTGAGTTATACTCACAAATAAATGTTCTCCAAAGCTTTTTATTATTTCTTAAATTCCTGAAGTAGTGTTTCTAACAGACTAGGGGTCTCAAGCAGTGGATCACAAGACACATTTCTATTGGGACAGCATTAAATTGAATTTTTTATTGCACATAACCTGCTCTGTGGTGGTCAGAGCTGGATCACTGATTGTCAATAATTTGCATCTGGCGCTTTCCTCCAACCAATCTATGACACTCCGTTCTTTCTGCCATTACTAATTTTCCTTCTAGTTCTTCAGTCTTTGGACATATATAATTTTATTTCGGCCTCATGGTATCTATCAGTTAGGACACTTTTGGTTGTAAATAACCAAAAACTCAACTCATGCTGGCTTGAACACTGGAGAATTTTTGAGCTTACAAAACTGAGAAGCCTAGGGTTAGTGGTGAGGCTTCAGGTTAAGTTTGATCTAGCAGCTTAAGACATGAGTAACCTCCCAGTTGGTTAGTTGTCTGTTTGTTTGTTTGTTTGTTTTTTGAGATGGAGTCTCACTCAGTCACACAGGCTGGAGTGCAGTGGCATGATCTCGGCTCACTGCAACCTCCGCCTCTAGGGTTCAAGCAACTCTCCTGCCTCAGCTCCCTGAGTAGCTGGGGTTACAGGTGCACATCACCATGCCTGGCTAATTTTTGTATTTTTAGTAGAGACGGGGTTTCACCATGTTGGCCAGGCCTGTCTCGAACTCCTAACCTCAGGTGATCTGCCTGCCTCGGCCCCAAAGTTCTGAGGTTACAGGCATGAGCCACGGCACCCAGCCTCAGTTTGTTTGCTTGTTTGTTTTTAAATATTTCAGGTCTCCCTTATGCTGATGAGAAGCCTGTTTACTCTTGTAAATCCAACATGGGTCTAGCAGCATCCCAGGCTTCAGGCTTCAGGTTTTATTTTTCTTCAGTAGATAAAAAAAAAAAACAAAAAAACAGCATCTTTTTCCCAAGATGTTCAGGACCGAAGATCATTCTGATTGAACTGGATTAGGTCACATGCCCACCACAAACCCAATCACTGTGGCTAAGAAGACAAACTGATGTAAATGGCTACAGCCAGATCACATACCCCATCCCAGGGATGGGGAGGGGGCTAAATCATCTTCCCAAAACTATTTAGCTCCCCAACTGAAATGGGGGATCTCAGGAAAGACTGGGGAGAGGTGATAGAAGCTTGGAAATTATATTCCATGGACACTTTTTGAAATCTTTTTTTTTTTTTTTTTTTTGAGACAGGGTCTCTCTCTGCCACCCAGGCTGGAGTGCAGTGGCACAATCTCGGCTCACTGCAACCTCCCCATCCCTGGATCAGGCAGTTCTCCTGCCTCAGTCCCCTGAGTAGCTGGGATTACAGGTACGTGCCACCTGACCAGCTAATTTTTTTATTTTTAGTAGAGACGGGGTTTCACCATGTTGGCCAGGCTTTGCTGGTTCTTAAAACCTCTATGCCTTTGAATAGGAAAATATGCACTGGCAAACCATAAAATAATTTTCTCATACTCATGCTGAGGAAGACATATAACCATGAAAAACAGTCACTACTTACCCATAATTATCAATATTTATATAAACCTAATTAGAATTAATTAAAAGTGGTCTCAAGTAGGAAGCGTGCCTGACTTACTCAAAACATACCTAGGGCTGGGTGCAGTGGCTCACACTTGTAATCCCAACACTTTGGGAGGCCAAGGCAGGAGGATCGCTTGAGGCCAAGAGTTTGGACCAGCCTGGGCAACATACTGAGATCCTGTCTCTACAAAAAATTTAAACACTAGCTGGCATGGTGGTGCATGCCTATAGTCTCAGCTACGTGGGAGGATCGCTTGAGCCCAGGAGGTTGAGGCTACAGTGAGCTGTGATCATACCACTGCACTCCAGCCTGGGAACAGAGCGAGACTGTATCTCAAAAACAAACAAAAAACATATGTAGGCTATTCTGTATGGGATAGATCAGTCATACAGATGAGAGATGGCAGAGTATTGCCAATAATAACCCAGGGAGCCTGGGATCAAATCCCCATTTCACACCTACAAGCTGTGTGAGCTCGTGTTTCATTCATAACCTCTCTGTGCCACCGTTCTTTCTTCTACAAAATGTCAGCCAATAACCAGTCAACTACCTAACAGTTGCTGGGGAGAAAAAAAAAAAAACAGATATTTACATGAGAAGAGCTTAGAATGGAGCCAGGAAGTGCTGAGTATATATTAGCTATATATATATATATATACACACACAAAACAGTAGTTGAGAAAAACATGTCTGTAATTCCAATTTTCAACAGCAAACTAACAATACTTTATTAAGTGGTAAACAAATAAATATTATATTCATATAACAATATGAAAGCCAGAGATAGCTCGTCTGAGACACAGATGAACAAAAACCAGAGAGAGGGGGCCAGGTGCAGTGGCCCACACCTGTAATCCCAGTGCTTTGAGAGGCCAAGGTGGGATGACAGCTCGAGGCCAGGAATTTAAGACCAGCCTGGGCAACAGAGTGAGACCCCCATCTCTACAAAAAAAAAAATAGAAGAATTATCTGGGCATGGTGGTGGGTGCCTGCAGCTCCAGCTGCTTAGGGACTACTTAAAGCTGAAGCAGGAAGATCCTTGGAGCCCACAGGATTGAGGTTACAGTGAACTGTCATCTCACCACCACACTCCAGGCTGGGCCCAGAGACAGTGAAGCCCTGTCTCTAAAAAAGAAGAAAGAAAAGAAAAGACAAACAAACAAACAAACAAAAAAAAAAACAGAAGAGAAGGGGGAGTATTCAGGGTGTAAACCAAAATTAAAATTCTAAGGCCCCCCGCAACCATCTGAATGGATCCTGTCCTCTCCGCCAAGGGCATTCCAAAGTTAACCTGAAAAACCAGTTCGGGCCATAATTGCAAGGGGGAGTGGGACGTGCCTCATCATAGCCTCCTGCTTTTTGGAATTACTGATAGAAGAGAACTTTAAGTCTGATTTTTTTTAAAATTACAATCTATTTTCTCTGAAGCCTGCTATCTGGAGGCTTCATCTGCACACACACTCAATGTAAGTAAAACAGGATATCTGAATAAGATAGGTGGATTGTGTCAATATCAATATGCTGGTTGTGGTATTGGACTGGAGGTTTGTAAGATGTTAGTTACCATTAGGAGAAACTGGGTAAAGGGTGCACAAGATCTCTGCATTTTCTTCCCTTCCTTCCTTCCTTCCTTCCTTCCTTGGTCTCCACAACCCCTTATGGTAACCCAGACCTTCCTTTCTATTGATAATAACTCAACCAATTGCCCATCAGAAACTCTTTGAATCCCCCTATGACTTGGAAGCACACCCTGGCTTCCACTTGTCCTGCCTTTCTGGATGGAACTAATGTACATCTTACGTGCATTGGTTGATGCCTTATGTCTCCCTAAAGTGTATAAAATCAAGTTGTGGGCCAGGAGCGGTGGCTCACGCCTGTAATCCCAGCACTTTGGGAGGCTGAGGCGGGCGGATCACCTGAGGTCAGGAGCTCAACACCAGCCTGGCCAACATGGCAAAACCCCATCTCTACTAAAAAGGCAAAAGTTAGCTGGGCATGGTGGTGCACGCCTGTAGTCCCAACTACTTGGGAGGCTGAGGCAGAAGAATCACTTGAACCTGGGAGGTTGCGGTTGCAGTGAGACAAGTTCGTGCCAGTGCACTCAAGCCTGGGCAATAGAGCGCGACTCCGTGTCAAAAAAAAAAAAAAAAAGTTGTGGCCGGACAACCTTGGGCACATGGTTCTCAGGATCTCCTGGGGGCTGTGTCACAGGCCATTGGTCACTCATATTTGGCTCAGGATAAATCTCTTCAAGTGTTTTTTAGAGTGTGACTCTTCTCATTCATTGACAAGGGAAAGAAAGATACAAAGACAGGGACAGACAAACAGAAATGTAATGAGAAAGCAGAGAAAGATGAAGGAGACAGCATGGGAAAGCCAGTTGTGAACACCCGATGGCAGGCATTTAAATGATTTGGTAGCTCTGCCAAGCCTGTAGCTTCAAAGAAAAGGAAAAAGTGTCTCGGTTCATTCCTAGAGTACAGAAGACAGATCAGACAGAGGCAAAGAGAGACAAACAGATGTCCAGAAAACAGACACAGGCAGTTGGCTCAGGATAGAGAGTTGGAGGCCAGCCGTCCCTGGCATAGGCCCACCGTGGGTTAAAGTCCTCACACCCCGACTGGGATCCCAGAGGGCTGGGGCCAGCAGTGACGTTCCGAAATCTTGTCCAGGACGGGGACCGGCTGCAAACCCTCTCAGCCCTGCACATAAAAGCCAGCATGGTCCGTCGAGGCACTGTTGCCCAGGTGGAGACTGCTCCGGACGCCCCCCAGGGGACAGTGGCCGGCAGCACCTGCTGCAGCACGAGGCACAGAGGGTGCACTGCAGGGAGAAGTGAGGGCAGAGGCCAAGGCGAGGAGGGGGCCGGCTCCCGCTCTCTCTCCCTCTGTGTGTGCTGCGCCTCCCCTGTGAGCCTAACCCAAGGCAGGGGACTGGACGCGTGGGACCCTCTCTTTGGCCTCCCTGACGTCCCTCAGGAGCAGAGATGCGACCGAGTGTGTGGGCCGCGGTGGCCGCGGGACTGTGGGTCGTGTGCACGGTGGGCGCGGCGATCCGCCAGCGCTGCCTGCTCTCGCACTACCGCTCGCTGGAGCCCCGGACGCTGGCGGCGGTCAAGGCGCTGAGGAACCGCTAAGTGAGTGACCGCCCAGCCCTTGCGCCCCCCGGTACACTGGCCCCGCCGGGTTCCCACACACCCGTCGCTGACCCGAGGGGTCCTGCGTCCTAGCGCCCAGCAGGCGCCTCTTGTACGTCAGAGCCCACAGTTCCCACCACGAGATCCCCGCAGTCCCCGTCGTCAGCGCGAACGCAGGCTCAGGGTCAGTCACAAAAGGAGCCCTGCAGGGCGGACTCGGCTCCAGGTCGCGGGCGCAGGGCTATGCCGGGGGAGAGCGGGATGCAATTCAACCCTGGTTCACGCCTTCGGGGAGCTCCCTGGTTCAGTACACGACAGGCACGACCGTACGCTGCCAGTACCCATCCACGTCCAGGAATCCCAGACTGTGCAGAGGTTAGGGGCCCTGGCGAGGGGGCCCAGTCGTATGCGATAAGCGCCGCTTGTCCCGCAGGCGGAAGAGGCGCTGAGTTGGAGGTCGCGCAACTGCTCCGTCCGCCCCAGGAGGGATCCTCCGCGGCCATCGGTGAGGCCCAGAAGCGGACGGGAGAGGCATGGCCTGGGCGCTGCCCCCTCTAACGCCCTCTAGTCCCCGCAGTCCTGCGCTCGGCTCCGCCACGTGGCCAGGAGCATCGCGGACGCCCAGGCAGTGCTCAGCGGCCTGCACCGCCTGGAGCTGCTTCCCGGCGCCAGCCGGATCCTGGAGCCCCTGGCAGCCGCGGGGAGGGACGTGGCGGCCTGCGTGAGTGACGGCCGCGCCCCGCCGCCCCTCGCCCCCGCCAGCTTCTCTGCATCCTCAGGCCCATGGCGAGCCCCAGCGCTTTGCCAATCTGTCCTGCTTAGCGGAAAAACCGATCCAGACCCAGGTCGGGTCCTCTGGGTGTCCTCAAATCCGGGCTCGGGTCTGCGGCTGGGAGGGCCTCGGGCAGATGCAGAGAGGGGCTCCGTCCTTCGCCTTTTCCATTTGCCTCGCGTCCCACCTCCAGCTGGCACGGCCAGGCTCCTCCAGGAAGGTCCCCGGGGCCCAGAGGAGGCGTCACAAACCGCGGAGAGCTGTGAGTGCAGCAGGCAGTACAGGGTTAGCCTGCACGGAGGACCGAGTGAGGTTGACACGGACAGCACTGAGGCTGGGAGCGGCGGGATTGGAGAGGTCTTCTCGGGAGGGAAGAGCCTGGCTTAGCCCCGCTGCCCTCCCTCCCTGGCTCCAGGACTCCCCTCGGTGTCGCGAAGCCAGCGTGATCTTCAACCTCCTGCGCCTGCTCACGTGGGAGCTCCGGCTGGCTGCACACTCAGGGCCTTGCCTCTGACCCCGCCCCCTCCGGCAGCACGGAAACCTCCACGCCATTGGCTGCCGAAAGAGGTCCCTGTCGCCCATTGGGCCGGCCAGGCGAGGATCTCAGCCAGTGGGTGCTGAGGCACGAGAACTTCTTCGCAGCCTTGGGCCTGACTTGGATCCACTGTCTCAGATATAAGAGGAGCGGGTCCTTCTACAGGGAAGAGACCACAGTTCTCCAGGAAGCCACGATATTTCCTCGGGGTGCATTGTACGACCCTCCAACGGTTGCTATGGCAGGAAAAAACTTGAGCTCTGGAAACCGTGGCTGACCCCAGGCAACAGGGACCAGTTCCTCCTTGTGTGGTTACCAGGACACCCCCAACACCAGGTCCTAACCCCGGATTTGTAGCCCCACAGCCAGCTTTGAGATTCTGTGAATCCGTGACTCTTGGATCCGGCATCTAAGGGACACCAATCCATGAGGGATTTGGTAGTGAAAGGCCCAAGGGTCCTTAACCGACTGTGGTTCTTTGGATTCCCTTACGTGTGTTTGTATTTGTGAAGTTCCTGTGCATTTGCTATTCTGTCTCCCGGTTTAAATTTATTGCCAGTTATCAAAGAGTGTTTTGATCGCATTGGTTGTTTTCCGTATGATGATTGTGAGGTGCACCTTACAGCAAAAAAAGAGGCCGAGCCAGGGACTCAGGTGGCCTGAGGTTCAGTTCTGACCCTGCCAGTTAATTACAGTGGAATTCAGGGCAAATTACTTTTCTGAGCCTCTGTTTCCTCACCTATAGGATGGGTTAGCATACTTGCCTTGTGGAGGAGTAGTGTCCGTTGAGATCACGTTTTAAACTCTCCAACTGAGGTCCTAGTATGGTCTTAATGAGTGGATTCTATTAAATAATCACTCACATAAATACACAAACAATTGTGTTATTAATTTTTTCTCCAAATCTGTGCATTAGCAATCTGCGTTGCTGAATGCACCCCTCCTTGCCAAGGTCACACGGCTAGTGAGGGTCAGAACCAGGTTTGAACCCCAGACCCTTCATCTCCAAGACCCATGCTCTTCACCACTGCCTGAACTTCCCTAAGAAAGACGGCACCCACGTGGTGTCCTTCAAGTCCTTCGTCACACCTCAGTTCTTGAGCAGAGCCTCATATTCCTGAGTCCTTCCTTGCCTGGGCAATTAAGAAATATTGGCCTTGGCTGGGCTCAGAGGCTCATGCCTGTAATCCCAGCACTTTGGGAGGACGAGGAAGGTGGATCATGAGGTCAGGAGTTCAAGACTAGCCTGGCCAGCATGGTGAAACCCTGTCTCTACTAAAAATACAGAAATTAGCTGGGCATGGTGGCACATGCCTGTAATCCAAGCTACTCAAGAGGCTGAGGCAGGAGAATCACTTGAACCCAGGAGGCAGAGGTTGCAGTGAGCTGAGATGGTGCCTCTGCACTCCAGCCTGGGCAACAGAGCGAGACTCCATCTCTCTTGCTCACTCACTCTCTCTCATGCTCTCTCTCTCTCTCTCTCTCTCTCTCTCTCTCTATATATATATATATATATATATATACACACACATATATGCCTCTGGCCGGGCGCGGTGGCTCACGCCTATAATCCCAGAACTTTGGGAGGCCGAAGAAGGCAGATCACGAGGTCAGGAGTTCAAGACCAACCTGGCCAATATGGCAAAACCCCGTCTCTACTAAAAATACAAAAATTAGTTGGGCGTGGTGGTGCATGCCTATAGTCCTTTCTACTCGGGAGGCTGAAGCAGAAGAATCCCTTGAACCAAGGAGGTGGAGGTTGCAGTGAGTCGAGATCACGCTGCTGCACTCCAGCCTGGGCTACAGAGCAAGACTCCATCTCAAAAAAAAAAGAAAAAAGAAAGAAAGAAAGAAATCATGGCCTCTGGGCACAGTGGCTCATGCCTGCAACCCCAGCAATTTGGGAGGCCAAGACAGACAGATCACTTGACGTCAAGAGTTCGAGACCAGCCTGGCCAATTGGTGAACTGTCATCTCTACTAAAACCATAAAAATTAGCTGGGAATGGTGGCACAAATCTGTAATCTCAGCTACTTGGGAGGCTAAGGCAAGAGAATCGCTTGAACCCAGGAGGTGGAGGTTGCAGTTAGTCAAGATTTTGCACTGCACTCCAGCCTGGGTGACCGAACAAGACCCTGTCTCAAAATATATATATATATATATGCCAGGAGGGGTGGCTCAGGCCTGTAATCTCAGCACTTTAATAGGCTGGGTGAGGAGGATGGCTTGAGCCCAGGAGTTTGAGGCTGCAGTGAGCTGTGATCATGCCATTGCACTCCAGTGACAGAGTGAGACCCTGTCTTAAACAACAACAAAACCAGAGCAGGTGGAATCCTCCTGGGAACATACCTTCCTGTAGGTTACCCCTGAGTCTCCATCAGTTTCTCTTTCCCTCCAGCTGCTCATCTGGCTCACTAGCCCTGCCCTGCTCTGGGCTTTCCCAGCCTGGGGCTCCCCTGGTGGCCGGTGTCTTACCTGAGGCTGTGTTTTCACTTTTCCTACATCAGCTGGGACTGCCCTTCTGTCAGGGATAAAAGCTGCCCCATGGAGCTCAGGCAGGAATTACATCCCAGACAGAGCTCAAAACTGACAGAAAGAGTCAAAGCCAGGACACAGTCTGAGATCCAGAAGAGGGGACTGAAAAGAACAGAGACTCCAGACAAGACCCAAACAGACCCTGGGTGACAGCCTCAGAGTGTTTCTTCTGCTGACAAAGACCAGAGATCAGGAATGAAACTAGGTGAGTCCCACATCTCTGTCCGTGCTCAGCTCCTGCAGCCCCTGCCCTCAGTGGGCAGCCTCTCCATCCCCTCAGCTCCCTTTCTCTCTGTGACACAGACATGACTGGGGACTGCACGCCAGTGCTGGTGCTGATGGCCGCAGTGCTGACCGTGACTGGAGCAGTTCCTGTCGCCAGGCTCCACGGGGCTCTCCCGGATGCAAGGGGCTGCCACATAGCCCAGTTCAAGTCCCTGTCTCCACAGGAGCTGCAGGCCTTTAAGAGGGCCAAAGATGCCTTAGTGAGTCTCCCCCTGCCCTCCTGCCATGGACTAGCCTCCACCCCCACTCCAAGCGTCACCATGCTTTCCCACTCCCAGCTTCCTTCACTGGGCTAGCCTCCACCCTCCCTGCAGTGGGCTATCTCATGCTCCTACTGTAGGGACTGACTCATGTTTTCCTGTAGAAGAGGGTCCTCTACCATCCTCCCAGCAGTTAACCTCCCCTATCCTGTTGTCAGCCATCCTCCAATCCCACCAGGATGGTCTAACCTCCACCCCTCCTGCTGGGGCTAACCTGTGCCTTTGCTGTCTAGGAAGAGTCGCTTCTGCTGAAGGACTGCAGGTGCCACTCCCGCCTCTTCCCCAGGACCTGGGACCTGAGGCAGCTGCAGGTGAGAGGGGGAGTCAGGCCCACCCCTGCTCTCCCAGCCCCACTCACCTGGCTCTGTAGTGGCCCCTTCACCGTCTCTTTCTCCCTTGTCTCTCTCTCTTCTCCTCACACCTGCTCTCCCTTCCCTCCGCTCCCACCTGACCACACTGGCTGTGCCCTCTCCCCTGTGCCTGTCACCTTCACTTGTTCCTCTCTATCCTGCTCCCCAACCTGTTCCCCTCACCTCCCCCCTCACCTGCTCTTTCTCACCTCTCCTCAGGTGAGGGAGCGCCCCATGGCTTTGGAGGCTGAGCTGGCCCTGACGCTGAAGGTTCTGGAGGCCACCGCTGACACTGACCCAGCCCTGGTGGACGTCTTGGACCAGCCCCTTCACACCCTGCACCATATCCTCTCCCAGTTCCGGGCCTGTGTGAGTCGTTGGGGCCTGGGCACCCAGGTCTGTGAGCTCTGAGCAGCGTCCTTCCCCTTGCCAAGGCCCCGGCTCACACACCGCCCTCCTCTGCCCACAGATCCAGCCTCAGCCCACGGCAGGGCCCAGGACCCGGGGCCGCCTCCACCATTGGCTGTACCGGCTCCAGGAGGCCCCAAAAAAGGTGAGTGACCCGGGAAGAGAGGGACTGAGGTCTGGGGAGCCACTGGGAGCCCAGAACCCAGACAGCCCCTGACCCATCCCCTCCTCCCTACAGGAGTCCCCTGGCTGCCTCGAGGCCTCTGTCACCTTCAACCTCTTCCGCCTCCTCACGCGAGACCTGAATTGTGTTGCCAGTGGGGACCTGTGTGTCTGACCCTCCCACCAGTCATGCAACCTGAGATTTTATTTATAAATTAGCCACTTGTCTTAATTTATTGCCACCCAGTCGCTATTTATGTATTTGTGTGTGTAAATCCAACTCACCTCCAGGAAAATGTTTATTTTTCTACTTTTTATAACCCTTGTTGAAATAAACAAAGGAAAAGACACTCATGACGTTGGACTGTGTGTCTGTTGGTGTGTATTTCCTTTGTGTTGCTGCCATAACAACGCTAAAAGTAGCATCTTCCAAAGACACACTTGATGAGCTGGGAGTCTGCAGGTCAGAGGCTCGCTGGCCCTGGCTGGTTTCTCTCCTGTGGGACTCACAGGCTAGAATCCAAGCATTGCTGCTGGGCTCTTACTGGGAGCTCTGAAGAGAAACTCTTTCCAGGGTCAGTCACATTGTTGGCAGATCACTGTTCCTTGCTGCTGTAGGACTAAGGTTCCTGCCCCCTCCTGGCTATGGGTCCATCCTGAGCTGACTCTGCTGAAGGGTTCTCCACTCCTCTCACTAAGCTAACCTCTACCCTCCCTGCAGTGGGCTATCTCATGCTCCTACTATAGGGGCTGATTCATGTCCTCCTGCAGTGGAGGGTCCTGTAACATCCTCCCGGGAGTTAACCTCCACTATCCTGTTGTCAGCCATCCTCTAATCTCACTGGAGTGGTCTAACCTCCACCCCTTCTACTGGGGGCTAACCTGTGCCCTTGCTCTCTAGGAAGAGTCGCTCCTGGGGATGGATGGCAGGTGCCGCTCCCGCTTCTTCCCCAGGACCTGAGATCTGAGGCATAATACATAACGTATTCTATCCCTCATGACAGTGGAAGACAGAATAATTTCACTGCCCTGAAAATTCACTGTCCTTCCCCATTCATGCTTATCTGGCTGTCTGTGGTCCCTACTAATAGGCCCTTCCAACTCAGAGCCAGGAACAGTGCTTCAAACCTTTCTCATGCTTGGAACCTCTCTGACCTCTCCTGCCATGTTGCTCTTGTACTTCCAGCTAGAGAAAGTCTTCCACGTTTCAGGGCTCAGGTGGTTAGTTTGGCATCCAGGGTGATCTCCCCATTGTCAATCCACATGCCATAATCGCATCTGCAAAGCTCCTTTGCCGAGTAACATAAGATATGCACAGGGTCCAGGGATGCGGTGCTGGGTGACTTTGGGGTGGCATCTTCGGCCTCCTACAGTGTGTGTATGATTGTGCTTCTGATTGTGCGTCATTGTAGTTATGGGATTGTGTGTGTGCCTGGTCTACCTGAGAGTGTATGAGGGATCATTTAGAATGCATTGTGCTATAAGTAAAGTAACAGAAGCTAGAAATGCCTTGGTAATAAGAACTTTCATCAGCATCCATGGTGAGACATCTAGAACAGCAGGTTCATTGAGGGCTGTGCTATCCACTGGAGTCCGCGGGCCACATGTCACTATCGAGCACCTGGAATATAGGTGGTGCAACCTCATTTTTTCAGTGAGTGTAAAACATACCCCAGAATTTGAAGATTTACTGTGGGAAAAAAATAATGTAAAACAGCTCGATTATAATTTACATATTCATTAGATGTTGAAATGATAGCACTTTGGATGTATTGGGTGAAATGAAGCATCTTTAAAATTAATTTAGAGCCTGGATGTGATTGCTCAAGCCTGTAATCACAGCACTTTGGGTGGCTGAGTTGGGAGGATCACTTGAGCCCAGACTAGCCTGGGCAACATAGCAAGATCCTGTCTCTATAAAAAATTAGAGAATTGGCTGGGTGTGGTGGCACAAGCCCATAATCCCAGCTACTGGCGGAAGCTGAGATGGGAGGACTGCTTGAGGTCAGGAGTTCACGACCAGCCTGAGCAACAGCAAGATCCTGTCTCTTGCGTGATCACATCTCACTGTAGCCTCAAACTCCTGGGCTCAAGTGATTCTCTCTCCTCGGCACCATCCTCCACCCTCTCCAGCCCCTCCCCGAACTGGGATTACAGGCTTGAGTCACCGGGTCCAGCCCATTCTCTTTCCAAGAAGCCCCTGAATTGTATAAGCAAGCATGAGGTCTCACTAACCCTGGATCGGCCCCCACAAATGAGGGGGACAACTTGGATCAGGGACCCCTGCTGAGTAGAGTTGGCTGAGCTGCTGGAACAAAGAGTCCCCCAAATACAGTGATCATGAATTACAAACCACAGAGTGTCATTCTCCACCAGCTCCTCCTCCCAAGGTGAGCGCTCCCCCTGGCAGGATGGCCCCACTCAGTCATCCAGGGGCCCTAGTTCCTGGCAGTTCTGTGCTCCACAGTCCCCGGGACAGGGCTCCCTCATCATCTTCACCCACCGGACCTCACGGCAGCCTTGAAAAGCCTACGGACCCTTCTCAGAAGGAAAGAACACGTGCAGGACAAAGGAATCCAACTCTGATTGTAATACAGTGATCAAAATATTTTTTCACACTGTGACATAGCAATTCATGTGCTTCTTCATGAATGCATTAAGTAAAAAATCACCTGTGGCAGCTTTAATAACCACTGTGACTTAGAAGCAGAGATGAGCATAAATGATATTTCAAGGTGCCTGCTGGAAGATAACGTGATAGGAAATGCCTGTGATTTCTTTTGGTAACAAAGTCACAAGTTCTGCTAACACTGTTGTGGTGTGTTGCTGCATTTGTAATGGATTCGTGCTAGATGCAAGACTGGTCCCCAGAGATGTTCCTGATTCTTGGACCTGGGAATATGTTATGTTCCATGGCACGAGGGACTCTGCAGATGTGAGTAAGTTAAGGGTTTGGGATGGGGGCGTTATCCTGGGTTGTCCACCTGGACCCAATGTCATCACGAAAGTCCTTCTAAGAAGGAGGCCGGGGTCAGCATCATTAGCGGAAGATGTAACCACAGAAGCAGGATGTTGGAGTGATGTCAGCAAGGGAACCGGGGTCAAGGGATGCTGGACACCCCCAGAGGCTGAGAAAGGAGAGAGATCTCCCCTGCTGCTTCCAGAAGGAACCCGCTCTGCTGACGCCTGAAGCCTCACGAGTGGGATAGAAAACACCAGTAGAAGAACCAGCTGGCCACCTGAGAATCTTGAGAAATTACAAATCACTGGCAATTGTTGGGGGGAGCGGCTGTTGTTTTGTTCTTTTTGGGGTTTCTTTTGCTTTTTTGAAACAAGGTCTCACTTCTGTGTGCAGTTTGGGCCAAAGTAGCTCCAGGACAGGTGTACGGGACAAAGAGTGGGTCATCAGTTCAATAAATAGCCAGCCCAGCCAGGTGTGGTGGTTCAAGCCTGTAATCCCAGCACTTTGGGAGGCCAAGGCAGGCAGATCGCTTGAGGTCAGGAGTTCAAGACCAGCCTGGCCAACATGGTGAAACCCTGTATCTACTAAAAATACAAAAATTAGCTGGGCATGGTGGCAAGAGCCTGTAATCCCAGCTACTCGGGAGGCTGAGGCAGGAGAATCACTTGAACCTGGGAAGCAGAGGTTGTAGTGAGCCGAGATAGTGCCACTGCACTCCAGCCTGGGTGATACAGAGAGACTCCATCTAAAATAAAATAATAAAAATAAATAAATAAAACTTGTACGAGGCCGGGGCAGTGGCTCACGCCTGTAATCTCAGCTATTTCCAAGGCTGAGGTGGGAGGATCACTTGAACCCAGGAGTTCTAGACCAGCCTGGGCAACATAGTGAGACTCTGTCTCTACCAAAAACAAAAATTAGCCAGGGGTGGTGGTGCACGCCTATAGTCCCAGCTGCTCAAGAGGCCGAGGCAAGAGGATCACTTGAGTCCAGGAGTTTCAGGCCACAGTGAGCTATGATCCTGCCTCTGACTCCAGCCTGAGCAACAGAATGAAATCCTGACTCTAAAACAAACAAAATACTAATGTATGCTACAACATAGGTGAACCTTGAAAACTCTGTGCTTGACCTCTGATTTGGGGGAAGAAAAAAAGAGCAAGAAAGGCCAGGCGTGGTGACTCACGTCTGTAATCCCAGCACTTTGGAAGGCCGAAGTGGGTGGATCACCTGAGGTCAGGAGTTCGAGACCAGCCTAGACAACATGGTGAAATCCCATCTTACTAAAAATACAAAAATTAGCCAGATGTGGTGACTCATGCCTGTAATCCCAGCTACTCAGGAGGCTGAGGCAGGAGAATCACTGGAACCCAGGTGGCGGAGGCTGCAGTGAACTGAGATTGCACCAGTGCACTCCAGTCTGGGTGACAGGGCAAGACTCCATCTCAAAAAAAAAAAAAAAAAAAAGCAATGAAATAAGTAAATAAATAAAAGAAAAAGAAAACACTATCCTGAGTGAAAGAAGCCAGGCACAAAAGACCACACATTATATGATTCAATTTATATGAACTATTCAGAATAGGTAAATTTGTAGAAGAAATTCACAGAAAGCTGGCCAGGCACAGTGGTTCACACCTATAATCCCAGCACTTTGGGAGGCCGAGACCGTCAGATCATTTGAGGCCAGAAGTTCAAGACCAGCCTAGCCAACATGGCGAAACCCCATCTCTACTAAAAATACAAAAACTAGCTGGACGTGGTGGCAGGTGCCTGTAATCCCAAATGCTCGGGAGGCTGAGGCAGGAGAATCTCTTGAACCTGGGAGGCGGAGGCTGCAGTGAGCCAAGATCACGCCACTAAACTCCAGCCTGGGCAACAGAGCAAGGCTCCATCTCAAATAATAATAATAATATAAAGAAAATGTTCAGCTGAATTAAATTTAAAGAAGTTCAGTTGAGTAATGAATCATTTGTGAATCGAGCAGCCCCCAGAGTCACAGAAGATTCAGACTCCAGCACGGTCTCGTGATCAGAACAAATTCATAGACAGAAAAAGCGAAGTGACGTATGGAAGTTGGAAGTTTTGTACAGAAACAGCTGGATAGGCTGCAGGCTGGCGTTTGCCTTATTTGAAAACAGTTCGAACACTTAGCAATCTATGAGTGGTTGAAGTATGGCCGCTGGGATTGGCCAACCCTCAGCTATTGTTATGGGCACATACTCCTAAATTAGGTTTTCAATCTTGTCTGCCTATTAAGCTAGGTTACAGTTCATCCACAAGGACTCAAATATAGAAGTACAGAGTCTCCTTCTCAGGCCATATTTAGTTTGCTTTAACAGCTTCATAATCTGCCTCTCTGCCCTCGCCGATCATCTGTGAACTTCCCAATGCCCTTGACTGCTCAAATTAGCCAGTGTGGACTCTATGCTAAGAGCCCTGACCTATGCAGCCAGGAATGGGCTCTTAATTCATGAAACAGCAGTGCAGGTTAAGCACAGTGGCTCACGCCTGCAGTCCCAGCACTTTGGGAGGCCACGGCAGGAGGATCACTTGAGCCCAGGAGTTTGAGAGCAGCCTGGGCAACATACTGAGACCTCATTTCTACAAAAAATATAAATAAAACTTTTTTAAAAAATAGCCAGGCATGGTGGCACCCACCTGTCATCCTAGCTACTCAGGAGGCTGAAGCGTGGAGGCTCGCTTGAGCCCAGGAGATAAGGCTGCAGTGAGCCATGATCATGCCACTACACTCCAGCCTTGGCAACAGAACAAGACCCTGTCTCAGAAAAAGAAAGAAAGGAACAGCAATGAGGCCAGTGTGATGGAGCTGCGAGGGGGAGGGTCCAGACCTCCAAGAGCTTTGTAAGGGAAGGCAGGGGTTGGATATTTTTTTCTAAGCAGAATGGGAGCCACAAGATGGTTTTGAATAGAGCGGGGATGTAATCTCTGACTGTAGGTGGGAAAGAGGGTGTGGGAGTGAGGGGTGACCAGGAGGAAGCTGCTGTGATCATCCAGGCAGGAGGTGACAGTAGACAGGTAGATGAGATGTATGGGGAGGGTGAGAAGTGCGTGAATTTGGAAACGCTTTGAAAATACAGCCAGTGGAACTTACTGATGAATTGAAAATGATGTGGTATTGTGTATGTGTGTGTGCACATGTGCATGCAGGCGTGAGAGAGAGAGAAGGATGGCCTGATGGTTACAATGAAGCCTCAATTTCATCAGTGGAAAAGGAGAACAATACTCACTGCCGAGGCTTGTTGTGGGGAATCTATATAATTGTGGGTGTAAAGCACTTAGCACATTTCATGAAATATAGTCACTGTCATCATTATTCATTACGAGATGTGTTCTAAGGTAAGCAGGTCTGTGCAAACCTACCCCCAAAGGCCAAGGGAGAAAGAGCCTGACAAATCCAGTTTCTTTTTTTTTCTTCTTCTTCTTCTTTTTTGAGACAGAATCTCCTGTTGCCCAGGCTGGAGTGCAGAGGTGCGATCTCAGCTCACTCTGCCTCCTGGGTTCAAGCAATTCTCCTGCCTCAGCCTCCCGAGTAGCTAGGATTACAGGCGCCCACCATGACGCCCGGCTAATTTTTGTATTTTTAGTAGAGATAGGGTTTTACCATGTTGGCCAATCTGGTCTCAAACTCCTGATCTCAGGTTATCCGCCCACCTTGGCTTCCCTGAGTGCCAGGATTAGAGGCGTCAGCCACCACGCCCGGCCGACAAATCCAATTTCTTAGAAGGAAACGTTTAAGAGGAATTCACAAACCGAAGCCATGTCTCAGGAGGCCCTAGGAAGACAGAGGGGATCCCCCACACAGTTATCCCACAAATGTAGGGCTTATACACTATAGGAAATTTGCCTCAAGGCAGGATTTATGGTAAGTATGTGTTTATGATAACATAAAGGTTATTTTGACCTAAGGGCAGGATTTTTGGTAAGTACATGAAAATAGAAATCTTAGAGGCATTCCCAGAACTGGAGTTAATCAGAAGTCAACATGGGCCTGAATCTCAGCACTTTGAGAGGCCGAGAATGGAGGATCGCTTGACCCCACAAGTACAAGACCAGTCTGGGCAACATAGTGAGACCCCGTCTCTACAAAAAAATTTAAAAATTAGCTGGGTGTGGTGGTGAAGGCCTGTAGTCCCAGCTACTCAGGAGGCTGAGGTGGGAGGATTGCTGGACCCTGGGAGGTCAAGATGCAGTGAGCCATGATCGTGCCACTGCACTGCAACCTGGGCAACAGAGCAAGACTCTGTCGCAAAACAAACAAATAAAAAAGAAGTCAAGATGGCAGATTAGCATCCAAGATGGAGTTACTTTAATCTCCCCTGGGTGTGTTTGTCATTGTTGTTGTTGTTTAAGACACAGTCTTGCTCTGTTGTCCAGGCTGGAGTGCAGTGGCATGATCTCAGCTCACTGCAACCTCCACCTCCTGGGTTCAAGCAATCTCCTACCTCAGCCTCCCGAGTAGCTGGGATTACAGGCACGTGCCACCATGCCCAGTTAATGTTTGTATTTTTGGTAAAGACAGGGTTTCACCACGTTGGCCAGGCTGGTCTCGAACTCCTGGGCTCAAATGATCCACCTGCCTCGGCCTCTCAAAGTGCTAGGATTGCAGCACCCAGCCCACTGGGTGTGTTTGAGACAAGTCAACCAAACCCATCGTGTTTCTTCTGGCAGCTCCCGCAAAACTGTACATGTGCCCCCTAAGATTCCAAGAAAGACCTCCACCATGCCCCAATTGCTTCAAAAACATCTGCCCCCAACTCGTTTGTGCTTTCACCACTGCTAGGAAATAGGGGTGACTCAGGGCGATTTCCTCTCCTTTCACCACTCTATGGGTTCTGAGGGTTTTCCGTCAGGGATCTCTTTCTAGAAGAATTCCAAGCTCTCTGCTCTAGCCTCCTTTCTGTTTCTCTTTCGAATTCAGTCTGTCCTCTGTCATCTCCTGACCACTGCGTATCTGAGCTTCCCCAGCCCTGCCCTGGCGGCACATTCCAATTTCAGGAGGTGTGTTTGCTTTTCTTTCTTCAGCTGGGATTAGCCAATCCAGTGGTTCATGGCCCTTGCTTGCTTCATAATCACCTAGGGAACTCAAAAGATGTCTGGCCTGCAATCCCAGAGATGTGATTGGTTTTAATCATTACATTCTATCAGTGATTCCTAAACTTTAAAGCGCATCGGAATCAGCTAGAGTCTTGCTAAACCGTAGAACCAACCTCATTGGCACCACCTTGGCAGAGTGTTAGAAATACTGAATCTCAGGCCCTAGCCCAGACCCACTAAATCAGAAATGTGCAGGTTAGGCTGGCACAGTGGCTCACACCTGTAATCCCAGAACTTTGGGAGGTGGGGTCAGGGAGATTGCTTAAGCCCAGGAGTTTGAGACCAACCTGGGCAACACGGTAAAGCCCCATCTCAATAAATAAATAAATAAACCATGTGTGGTCGAGTGCACCTGTGATCCTAGTTACTTGGGAGGCTGAGGCAGGAGGATCACCTGAGCCCAGGGAGGTCTAGTCTGCAGCAAGCAGTGATTGTGCTACTGCACTCCACCCTGGGTGACATAGTGAAAACCAGTCTCAAAAAAAAAAAAAAAAAAAAAACAGAAAAAAGAAAAGAAGTGTGCACTTTAACAATATTTCCAGGTAACTCTACACATGTGAAAGTTGAAGAAGCACTGGGCTCAACCCCTGACTGCTGTGCAGCTGGGGGTAGACCAGGTGGAGTGGGCCTGCCAGCTTGCCTTGCAGAACCTCAGATCCCACAGCCAGATCCCAACCCCACTGTAACCTCCATTTCCTACACAGCCTTCTCTGAACGCTCCTCCCACCTCTGCCTATGGAGCATCATAATAATAATAAATAATATTTTAATAACAAAATGGCAAAAGTTTATTTGGTGCATCTCCTATGCAAGGAATTAAATGAATTAAGTTAATTCATTTAATCCTTACTACCACCTTAGGATGTAGGTCTTACAATTAGTCCCACTTTACAGATGAGGACCCAGAGCATCAAGATGCATCCGGCCAGGCGCGGTGGCTCACGCCTGTAATCCCAGCACTTTGGGAGGCCATGGCGGGCAGATCACAAGATCAGGAGTTTGAGACCAGCCTGGCCAATATGGTGAAACCCCGTCTCTACTAAAAATACAAAAATTAGCCAGGCATGGTGGTGTGCATCTGTAGTCCCAGCTACTCGGAAGACTGAGGCAGAAGAATTGCTTAAACCTGGGAGGTGGAGGTTGCAGTGAGCCGAGATGGTGCCACTGCACTCCAGCCTGGGTGACAGAGTGAGGCTCTATCTCAAAAAAAAAAAAAAAAAAAAGAAGAAGAAGATGCATCCAGCCGGGCTCGGTGGCTCACAGGCAACATAGCCAGACCCTGTCTCTACAAAGGTAATAATACTAATAATAATAATCATAGGCAGGCACACCTGTAGTCCCAACTACTTGAGTGGCTGAGGCAGGAGAATCACTTGAGCCCAGGAAATGGAGGCTGCAGTGAGCTGTCATCACACCACTGCACTCCAGCCTGTGCAATAGAGCAAGACCCTATCTCAGAAAAATAAATAAAATATTATAGACTTACAAGAAGTTGCAAAAATACCACAGAAGCGTTTCCCATATCCCTCACCCAGCTTTTCCTAATAGTAACATCTTGCATAACTATAGTAATTCTCAAAACTAGGAACCTGACATTGTCACAATACTATTCACTCAACTACAGACTTTACCGGGATTTCACCAGTTTTTGCATGCACTCATTTCTTTCTGCATGTCTTTGTGTATAATTCAGTGACAGTTTATCACAGGTATAAATCCCATAATCAAAATACAGAATTGCTTCCTTACTACAAAGAAATGTACAAGTCACACCTTTACAGTCACATCCTCCCTCTCCTTCTCTTACCCTTGACAACCACTAATCTGTTCTCCAGCTTTGTAATTTTGTCATTTCAAGGATGTTATATAAATGGAATCACATAGCATGTCACTTTTTTTTTTTTTTTTGAGACAGAGTCTTGCTCTGTTGCCCAGGCTGGAGTGCCGTGGTGCAATCTCGGCTCACTGCAACCTCCACCTCCTGGGTTCAAGCGATTCTCCTCCCTCAGCCTCTCGAGTAGCTGGGGTTACAGGCACGTGCCACCACACCCGGCTAATTTTTTGTATTTTTAGAAGAGATGGGGTTTCACCATGTTGGCCAGGCTGGTCTCGAACTACTGACCTCGTGATCTGCCTGCCTAGGCCTCCCAAAGTGTTGGGATTACAGGTGTGAGCCACCACGCCCGGCCAGAATGTCACTTTTTGAGACCGACTTTTTTCCCCACTCAGTAAAACATGCTTAAAATCCATCCAGGTTGTGTGTATCAATAGTTGAATCCTATTAATTGCTGAAAGTAATTGTGGTTTTTGCATTGTTGAAATTTGTCATTTGATATTGGAATACATTCTTAAATAAATGTGGTTATGTTATACATCATTTTAATGTCCATTTCTTGCTTTATGTTTTTTTGCTCATGACATTACTTGCTGTTGATTTTATGTTTACTTTAGACTATGGAAATTATATTAGGCAGAAAGCAAATTCAGGCAATTTTCTTATTTGGGTTCAAAACGGGTTGTTAAGCAGCGGAGACAAATCGCAATATCAACAACACATTTGGCACGGGAACTGCTAATGAACGTACAGTGCAGTGGTGGTTCAAGAACTTTTGAAAAGGAGAAGTTTTGCCTTGAAGATGAGGAGCATAGTGGCCGCCGTAGGAAATTGACAACAACCAACTGAGAACAGTCATCGAAGCTGATTCTCTTACAACTACACAAGAAGTTGCCGAAGAACTCAACGTCGACCATGGACCATTCTATGGTTGTTCGGCATTTGAAGCAAATCGGAAAGGTGAAAAAGCTCCATAATGGCCAGGCGCAGTGGCTCACACCTGTAATCCCAGAACTTTGGGAGGCCGAGGCAGGCGGATCACCTGAGGTCAGGAGTCCGAGACCAGCCTAGCCAACACGGCAAAACCCTGTCTCTACTAAAAATACAAAAATTAGCTGGGTGTGGTGGTGGGTGCCTGTAATCCCAGCTACTCAGGAGGCCGAGGCAGGAGAATTGCTTGAACCTAGGAGGCGTAGGTTGCAGTGAACCGAGATCGCGCCGCTGCACTCCAGCCTGGGAGACAGGGCAAGACTCTGTCACAAAAAGAAAAAAAAAAAAAAACTCGGTAAGTAGGTGTCTCATGAGCTGAGCGAAAATTTTAAAAATCGTCATTTTGAAGTGTCATCTCTTATTCTATGCAACAGCAACGAACCATTTCTTAATCAGATTGTGACGTGAAATGAAAAGTGGATTTTATACAACAACCGGCAACGACCCGCTCAGTGGCTGGACTGAGAAGAAGTTCCAAAGCCCTTCCCAAAGCCAAACTTGCACCAAAGAAAGGTCATGGTCACTGTTTGGTGGTCTGCTGCCCGTCTGATCCACTACAGCGTTCGGAATCCTGACGAAACCATTACATCTGAGAAGTAGCCTCAGCAAATCCATGAAATGCACCAAAAACTGCAATGCCTGAAGCTGGCATCGGTCAACAGAACGGACCCAGTTCTCCACGACAACGCCTGACTGCATGTCACACAACCAATGCTTCAAAAGTTGAATGATTGGGCTATGAAGTTTTGCCTCATCCACCACATTCACTTGACCTCTCGCCAACCAACTACCACTTCTTCAAGCATCTCGACAACTTTTTGCAGAAAAAAATGCTTCCACAATCAGTAGGATGCAGAAAATGTTTCCCAAGAACTCGTCGAATCCCAAAGCACAATTTTTACGGTACAGGAATAAACAAACTTATTTCTCATTGGCAAAAATGTGTTGATTGTAATGTATCATATTCTGACTTATAATAAAGATGGGTTTGAGCCTAGTTATAATAGTTTTTAAAATTCACTGTCCAAAACTGCAATTACTTTTGTACCAACCTAATAATATTCTCTTGCATGGACGTGCCACACTAACCATTCACCTGTTGGAGGACATATGAGTTGTTTCCAGTTTGGGACTATCACAAATAAAGCTGCTATGAATATTTGTATCAGCTTTTTGTTTGGACATACATATTGATGTCTCTAGGATAAATGAGCAGGAGTGTGGTTGCTGAGTCATGTGGTAAGCACACACTTAAATTTTTAAGAAAGTGCCACTGTTTTCCAGAATGGCTGTATCATTTTACATTTTCACCAGTGGTGTGTGGAAGACTGGGTTTCTTCACGTCCTCAGCAGCATTTGGTCCTATTGGTATTACTGTTACTCATTCTAATAGGGGTGTACTGGTATCTCATCTTGGTTTTAATTCACATTTCTCTAATGGCTAGTGATATTGACATATTTTCATGTGTTTGTTTACTATCTGTGTATCCTCTTTGACTGTCTGTTCATGTCTTTTGCCCATTTCTATTGGATTTTTTCTTGTTTTTATGGATGAGTTTTGAGAATAATATATATTTTTTTCTAGCTACTATTCCTTGTTGAATACATGATTTGTAAATATTGTCTTCCAGCCAGTGTCTTGTTTTCTCATCCTTTAACAGGGCCTTTTGCAGAACAAAAGTTATTAATTTTAATAAAGTCCAATTGATCCTTTTTTTGTTTTAGAGACAGGATCTTGATAAAGCAATCCTACCACCTCAAGTTTCCAAGTAGCTAGGACTACAGGCATGTGCCACCATGCCCAGCTAATTTTTTTATTTTTGTAGAAACAGTCTCACTGGCTGGGCATGGTGGCTCACGCCTGTAATCCCAGAACTTTGGGAGGCAGAGGCAGGTAGATCATGAGGTCAGAAGATCAAGACCATCCTGGCCAACATGGTGAAACCCCGTCTCTAATAAAACACAAAAAATTAGCTGGGTGTGGTGGCACACGCCTGTAGTTCCAGCTACTCGGAAAGCTGAGGCAGGGGACTTGCCTGAACCTGGGAGGCAGAGGTTGCGGTGAGCCAAGATTGTACCACTGCACTCCAGCCTGATGACAGAGTGAGACTCCATCTCAAAAAAAAGAAACAGTCTCACTATGTTGCCCATGCTCGTCTTGAACTCCTGGACTCAAGCAATCCTCCCACCTTGTCCTTCCAAAGCGCTGGGATTACAGGCATGAGCTGCCTCACCTAGCCCCTTTTTGTTTTTTAAAGAATCATGCTGGTTGGGAGCGGTGGTTCATGCCTGTAATTCCAGCAATTTGGGAGGCTGAGGTGGGCAGATCACCTGACTCAGGAGTTTGAGACCAGCCTGGCCAACATGATGAAACCCTGCCTCTGCTAAAAATACAAAAATTAGCTGGGTGTGGTGGTATGTGGCTGTAATCCCAGCTGCTCAGAAGGCTGAGGCACAAGAGAATCGCTTGAACCCGGGAGGTTGCAGTGAGCCGAGATGGCGCCACTGCACTCTAGCCTGGGTGACAGAGTGAAACTCCATCTCAAAAAAACAAAACAAAAACAAAACAAAAAAAAAAATCATGCTTTTGGTATCAAGTCTAGGAACTCTTTGCCTAACCCTAAGTTATAAAGATTTTCTTCTATGTTCTGTTTTTAAAGTTTACAGTTTTACATTTTACATTAAGATCTATGATATATCCTGAGTTAATTTTCTTTTTTCTTTCTTTTTTATTTTTTTTGAGCAGATTGTCACTCTGTTGCCCAGGTTGGAATGAAGTGGCGTGATCTTGGCTCACTGCAACCTCGGCCTCCCAGATTCAAGTGATTCTCGTGCTTCAGCCTCCCAAGTAACTGGGACTATAGACCTCTGCCACCATGCCAGGATAATTTTTGTGTTTTTATTACAGATGGGGTTTTACCATGTTTGCCAGGCTGGTCTCAAACTCCTGACCTCAGGTGATCCACCTGCCTTGGCCTCCCAAAGTACTGGGATTACAGGCATGAGCCACTATGCCAGGTCCTGAGTTAATTTTTATATAAGGGGTGAGGTTTAGGCTGACATTCGTACTTTTCACTCTTGATGTCTCATTGCCCATTTGTTGAAAAGACTATCTTTTCTATATTGAGTTCTTTTGTACCTTGATCAAAATTCATTTGGGTATACTTATGTGGTTCTGTTTCTGGGTTCTCTTCTGTTTCATTGACCTATGTGTCTGTGCTTCCACTAATATCATACTGTCTTGATTATCATGGTCATATAATAATCTCAAAACCAGCAAGTGTGACTCCTCCTACCTTCTTCCTTTTAAATATTGTTTCAGCTATTCTAGTTCCTTTGCCTTTCTATATACATTTTAAGATAAGCTTGTCTATACAGACCAAAAAAAACTTGGAATTTTTATGGGAACTGCATTGAATTATAGATTACTTTGAAGAGAATTGACATCTTTACTATGTTGAGCATTCCAATCCATGAACATGGTATATCTGTCCCTTAATTTAGATAGGTTTTGATGTCTTTCATCCGGGTTTTACAGTTTTCAGCATACAAATCCTATTCATGTTTTGTTGGATTTATACCTAAGTATTTTTCAGTAATTGTAAGTGGAATTGTATTTTTAATTTTAGTTTCCAAATATTTATTGCTGGTATAAATAAATATAATTGATTTTCTGTGTTCATGTTGTATCTTGTGGCTTTGATCAACTCACTTATTAGTTCTAGGAGTTCTTGTAGTTTCCTGGGGCTTTATACATAATCATGCCATCTACAAATAAGGAGAGTTTTATTTCTTCCCTTCCAATCTCTGTGTATTTTATTTTATTTTTGCCTTATTGCACTGCCTAGGACTTCTGACACTATGTTAAATAAGAGTGATGAGACATCACACCCATTAGGATGGCTACAACAAAAACAGAAAATAACAAATGCTGACAAGGACATGGAGAAATTGGAACCCTTGTACACTGTTGGTGAGATGTAAAATGATACAGCCATTATGGAAAACAGTATGGCAGTTCCCCAAAAAATTAAAAATAGGATTACCATATGATCCAGCAATTCCACTTCTGTGTATATACCCAAAAGAATTGAAAGCAGGGACTCAAAGAGGTATTTGTACACCCATGTTCATAGCAGCATTATTTGCAATAACTAAAAGGTGAAAACATTCCAAGTGTCTATTGACTGATAAATGAATAAGACAAATGTGATATATACATGCAACAGAACATTATTCAGCCTTAAAAAAAGAAAGAAAGAATTCTGACCCATGCTACAATATGAATGAACCTTAAGGCCGTTATGCTAAGTGAAATAAGCCAGTCACAAAAGGACAAATATATGATTCTGCCTATATGAGGCATATAGAGTAGTCAAATTCATAGAAACAGTAATATAGCAGTTACCAGGGGCTTGGAGGAGAGGGGAATGGGAGTTATTGTTTGATAAGTAAAGACTTCCAGTTTTGCAAGATGAAAAGAGTTCTGGAGATAGATGGTACTGATGGTAGCACAACAATGTAATGTATTTAATGCCACTGAATTGTATACTTAAAAATGGTTATGATAGGCCAGGCACAGTGGCTAATGCCTGTAATCCCAGCACTTTGGGAGGCCAAGGTGGGCAAATCATCTGAGGTCAGGAGTTCAAAACCAGCTTGAGCAATATGATGAAACCCCGTCTCTACTAAAAATACAAAAATTTGCCAGGCATGGTGGCACGCACCTGTAATCCCAGCTACTCAGGAGGCT
Organism: Homo sapiens; assembly: GCF_000001405.40. Classification (NCBI taxonomy): domain Eukaryota; kingdom Metazoa; phylum Chordata; class Mammalia; order Primates; family Hominidae; genus Homo; species Homo sapiens. The sequence continues at coordinate 39,285,490 of NC_000019.10, forward strand.
GAGACAGGAGAATCGCTTGAACCCAGAAGGCAGAGGTTGCAGTGAGCTGAGATCGCGCCATTGCACTCCAGCCTGGGCAACAAGAGCAAAACTCTGTCTCAAAAAAAAAATGGTTACGATAGTAAATTTTATATTATGTGTATTTCATCCCAATGAAAATAATGAAATAATGAGGGGTGAGAATGAGTATCCTTGCCATGCTTGTGATTTTTAGGAGGAAAAGCAACAAGTATTTCACCATTTTGAGGCTAGCTGAAGGTTTTTCATAAATTTTGTTATCAGGCTGAGAAAGTTTCCTTCAATTTCTAGTTTTCTGAAAGTTTTTTATATCAGGAATGGATGTTAGATTTTGTCAGATGCTTTTTATGCATGATTTTTCTTTTTTAGCCTGTTAATATGATGAATCCCATTGAGAAATTGCAAAATATTTGGCTAACCTTGCATTCCTGGAATAAATCCCACATAGTCATGAAGTATAATTTTTCTTTAATGTGAAACATCTTTATTTACTTTGGACCACCACTCTTCCAGTGAGATTAACTTTTCCACCTTTAACTGCAGTAAAAGATATATTAAGTTGGTGCAAAAGTAATTGCAGTTTTTGCCATTATTTTTAACGACAAAAACCACAATTACTTTTGCATCAACCTAATATAACGTAAAATTTGCCATTTTAACCACGTTTAAGTGTACAATTTAGTGGTATTAATTACATTCACAATGGTGTGCAGCCATCACCACTATGTGTTTTCAAATTTTTTTCAACACCCCAAACAGAAAACCTGTATGCATAAAGCAAATAACATCCCTTCCTCACTCAGCCCTAAGTAATTTCTAATTTCCTTTCTGCCTCTATGAATTTCCCTATTCTCGATATTTCCCATAAGTAGAATCATAAAATATTTGTCTTTTTTGTGTCTGGCTTACTTCACTTAGCCATAATGGTTTCAAGGATAATCGATATAGCAGCATGTATTAGAATTTCATTCTTTTTTATACATGAATAATATTTCATTGCATGTACATATCATATTTTGTTTATTCACTCATCTGTTCATGAACACATGGGTTGTTTCCATCTTTGTGAATAACAGTGTTGTGAATATAGGTCTATAAGTGTCTGCATGAGTCCTTGTTCAGTTCTTTTTTTTGACATGGAGTCTCACTCTGTTGCTGAGGCTGGAGTGCAGTGGCGCAATCTTGATTCACTGCAACTTCTGCCTCCCAGGTTCAAGCCATTCTCCTGCCTCAGCCTGCCGAGTAGCTGGGATTACAGGCATGCACCACCACGCCCTGCTAATTTTTGTATTTTTAGTAGAGATGGGGTTTCTCCGTGTTGGCCAGCCTGGTCTCGAACTTCTGACCTCAAATGATCTGCCCACCTTGGCCTCCCGAAGTCCTTGTTCAATTCATATGGCAACATATTTATTTTTACATATTTTTTATTGCTGTATAAGATTTGCTTTTTTTGTATGTACATTCATAAAAAATATTGGTCTAAACTGGGCACTGTGGCTCATGCCTGTAATCCTAGCACTTTAGGAGGCCAAGGCGGGAGGATCGCTTGAGCCCAGGTGTTCAAGAGTAGCCTGGGCAACATGGCGAAATTTTGTCTCTACAAAAAAATCCAGAAATTAGCCAGGCATGGTGGTGGGCACCTGTAGTCCCAGCTACCCAGGAGGCTGAGGTGGGAGGATCACCTGAGCCCAGGAGGTTGAGGCTGCAGCAAGCTGTGATCATGCCACTGCACCCAGCCTGGGTAAAAGAGTGAAACCTTGTCTCAAAAAAAAAAAAAAAGATAAGAAAAGAAAAGGAAAATACTGGTCTATAGCTTCTCTTTTTCTTTATTTGTTTTCATTCTGCCTTTGTCTGGTTTTGGAATCAGGATAATGCTGACTTTATAAAATGAAATGAAAAGTATTGCTTCCTCTTCTGTTTTCTGGAAGCGATACTAAAGAATTGGTATCAATTCTTCTTTAAATGTTTGCTAGATTTCTACAGTGAAAACATCTGGACACAAAGATTTCCTTCTTGGGAGCCTTTTAATTAGAGATCAAGTTTTTTAAATAGTTATAAGACTACTCATAATATCTATTTCATCTTAGGTGAGCTTTGGCCAAGCGATCCTCCCGCCTTGGCCTCCTAAAGTGCTAGGATTACAGCACTTTGCGGTCTTTGAGCAATTTGTCCATATTGTCTAAGTTGAGTTTATATGCATAGACTCATTCACAGTATTCCCTTATTATTCTTTTAACGTCCATGAGGTCTGTAGTGATAGTGGTCATTTGTGTCTTCTCTCTTTTCTCTTCTTCTGTCTTGCTAAAAGTTTATCAATTTTATTCATCTTTTCAAAGAACCAGCTTTTGATTTTATTGTCTTTATTGCTTTTCTGTTTTCTATGTAATTGATTTCTCCACCTCTTTATGATTTCTTTCCTTCTGCTTGATTTGAGTTTACTTAGCTTTTTCTAGTTTCTTGAGGGAATGCCTTGTTTAGTAATTTGAGACTTTTCCTTCATTTTTTTGTTTTTTTGAGACAGAGTCTCGCTCTGTCATCCAGGCTAGAGTGCAGTGGTGCCATCTCGGCTCACTGCAACCTCTGCCTTCCAGGTTCAAGCGATTTTTGTGCCTCAGCCTCCCAAGTAGCTGGGGTTACAAGTGTGCACCACCACACCTGGCTAATTTTTGTATTTTTAGTAGAGACAAGGTTTCACCATGTTGGCCAGGCTGGTCTTGAACTTCCATCAAATGATTCACCCACCTCAGCCTCCCAAAGTGCTGGGATTACAGGCTTGAGCCACCACATCTGGCCATTTCTTCATTTTTAATATAAGCATTAAGTGCTATAAACTTCTCTCTAAGACTGCTTTAGTTGTATCCCACAAGTTTTGGGGGAGGTTTCTTCCTGTTTTTTTTTTTTGAGACAGGGTCTCATTGTGTCACCCAGGCTGGAGTGCAGTGGTGCTATCACTGCTCACTGCAGCCTCAACCTCCTGGGCTCAAGTGATCCTCCCTCCTCAGCCTCCCAAGTAGCTGGAACTACAGGTGCACACCACCACACCCAGCTAATTTTTAAATTTTTTGTAGGACCGTGTCTCCCTATGTTGCCCAGGCTGGTCTTGAACTCCTGGGCTCAAATGATCCTCCTACTTCAGCCTCCCAAATTGTTGAGATTACAGGCATGAGCCACTATGTCCAACCACGAGTTTTTATATGTTGTATTTTTGTCCTCATTCATTTTGGCTATTTTTTTTTTTTTTTTTTTTGAGATGAAGTCTCACTCTATCGCCCAGGCTGGAGTGCAGTGGCACAATCTTGACTCACTGCAACCTTCACTTCCCAGGTTCGAGCAATTCTCCCTGCCTCTGGCTCCCAAGTAGCTGGGATTACAGATTCCTGCCACCACACCTGGCTAATTTTTTGTACTTTTAGTAGAGACAGGGTTTCGCCATGTTGGCCAGGGTGGTCTGGAACCCCTGACCTCAGGTGATCAGCCCTCCTCAGTCTCCCAAAGTGCTGCGATTACAGGCATGAGCCACCCTGCCCAGCCTAACTTTTGTATTTTTGATAGAGGTGAGGTTTCACCATGTTAGCCAGGCTGGTCTCAAACTCCTGACCTCAAGTGAGCCACCCACCTCAGCCTCCCAAATGCTGAGATTAAAGTGTGAGCCATCACGCCTGGCCTCCATCCATTTACTTTTAACCTACCTATGTCATTATATTTGAAATGAGTTTCCTGTAGACAGCATACAGTTTTTTAAAATATATTCTGCCAATCTCTGTATATAAACCATTTGCATTTAATGTAATTACAGATATATTAGAACTTAAGTCTCCCATCTTATTTTTCTTCTGTTCCTTCTGTTTTTTATTCTTGTTTCCTTTTCATTGCCCTCCTGTGGATTACTAAGCTTTTTTTTAGTGTTTCATTTAGCTTTATCTATAGTTTTTTTTTTTTTAGTATATCTCTTTATATAGTTTTTTAGTGGTTGCTCTGGAATTACAGTATATATATAACATCACAATGCAATAGTATTAATATTTTATCTCTTCAAATGGAATGTAGGAAACATCACAATTTAGGTCCCTTTATCCTCCCTGATTTATAAATATATAGGTATCTTTATTTTGTGGTGGGGGAACAAAGTCTCGCTCCATCACCCCATTTGGAGTGCAGTCACAGCTCACCGCAGCCTCATCTCCCTGTCTCAGGTGGTCCTCCCACCTCAGCCTCCCAAGCAGCTGGGACCATGGGACCACAAGCACCTGCCACCACGCCTGGCTAATTTTTGTATTTTTGGTAGAGATAGGGTTTCGCCATGTTGCCTAGGCTGGTCTCAAATTCCTGAGCTTAAACAATACACCCACCTTGGCTCCCCCAAGTGCTGAAATCATAGGCATGAGCCACCATGCCCGTCCCCACTTTCTTTCTGTTCATCCAGAACATCAGTGATGTGAGTGTTAAAACTTAATGTACTAAAGGTCCCTGGAGCTCTTTTCTTTTCTCTTTTTTTAGAGACAGGGTCTCACATTGTCCCCCAGGCTGGAGTGCAGTGGTGCGATATTGGCTTGCTTTAACCTCCACCTCCCTGGAGTTCTTTTCATTTTTAAAAATCTACTTTCTATCCTTTGTTCATACTTCAATCTATTTGCTACTTACTCTCTGTTGTTCAGAATGAGTAATTTCTATTGACCTATCTTCAAGTTTTCTGATTCTTTCTTCTGCCATCTCCATTCTGCTATTTGGCCCTTTCAGTGAGTTTTACTTCAGTTCTTGTATTTTTCAGTTCTTATATTTCTCTGTTCTAAAATTTCCACTCAATTCTTTATACCTTCTATTTCTTTGATGAAACTTTCTATTAAAAATTTTTGTGTCAGCCAGGTGCAGAGGCTCACTCCTGTAATCCCAGCACTTTGGGAGGCTGAAGTGAGTGGATCACGAGGTCAGGAGATCGAGACCATCTTGGCTAACACGGTGAAACCCCGTCTCTACTACTAAAAATACAAAAAATTAGCCAGGCGTGGTGGCAGGTGCCTGTAGTCCCAGCTACTCAGGAGGCTGAGGCAGGAGAATGGCATGAACACGGGAGGTGGAGCTTGCAGCCACTGCACTCCAGCCTGGGCGACAGAGCAAGACTCTGTCTCAAAAAAAAAAAAAAATTGTGTCAAAAGTATTCATGATTGTTTGTTGAAGCATTTTTATGACAATTACTTTAAAATTATTGTCAGAGAGCCAGGCATGGTGGCTTACACCTGTAATCCCAGCTACTCGGAAAGCCAAAGAGGGACGATTATTTGAGGCCAGGAGTTTGAGGCCAGCCTGAGCAACAAAGTGAGATTTCACCCATATCTTAAAAAGCAAATAAATAAAAATTTTTTAAATATTTTTGTCCAATAATTTCAATATTTGTATCATTTTAGTGTTGGCATCTATTGATTGGCTTTTCCCATTCCACTTGAGATTTTCCTAGTTCTTGAGATGATGAGTATAACAAGTTATTTTCTCTTGTATCCTGGACTTTTGAGACATTACATTATGAAATGCTGGTTTCTTTTTTAATCTTGTCATTGCTGAGGCAATAATCAGAGCTCTGTTCACACATTTCTGGTGCTAGTCACCTTACACAGTGAACAAATCACAAGTTTTGGGTAATTTGTTACATAGTAATTGTAACGAGACACACACACACACACACACACACACAAACAAGCCTATTTGTACATAAAAGAAGAAATTGTCTACGTGTGCAGGTATAATTCTTTTGCTCCTTGGGCCCCAGGACAGCAGTAGAGTAAAAATGGCTGTGTGGGGTCCTTGGTGGGGTGGGAATTAGAGGTGATAGGGCCCCCACCATAGTTTAGGTGACCTGAAAGCTGGGCTGTATATCTGTTTTAGTGCATTTGTGTTGCTATAAAGGAATACCTGAGGCTGGGCAATTTATAATGAAAAGAGGCTTATTTGGCTCACAGTTCCGCAGGTTGTACAAGACGCATGGCACTGGCATCTGTTCCTGGTGAGGGCATCGGGCTGCTTCCACTCAGGATGGAAGGCAAAGGGGAGCTGCATGTGTGGAGACCATGTGGCAAGAGAGGAAGCAAGAGAGATGAGAGGTGCCAGGCTCTTTTTAACAAGCAGCTCTTGAGAAACCTAACAGAGTGAGGACTCACACATTACCTCAAGGATGGCACCAAACCATTCACAATGGATCTGCCCCCAGGACCCAAACACCTCCGACTAAGCTCCACCTCCCAACATTGCCATACTGGGGATTAAACTTTTTTTTTTTTTTTTTTTGAAACAGAGTCTCACTCTGTCACCCAGGCTGAGTGCATGATCTCAGCTCACTGCAACCTCCACTTCCCGGGTTCAAGCGATTCTCGTGCCTCAGCCTCCCGAGTAGCGCCACCACACCTGGCTAATTTTTTGTATTTTTAGTAGAGACAGGGTTTCACCCTGTTGGCCAGGCTGGTCTTGGACTCCTGACCTCAGATGATCTGCCTGCCTCGGCCTCCCAAACTGCTGGGATTACAGGTGTGAGCCACCACGCCCAGCCCTTATTTTTTTTTTTTTTTAATTTGTAGAGATGAGGTCTTGCTATGTTGCCCAGGCTGGGCTCAAACTCCTGGGCTCAAGCAATCCTCCCTTCTCAGCCTCTCAAAGTGCTGGGATTATAGGCATGAATAATCGTGCCAGGCCAAAGACAAGTTTTAACAGTCAGCTCTCTGGCCACAAATTATTTATATTCCTTCCACATGCAAAATAGACTCATGTCTTTCCTCAACCTCAAAAATCTCATCTACTATGGCAGGCTCAGATGCAAGCCCCAGGATCTCATCATCTAAATCAGATCCAAGTGTTGGGGAGGCTACAGTATTGCCAGCATATAGACCCTCGAGCACTTCTGGAGAGAGGGATACAGGTGCAACTATTTGGGAGAGCAAAGGATGAATATGTAGAGCTGTGCTGCCCATCATGATAGCCACTAGCCACATACAGTAATTAAATTTAAATAAAATGAAATAAATTGAAAATTCAGTTCCTGCATTGCACTTGCCAAATTTTAAATACCTAACAGCCACATTGGACCGTAAAGATGCACAATATTTCTGTCATTGCAGAAAGTTCTAATGAACAGCACTGATTAGACCATATAAGCACAGGTATGCCCTGTGACCCAGCAATCTTCAGTTCAGGTTCTCCCAAAAGCATATCCTGAAGCCAAAGATGCAGGTGGCTTATTTGGGAGCTGTTTCCCAGAAGCACAAGCGAGTGGGGAAACTGAGCCAGGAAGAGCAAAAAGCCAATAAATGGTGCAGAGTCTGGAGTAGAGGGAGGCACCTAGAGCACTTCCCTGACTCAGAGTGAGCACCTCCTTAATTTTTGTTTGTTTGTTTGTTTGTTGAGACAGAGTCTCACTCTGTCACCCAGGCTGGAGTGCTGTGGCACAATCTCGGCTCACTGCAGCCTCCGCCTCCCAGGCTCAAGCGATTCCTGTGACTCAGCCTCCTGAGTAGCTGGGTTTACAGGCACATGCCACCACACCCAGCTAATTTTTGTATTTTTAGTAGAGACAGGGTTTCACCATGTTGGCCAGGCTGGTCTCGAACTCCTGGGCTCAGGTGATCTGCCCACCTCGGCCTCCCAAAATGCTGGGATTACAGGTGTGAGCCACCACGCCTGGCCCCCTGCTTAAATTTTGACTCTGGTCCCCTAATTTGACCCACCCTAATTCCAGCCCCCAAAAAGGCTACTGCTGTGAGCAGCTAGAAGTCATTTGTTCTGGGGACAGTCAGAAGATCAAGGAGTCATGTAGAAGTCGCCCGAGAATTGACCCTCCAAGGGAAAGGGAAGCTGCAGTATTTATTCCATTGCTTTCAGCCCTCACTGTTTGAGGACTGCTACTGGGGGAATCAATCCTGCTACTTCCAGTCCATTCTGCATGTGGGCAGTAGAAAGGCCTTGGTCTCCAGCAGAGAAGCAGAAAGATCCAAGCACGTGAGGCAGGAAACTGTCAGCCTGTGTGGGAACTGACCACCATATCCACAAGCCGAGGGGATACAGTAGAGGGCATCAGCTGGTGTGCTACCGTATATTCCAGAAAGCCGCCCACCCAGAGGACAGGTGTGAGCCTTATGGTAATGGGGAGCTAGAGGCAACCTAAGTGTCCATCACTGGGGGAATAGGTAAGTAAAAGTGCTGTGGTTGTATACACCATGAAATACAGTGCACAGGAAACTTGATGTACACAGCTTGTGAAGAGATCTCAGAAGCAGTGTTAAGTTAAAAAATAAAAAAGAAAGAAGTAGAAGATTTATAGCACAATTCCACTTATGTAAATTGGAAACACATACACACACGAGATCACAAATTATAAAGATACATCTTTGCAGCTATTTATCAAGTGCATTATAGTGGGTGTCTGTGGGGGTGCGATGGGAATGGGAATTGGCAATGGAGGAATAAAAGCCTTGGAGGGTCTTTCATGGGCCAATTGTGATCCTGTGTTATGATCTGAAGAGTATGATTAATAACTTTCTGCACCAAAGGGCTAAGAAAAAAAATAAAGGAGTGAAAATAGGAAATGTCTGCACATCAGAGCAGTTTCTTACCTGCTACACAATTACTATTACTGCAGGGATGATGATAGCAAGGCAACCAGACTCACCGCCTGCCTTCTCTCCAGGCAGCCCCTCCAGTCCCCAGGAAATGCGCTTGCCCCCAGCGAATAAGGAGTTCCCTACCCCTCTCATGCTACCCAGAGGGACAGAAAGGAGAAGTGGGCCTGCTACCCCCAGAGGTTCTCATCTTCTACCTGGGCTGCATATGGAATAGGGAGCAAGTACATAGGACTCATCATACCCCATTTCTGCCTCTATCCCACTGTGGGACCTTAGGCAAGTCACTTTGCCTTCCTATGCCTCAGTTATCTCACTAGTAAAATGGGCATGATTATTGTATTAGTCAGGGTTCTCCAGAGAGACAGAACAAATAGGATGTTTGGATAAATAGATGATAGATAGAGAGATATAGACTAGATAGATGAGAGAGATAGACTAGATAGAGAGAGAGAGAGAGAGAGAGAGAGAGAGAGACTAGATAGATGAGAGAGAGATAGGAGGGGATTTATTAGGGGAATTGGCTCAGACAATTAGGGAGGCTAAGAAGTTCCACAACAGGCCATCTGCAAGCTGGAGAACCAGGGAAGCTTGTAGTGCAGCTCAGTTCCAGAATAAAAGCCTCAGGACTTAGGGGGTAGCTAGTGCAAGTCCCAGCATTTTTTTTTTTTCTGAGATGGAGTCTCACTCTGTTGACCAGGCTGGAGTGCAGTGACATGATCTCAGCTCACTGCAGCCTCCGCCTCCAGGGTTCAAGCGATACTCCTGCCTCAGCCTCCCAAGTAGCTGGGACTACAGGCCTGTGCCACCACGCCTGGCTGATTTTTATATTTTTAGTAGAGATGGGGTTTCACCATGTTGGCCAGGCTGGTCTCGAACTCCTGACCTCAAGTGATTCACCTGCCTCAGCCTCCCAAACTGCTGGGATTACAGGCGTGAGCCACCATGCCCAGCTGCACATCCCAGCATTCAAAGACCAAAGAGCCTGGAGTTCTGATGTTTAAGGGCAGGTGCAGGGTGTCCCAGCTCATAAGAGAGAGCAAATTCTCCTTTCCTCTGCCTTTTTGTTCTATTCAGGCCCTCGGCCAATTGGATGGTGCCCACCACATTGGGTAACAACGGGTCTTCCTTACTCAGTCCATTGATTCAAATGCCAATCTCTTCTGGAAACACCCCAGAGTCATACCCAGAATTAACGCATCACCAGCTATCTGATAAACTTAACCAGTCAAGGTGACACCTAAAATTAACCATCACAATTATAAAAATAACTACTCAGAGAAACATTAGGAGCATGAACTGAAATTAGTTAATGGGACATTCTTAAACCAATGGCAGAAGCTCCTTCTTGGCCAGGAGCAGTGGCTCATGCCTTTAATACTAGCACTTTGCGAGGCTGAAGCAGGAGGATGGCTTAAGGCCAGGAGTTCAAGACTGGCCTGGGCAACATAGTGAGACCCCTATCTCTACAAAAATAAATAAATAAATAATAAAGTAAGGTGGTGGCTCACGCCTGTAATCCCAGCACTTTGGGAGGCCAAGGCAGGCAGATCATCTGAAGTCAGGAGTTCGAAGCCAGCGTGACCAACATAGTAAAACCCAGTCTCTACTAAAAATACAAAAACTAGCCAGGCGTGATGGCATGCACCTGTAATCCCAACTACTTAGGAGGCTGAGGCAGGAGAATCGCTTCAACTCGGGAGGCAGAAGTTGCAGTGAGCCAAGATTGCACCATTGCACTCCAGCCTGGGCAACAAGAGCAAAACTACGTCTCAAAAAATAATAATAACAATAAAATAAAAAACAAGCTTTTTTTTTTTTGAAACAGGATCTCACTCCATCACCCAGGCTGGAGTGCAGTGGCACGATCTTGGCTCACTGCAACCTCCGCCTCCCGGGTTCAAGTGATTCTCATGCCTCGGCCTCCTGAGTAGCTGAGACCACAGGCGCATGCCACCACACCTGGCTAATTTAGAATAAAAAAGAAGCTTCCTCTCTGCCACTCAGGTAGCCTTATCCCTAATCTCAGCCTCCGTCAGGGACTCCCTGAGGCCAGTTGGCTGAAAGCTGCCCAGGGAGTTCTAAGGATTTCAGTTTCTCTTTCCTTCTTGATGCAGCTCCCAGCTCACTTGGCCCTGCCCACACCTGTTCCCTCATCAGGCTCCCAGACGGGCCCCGCCCACTCATGCCTCTTAAGTCAAAGTGGAAATTCTCATTTCCAATTACCTTTTCACTTTACACACATCATCTTGGATTGCCCATTTTGCGTGGCTAAAAAGCAGAGCCATGCCGCTGGGGAAGCAGTTGCGATTTAGCCATGGCTGCAGCTTGGACCGTGGTGCTGGTGACTTTGGTGCTAGGCTTGGCCGTGGCAGGCCCTGTCCCCACTTCCAAGCCCACCACAACTGGGAAGGGCTGCCACATTGGCAGGTTCAAATCTCTGTCACCACAGGAGCTAGCGAGCTTCAAGAAGGCCAGGGACGCCTTGGTGAGTTCCTGTTGCTGTGGATGAACCACTTCTACGGGTGTCCCAATTACTGCCCTTCTACTGTGGGCTAGCCTCTAGCCTTCCAACTATGGCAAACCTCTATCCTTTCTGCACTGGGTTAAACCCATGCTGTCAGGCCAACTTCATCCTTGCTGCTATGAGCTAGCTTCCAGCCATCCTGCTGTGGGCTAACCCCTGCCCTTGCTCTCTAGGAAGAGTCACTCAAGCTGAAAAACTGGAGTTGCAGCTCTCCTGTCTTCCCCGGGAATTGGGACCTGAGGCTTCTCCAGGTGAGCTGAAAGTCAGGCCCCCTTCACCCTTCCCTTGACCCTCTCCCCCCTCTTCTTAAGTGGCCCCTTAGCCTTCTTTGTTTCCCTTGTCCTTCACTCTCTTGGACCTCTCCTCACCTGTCCTGTGCCCCTGCCACTTCAAAACTGCTCTCTTGACTCTGTCCTTCCCCTGGGTCCCTTTTATCATCTCCCATCGGCCCCACTTCCCTAGCTCGCTCACCTGTCCCTGTCACTTCCACTCTCACTCTTCATTTCTCTCCCAAATGTCTCCAGTCTGTCGCCCACCTGTGCCTTTCGTCCTGCTCCACTTCTCCCTGTCTGTTCCCAACACTGACCCCCTCTCCCTCTCACCTGCCTCTGTCACCTGTCCCTCATTATCTCTCACTGACATTCATCCAGCTCATGCTCCCCCCTCATCCACCCTTCTCTTTTTTTTTTTTTTTTTTTTTTTTTTGAGACAGAGTCTTGCTCTATGGCCCAGGCTGGAGTGCAGTGGCATGATCTCGGTTCACTGCAACCTCTGCCTCCCGGGTTCAAGCAATTATCCTGCCTCAGCCTCCCGAGTAGCTGGGATTACAGGCATGTGCCATGATGCCCAGCTAATTTTTGTATTTTTAGCAGAGACGGGGTTTCACTATGTTGGCCAGGCTTGGTCTCGAAATCCTGACCTCAGGTGATCCACCCGCCTCGGCCTCCCAAAGTGCTGGGATTACAGGCGTGAGCCACCACACCCAGCCCTACCCTTCTTCTCTGTGCATGCAACTGTCCCTCTCTTACTGTGCCCCCAACCTGCTTTCTCCTCACCCGTCCCCACCCCGCCCCAGAGAACTTCTGTGACCCCCGTAAGTCCCCTTTCATTTGTCTCCATTTCACTTATCCCCTCACCTGCCTCCTTGACCATCCTGCCTCACCTGTATCCTTCCTCATGTCTTCCCCCTCCTGTCTCCTTCTCCCCAGACCCCTCACCTGTCCCCACCACATGCACTGTGTCACCGACCTTCCCCAGGACTGCCTACCTGTCCCCACTAACTGGGTCTTCTTGCCTGTTCTCCCTCACCTGCTCTTTCTCACCTCTCCTCAGGTGAGGGAGCGCCCTGTGGCCTTGGAGGCTGAGCTGGCCCTGACGCTGAAGGTCCTGGAGGCCGCTGCTGGCCCAGCCCTGGAGGACGTCCTAGACCAGCCCCTTCACACCCTGCACCACATCCTCTCCCAGCTCCAGGCCTGTGTGAGTCCTTGGGGCCCGGGCACCCAGGTCTGTGGGCTCTGAGCAGCATCCTTCCCCTGTGGTGGCCCAGGCTCCGCCTCACACACCGCCCTCTTCTGCCCACAGATCCAGCCTCAGCCCACAGCAGGGCCCAGGCCCCGGGGCCGCCTCCACCACTGGCTGCACCGGCTCCAGGAGGCCCCCAAAAAGGTGAGTGACCCAGGAAGAGAAGGACCAGGGTCTGGGGAGCCAATAGGAGCCCAGACCCTGGACAGCCCCTGACCCATCCCCTCCTCCCCTACAGGAGTCCGCTGGCTGCCTGGAGGCATCTGTCACCTTCAACCTCTTCCGCCTCCTCACGCGAGACCTCAAATATGTGGCCGATGGGAACCTGTGTCTGAGAACGTCAACCCACCCTGAGTCCACCTGACACCCCACACCTTATTTATGCGCTGAGCCCTACTCCTTCCTTAATTTATTTCCTCTCACCCTTTATTTATGAAGCTGCAGCCCTGACTGAGACATAGGGCTGAGTTTATTGTTTTACTTTTATACATTATGCACAAATAAACAACAAGGAATTGGAACCTTCTGTGATAGGTGAATCCTTGAGTGTGTGTGTGATTGTGGGTCTGTGACTGGGTGTGGATGTCTGGGTGATGCAGGCAAAATTTGTGACTCGTTGTGTATATTTGTGTGTGCCTGACTTCTGTGACTATGTATGTATTTGTATGGAAATGAGTGTCTGCCTGAACTTGAGTCTAACCAAAGGTGCGTAACTGTGCATGTTCATGCCCACACGTGTGCAAGTATGTGTGTGTACTGCCAGGCATGGTGGCTCACACCTGTAATCCCAGTGCTTTGGGAGGCTGAGGCAGGCAGATCACTTGAGGTCAGGAATTTGAGACCAGCTTAGCCAACATGGTGAAACCCTGTCTCTACTAAAAGTACAAAAATTAGCCGGGAGTTGTGGCATGACCCCGTAATCCCAGCTACTCGGGAGGCTGAGGCAAGAGAAATGCTTGAACCCGGGAGGTGGAGGTTGTGGTGAGCCGAGATCACATCACTGCACTCCAGCCTGGCCACCAAGAGAGAAACTCCATCTTAAAAAAAAAAAAAAAAAAAAAAAAAAAAAAAAAAAAAAGGCCAGCCTCCGTGGGCTCAGGCCTGTAATCCTAGCACTTTGGGAGGCCAAGGCGGGCAGATCACTTGAGGTCGGGAGTTTGAGACCAACCTGACCAACATGGAGAAACCCCATCTCTACTAAAAATACAAAAATTAGCCGGGTGTGGTGATGCATACCTGTAATCCCAGCTACTCGGGAAGCTGAGGCAGGAGAATCGCTTGAACCCGGGAGGTGGAGGTTGTGGTGAGCGGAGATCACGCCATTGCACTCCAGCCTGGGCAACAAGAGTGAAACTCCGTCTCGAGAAAGAAAAAAAAAAAAAGAAAGAAAAGAAAAGAAAAGCGGTCAGGATGCTACATCCTGGAACCTAACCACAATGGTGTGAGAAGCCCAGACATACAGAGAGACCACATATAGGTACTCCATCTGATAGTCCCAGTATAGCTTTTGAATCACCCCAGCTCAGGAACCAGACATGCGAGTGAAGAAGCATTTAGATGACTCTAGGTCCCAGCTGGAGCAGAGACAAGCCATCACCACTGGGCCCTGATTAAGTTCCTGACCCACAGAAACTGTGAGCATAATAATATTTGTTTTACGCCACTAAGTTGGGTTTGTTATAAGGCAAGAAATCATTGAAACAGTGAGAGAGCCACCAGCCCATCACAATTCACTGTGAGGTGTGTCACAAGAAATTTATTACCAAAATAACTCATCAGAGTTTCTTTTTTGGGTTGGGGAGAGGGGGACAGCGCCTGGCTCCATCGCCCAGGCTGAAGTGCAGTAGTACGATCTATCTCAGATCACTGCAATCTCCACCTCCTAGTTTCAAACCGTCCTCCCACCTCAGCTTTCCGAGCAGCTGGGACTACAGGCATGTGCCTCCACCCCCACTTAATTTTTGTAATTTTTGCAGAAACGGGGTTTCGCTATGTTGCCCAGACTGGTGTCGAACTCCTGGACTCAAGAAATCCTCCTGCCTCGGCCTACCAAAGTGCTAGGACTACAGGCGTCAGCCACCACACCAGCTCCACCAAGGTTTCTGAATGGTTGACTTTTTGTTACATTACAGGGGATTCAGAATAAAATTCCATTCTTATAATCCTATAACTCTCACTTCTTTGTATCGTTTGTTTGTTTGAGACGGAGTCTTGCTCTGTCACCCAGGCTGGAGTGCAATGACAAGATCTCAGCTCACAGCAACCTTCACCTCCTGGGTTCAAGCGATTCTCCTGCCTCAGCCTCCTGAGTAGCTGGGACTACAGGCACATGCCACCACTCCCAGCTAATTTTTGTATTTTTAGTAGAAGCAGGGTTTCACCATGTTGGCCAGGCTGGTCTCGAACTCCTGGCCTCAAGTGATCCTCCCACCTCGGCCTCCCAAAGTGCTGGAATTATAGGCATGAGCCACGGCTCCCAGCCTCCTTTGCACTCTTGAGTATTTTCTTGATTAGGAGTCAGAGGGCTGAAGTACAGCCATACACAGAAATTACACACAACCAACGGGCAAAAGTTGAAGCACTCCCTTTGATAACCAAAAACAAGTTAAATGTTCCCAGGTGTGGTGGCTCACGCCTATAATCCCTGCACTTTAGGAGGCCTAGGTGGGAGGACTGTTTGACCGCAGAAGTTAGAGACCAGCCTGAGCAACATAGCGACCACATCTTCACAAAAAAACTTAAAAATTAGGTAGGCATGGTGGCACATGCCTGTAGTCCCAGTCCCAGGAGGATGGCTCGAGTCCAGGAGGTTGAGGCTGTAGTGAGCCATGATCGTGCCACTGCACTCCAGCCTGGGTGACAAAGTAAGACTGTCTCAAAAAAAGAAAGAGAGAGAGAGAGAGAAAGAAAGGGGAGTTAAACGTAAAAAAGCTATTTGTAAATGTCTTAAAAATTTACACATAACCTCACAGCCATTCCCACTACATTATAAAGTCTGTGACTAGCAGAACCTCAGTTTGGGTAGGGGGCAGCATGGTGCCCTGCCCAGGACATGAATTTCTGTCCCTTTTGCCTGATACCTGCTTTCCCAGGCTCCCTCGCAGCTCAGGGTGGCCATGAAATTAAGGGCTTCTTAAATAATTTATGCTGGGTACAGTGGCTCACTCCTGTAATCCTAGCACTTTGGGAGGCTGAGGCAGGCAGATCACTTGAGGTCAGGAGTTTGAGAACAGCCTGCCCAACACGGCGAAACTCCATCTCTACTAAAAATACGAAAATTAGCCGGGTGTGGTGGTGCGTGCCTGTAACCCCAGCTACTCGGGAGGCTGAGGGGCAGGAGAATCGCTTGAACTCAGGAGGCAGAGGTTGCAGTGAGCCGAGATGGTGCCACTGCACTCCAGCCTGGGTGACAAAGCAAGACTCCGTCTCAAAAAAAAAAAAAAAAAGTTAATTTATGTAAAAAATGTAACAGAGCTTGGCAAAGGCGGAGCCCCATACATGTGTTTGTTGCTGTTACTCTTATTATTTTAACATATTTTTCTTCCTTAATACAAACAGAACTCTTTCCCACTTGTTCCCTTCCTTCCTGCTTAGTTCATTGGTATGAGGATGTGAGACCCAGAGCTATGGCAACCATTTTGTGACCACAAGGCAACAAGTTTAGGGTGTGAAGCTATCATTTTGAGGAAGGTAGAACAAAAGAGTAGAAAACGGGGTCCTTGCTGATATTAATAAGCCATTGCACCAAACCCCAGAATCCCCTAACTCCAGACTTACTCTTAGGTGACATAACTGAATGTCTTTCTTGCTTAAGTCGTGTTAATTGGATTTTTCTGTTTCTTGTGGCCAAATGTATCCCCACAAATTCATCTCTGCATGGCCAGCACTGAACCCAGAGAATGTGGTCAATTAATATTTCATAAAAATTTTAATCATATAGGACATGTCTGAGCCCAGGCATATGAGTCTCTTCAATTATGAATGTTGCAATGGAAGAAAACAAGGTTGCAAATCTCTACTTGGAGATGCCAAGGCTTTATAGAAGAGATTTTGAACTGGATATATTTTAGTTTTGCCTGAGCAGCATCCATTACTCCTGGTAACAGTGCTTCAATTTTCCTTCGGAAATGACCTCCTTTCCTACTCCCTCATTTGGCTGGACACATGACTCCAATTTGATCAATTAGAGCAAGCACTCCATCTCCAGAGCACAGTAACAAGTTTTCCTTGTCCTCTCTCATGGTGGCCTTTGCTTAAGTGGTTCCCTCTGCTTAGGACAGTTCCCACCACTCTCCCACGACCAAGTCTTCACCTGGCTCATTTCCACAATATCACTTCCTCCTCCAAAAATCCTTCTGCATAGTACACCGGGGTTTCTATTGCTTTATTTTTTATTTTATATATATATGTGTGTATATATATATATATATGTGTATATATATATATATATGTGTGTATATATATATATATTTGTGTATATATATATATATATATATTTTTTTTTTTTTTTTTTTTTTTTGAGACAGAGTCTAGTTCTGTCACCCAGGCTGGAGTGCAGTGGTGCGATCTTGGCTCACTGCAACCTCCACCTCCCAGGTTCAAGTGATTCTCGTGCCTCATCCTCCTGAGTAGCTGGGATTACAGGCACCCGCCACCATGCATGGCTAATTTTTGTACTTTTAGTAGAGACAGGATTTTACCATGTTGGCCAGGCTGGTCTCGAACTCCTGACCTCAGGTGATCCACCCGCCTCAGCCTCCCAAAGTGCTGGGATTACAGGCATGAGCCACTGTGTCCAGCCTCTATTGCTTTTATATGCTCAACAAGCTTTCTTATTTTTTTTTCTTTTTTGAGACTAGCATATTACAGCAACAAGCTTTCTTTGTTTTATTTTTTTTTAAGATCTTGCTCTGTCATCCAGGCTGGAGTGCAGTGGCTCAATCATAGCTCACTGCTGCCTCAAACTCCTGGGCTCAAGACCACCTCCTGAGTAACTGGGACTACACGTACACACCACCATGCTTGGCTAATTTTTTATTTTTATTTTTGTAGAGACAGAGTCTCGCCATGTTGCCCAGGCTGGTCTCAAGCTCCTAGCCTCAAGTGATCATCCCACCTTGGCCTCCCAAAGTTCTGGAATTACAGGTATGAGCCACCACACCCAGCCAACAAGATTTCTTATCCTACTTTTTCTGGAGAGTATTTACCTTCAACCACATAAAATTGCCAATACTATACAATGTGTGACCTACAAAAATGGCAAGTTCATGTGGTTCAACCTAATATTTAGCAATCCCTACTTCCCAGGACACACAACCGGGACATAGGACCCACCCACCCCCTACCTGGCCAATCAAAGCATTCCATTCATTCCCTTGGATGCGGCAATCAGTGCAGGGGTTGCTATGTGACCTCGGCCAGGCCGATAAGAGCTCTTCCCTGAGATTTTTCTCTTAGGACTAGAGATTCTGCCATTTTATCTCTGGGCTCTGGAAAGATTGAGTCTGTGTCTGTAAATAAATGACCATTTTCCCCCGCCACATGCAGTTGAAAGGGATGAGTCTGAGCTGAGCCAAGCAGAGAAGAGAGCTGTGTAGGGAGAGTGTCTTGGTGGGGTTGAGTCTGGGTTCCTTTCTCTAAAGCTCTGTTCCTTGTAGCTTTGCAATCACCCCACAACTTTTTCTTTTTTTTTTTATTTTTGAGACGGAGTCTCACTCTGTCACCCAGGCTGGAATGCAGTGATGTAATCTCAAGTGATTCTCCTGCCTCAGCCTTTCAAGTAGCTGAAATCACAGGCACCCACCATGCCCAGCTGATTTTTGTATTTTTAGTAGAGATAGGGTTTCACCATGTTGGCGAGCCTGGTCTCGAACTCCTGACCTCAGGCGATCCTCCCACCTTGGCCTCCCAAAGTGCTGGGATTACGTGTCAGTCACTGCACCCACCCCCAATTCTGTTTTGAAGGTAGGCATACCTCACCCCAAAGCTGGGGTCTCCATAGAAATCAGACCACATACCACCCCTGGTAAAGACCCTTCATTGGCTTCCCATGGCCCCAAAGAATAAAATGTTAACTCTTGACCACACCTCACAAGGTTCTGTAGAACCCACTTGCTTCTCCCACCTACTCTCCTCTCACTCTTCCCACTTCAGTCCAGACACACTGCCTCCAACACATCAAGCACACTACTTCCTAAGGGTCTTTGCACATGCTGTTCCCTTTGCCAGGAATGCTTTTCCCTGCTTTTCTCACAATGCATTTATTTAGCTCTGTCATCACCATCCTTCACCCTCCCACCTAAAGTAGGCCTCAAAGTCATTCTCTATGCCATCATCCTGTTTTCATTCTTGGCACAACATTTATTTGCCACTGGACATGCATTATTTACTCGTTTTTGTTTGCTTGTTTTTTGGGTCTCACTCTGCCACACAGGCTGGAGTGCAGTGGTGCAATCAGGGCTCATTGCAGCCTCAACCTCCTGGACTCATTTAATTGCTTATTTGTTTATTTCTCCTCCCTCTAGAATATAGGCACCACGGAGCAGGGCTTTCTTGTTTTGTTTCATCTATTTTGTTCACTGCGATAGCCCCTACATAGGACCAGTTACATAATACATGCTCAATAATGCTTTATCAAGTGAATTAGAGACAAGATTCCTGATGGTTCTGTGTGCAGGTTGGAGGCAGTCAGCTTTCCAATCATGGCTCTGCTGTTAACTGGCTGTGTGATCTTGGAGATGCTCCTTAACCTCTCTGAGCTTCAGTTTCCTCATCTTGAAAATTGTGTGCACACACTGCATATACCTGTGCAGGCTTTAAATGCAGTCATACTTATTATTGGAGTAACTCCATTTCCTAAGCATTATGTGCCATGCACTGGGTTGCATGCTCTTTATCCGTGCATCAGGGAGGGTTTGGGAGCACTGTGCCTGGCTTGTGAAAAGCCCTCAGTACCTAGGAGTCGTCATGACTGACACAAATGAGGGTGGTTGGGCTCCTGGGTGAGGAAGCCTCCTGGCCTGTGATTCTCTGGTGCCTCTGTCCTAGCAGCCTCCCACCCTGTCTGCCTAGATCCATCCCCCTCCCTCCTGCTCCGTTTCTATTTCTGTCTTTCTCTCCTCCTCCCCTGGCCTCAGGGGGCCCCTGGCTGGCAAGAAGCCTTCCTCCTTCTTCCCCAAGATCAGGAAGGTGTTATCACTGCAGGGCCCCTGCAAGGACTGGGATGTCTGTCCCTCTCCTCTCCCCAACCAGCTTTCCTTCCCCAGCCACAGCCCTCAGCCTCACCTGAGAAACTCCTCTCCCCACACCATCCTCCATGCCCTCCGCCAGGGTCCCTCAGATTCCAGGCAGAGCGACACAAGAGGTCTTGTCCCTGAGCTCACCAGGCTAGCTGTGGATATCCAAGCTCAGCTAAGCTCATGGGGGCCATACCCCAGCTTCCGGACACAGACCCCAGAGGCAGCATAGTGTAGGGGTACAATCAAACTTCCAGCTCCGCTATTTATTCATTGGGGGGATGGAGGGACTACGGCAAGTGACTTCATCTCTCTGTGGTTCAGGTTCTTGTCTGTAAAATGGGACCAAGGATAGATCTACCCTACCCCACTGAGTTGTGAGGTCTCAGAGGGTGGAATGAATATTCAATAACTGCTCAGCAGTACAGTGCTCTAGTTGAGTATTAAAGGAGTTCAGGGAATGTCACCCCAAAATATGGCACCCTGGTATGCTGATTATTTTAAATTAAAGGCACTTAGAGATCCATAGATGCTGGAAGAGGCTTTCCTCCTATGTCTTCTTATCTGCCTAAAGATCAAAAAGAACACAAGTGCCTTCTGTCCTCTCCCTGACATTTCATTATCTTTAACAGGAAAAAAAGACAGAGAAATGTCTACACCTGGACGGACTTTGTCACAAGAAATTATCTGTCTGTCAGTCTCAAATTCCAGAGACATTTACAAGCTAAATTCTATCTCCTGGACCCATTTATTTTCCCCAAAATCATTTATTACCCCTCAAAATTGCCTTCCTTTCCCCATCTCCCCTCCTGTGAAGAAAGGTATATAAGTATATAAACCTCACTGGGTTATTGGGTAATCACTTTCCTGTGATTTTCCTAGTGCATGTTAAATACCCTCCATATTCCTTTTCTCTTGTTAATCTATTGTCAGCCCATTCCAGTGAAATTTCAGAGAGTGAAGGGGAAGCTGTCTTTTCACCCCTATAGTAGAGACTCAGAAGTTGGCCTGCCTGCCTTTTTAAATCCCAGTTTTACCACCTTGGGCCAGTTATTTAACTTTTCTGGGCCAAAATTCCCTCATCTGGAAAACAGGATAATAATACCGATATGTCCTGGTGTTGTGAGAATTAAATGACTTAAGTGCTTGGCACATAGTAAGTAAGTATTCACTAAGCGTTAGCTATTATGATCATTTTATTTTTGTGATTATTCCCCACCTCTAAGTCTCTCAGAGGATAAAAGCCTGTCTGCCAGTCTCCTCCGGCCCCAGTTAGTCATCTTCCCATCTTCCTTCAGTCTCACTTAGAGTCCTTATGCTGCAATCTAGGTCACCCTCCCCCAACACACACACACACACACACACACACACACACACACACACACTACACGCGGACACACATACAGACACACACACAGGTCAGCAGGGCCTCAGACACAGAAAAAAGTTTAATTCTGCTGCGGCGGAGGGTCCCGGCTCCGGTAGGGAGGGGGATTTGGTTTTGGATTTTGTTCGTGTGGGGATTTATTTGGGAGAGTCTGGTCCTTCCAGTGGGACCTGCCCGGGAGAATGAGTAAAGAGAAGAAATCAGGAGAGACAGGGAGACTAGACAAAACCAGGGAGGGCCGAGGGACAAGAGACGACAGGACAGAGAGAAAGGAGAGGCAAATAGGGAAAGACAGGCACTACAGAGAGACGACAAGAGGGCGGGATAGAGACAAACGAGGGAAACAGAGAAAGGGGGACCCCAAGCCAGACCCGACCGGACCAGGAATGTGCGTGGGGTGGGGTGGGAGGCTTTGGAGGCCGCCGCGGGACAGAATAGGATCTAGTCCAGCCAGATACAAGAAATGGGCCCCTCGCCCCGGCCCCGGGTGACGGGCTGGGGGAGGGGGCTCGTGTCTCAGTGCTGCAGTGTCAGGGGGCCCTGCCCCTCCCCGCGCTTCGCTGTGTAAGGCACCGGCTCCAGCGAGGTCCGCGAGCGCGCGAGGGGAGGGGTAGGAGGGGGGTCGAGGAGTCCATAGGGGAAGGGAGGCCGGCAGCCGGTCCCCGAACCCCGCCCTGGGCACGGGGGCGTGGCCTCGAGCCGCAGCCCGAGGCTGCCCCGCCCCCTCCCGGGGACAAGGGCGCGTCTCCACTCTGGTCCAATGTCTTGGCGCTGCGCTTTCTCCCAGTCCCGCCCCAGCGTCCGTGCGGCTGGGCGTTTGGTCTGCGGCACCCAGGCGTCCCGGCGCCCGCCCGCCGCTCACACGGTACTCTCCAGCATCCACTCGGTGCTGGTGAAAGCCAGGCACGCCCTGGCGGAGCCCAGCCCCAGGTCTCCATCCTCCCCGGCCGCGCCCCCTCCAGCCCCGTCCAGGTGCGGCGTGGACCGGTGGCGCTTTGTCCGCCGGGCGCGGCGCGGGTAACTGTGGCTCTGGAATAGTGCCCCGTAGTCCCCGTCGAACGAATAGCGCTGCTGCGGCCTCGGCCGGGCCGCGGCTCCCCCAGGAACTAGAGCTAGAGTAGGGGGCGCCGAGGTTGGTGGCTCCAGGGCGCCGGATCGGCTCCTTCGAGGGCCCACCGCGGCCCGAGACTCCTCCCCGGAAGTTTCCTCGGATGGCAGCAGGCACAGCGAGGTGGCCGAGCCGCCCAGAGAACGTCCAAGGACCACCTCCGGCTCCGCGGATGCCGTCTCGGCCTCCATGGCCTTGGCCTCGACGGCGACGGCGGGGGCAGCCTGGGACTCCACCTCGCGCAGCGCCTCGTAGTGGTCCTGGGCCGGCAGGGCCGGGGCCTGTGCCGCGCCTGTGCCTGCGCCGTTGGTCTGCGAGCACACGTGGCTGACCCGCGGGAGCGACCTGGAGCCCTTGACGCGGCGGCTGTCCCCGTCGCCATACACCTTATAGCGGATCATGAGCAGAACGATGAAGACGAGGACCGAGGCGACGATGACGCCCCCGATGGCGATGATCATGGTGCCGCCCAAGAAATGGGCCCTCAGCGGGCGGCAGGGCGCCGGATCCCCAGCGGTGGTGAACTGTACACAGCCCACCACTCGCGTTGCCGGCAGCGCTGTGGCCCCGTCGTCGTAGACCGCCAGCACGCACAAGTCGTAGGCACGGCCCGCCGCCAGGTCATTCACCAGGAAGGTCTGACTGGTGGACGGGATCATCCTGTAGGAGGGGGCGGGTTCAGGGCGGGGTTAGTCCCCCCGAACCACGCCCCTTCGCTTTATGCCCCGCCCATGGTGAACAGTGGGGACTAAACCCTGCTATCGAAGTCTCAGCCGCTACTGAGACAACAGCAGCAATTCAAGCCCCGCCTCCATCAACATATTCCCACCCTTTCACACCCCTCATCTGTATGCCCCGCCCTCAGACCCACCTCCTGGCTGTGTCCCATCACCCACTGGGACAATATATCTATCATTCGTATTACCTCCTCTGCATATCCCGGCCCCTGCAGGGGAGAAGTGCTATGGCTTTTAAGCCCTGCCCTCAAGGGACATGCTCCCTAGCTATGTCTCACTCTTGCTAGGACAACTGCCATTCAAGGTCCTTCATCTAGGCATTTCTACCCCAAAACTGGGCCAACGCTACTGGCCACCTCCCCTTTTCTGCATGCCCCATCCCCCACTCAGGTGGACACTAAGGTCAGCTCACAGCGCCTGTCATATTCCTACTGGAACAATGGATGCTCTTCTAGTTCCTCTTTTATACATATTCCTGCCTTTCAGGGAAAACCATGATGCAGGTCGCTCCCCCTTATCTGCATGCAGCACCTTTGGGTAAAACATCTAGCTTTGGCCGGCTGCAGTGGCTCACGCCTGTAATCCCAACACTTTGGAAGGCTAAGAAGGGTGGATCACCTGAGGTTAGGAGTTCAAGACTGGCCTGGCCAACATGGTAACCCTGTCTCTATTAAAAATACAAAAATTAGCCAGGCGTGGTGGCAGGCACCTGTAATCCTAGCTACTCGGGAGGCTGAGGCAGGAAAATCGCTTGAACCCGGGAGGTGGAGGTTGCAGTGAGCCGAGACCACATCATTGCACTCTAGCTTGGGCTACAAGACCGCAAGACCGAGACTCTGTCTCAAAAAACAAACAAACCAAAAAAAAAAAAAAAAAAAAAAAAAAAAACCATCTAGCTTTGTCTATGTCCTGGAACAGTTTCCAAGTCCCTTAACTACATGTTCCCTGACATTGCTACAGGCCATTCCCCAACCAAATGAAATGTGGCTTCCAGGCACACCCCACAATGGCCCACTAAGGATGGTTCCCCTACTGTGTATAGGCCACATCCAGACTACAGGCCCTGCTCCTTGTCCAGATATTAAAGGCAACCACCTCATATGTTCATGTGCCACCAGAAGTCACCAAATCACGCTACCAGGTAAGTTTCTTCCGTAAAGGGGTCAAACGTAGCCAAGCACACACCATATTCCTTTCTTGCTGTAGGCCCCTCCCCTCGAATGAAGACTAGTGTAGAGAAGTGGTTAAGATGACAAAGGCTGGGGGCCAGATTGCCCGGGTTTGAGTCTCTCCTCTGCCACTTGCTTGCTCTGTGACCTCAGGCAAGTTTCTCTTTTGTTTCATTTTGTTTTGTTTGAGACAGACTCTCGCTGTGTCACCCAGGCTGGAGTACAATGACGCGATCTCGGCTCACTGCAATCTCTGCCTTCCGGGTTCAAGTGATTCTCCTGCCTCAGCCTCCCGGACAGCTGAGATTACAGGCACCCACCACCACACCTGGCTAATTTTTGTATTTTTAGTAGAGATGGGGTTTCGCCACGTTGGCCAAGCTGGTCTCAAACTTCTGACCTCAGGTGATCCATCCGCCTCGATCTCCCAAAGTGCTGGGATTACAGTCATGAACCACCACGCCCGGCGAACTTCGCCAAGTTTCTTAACCTCCCTGTGTCTCATTTTCCCCAAATGGGGATGATAATAATTCCTACATCATAGAGATGGTGTGAGGAATGAATGAGTTAACACAGCCAGGACCTGGCACTTAATGATATCATCATTAGCTTGCATCACACCTCGTGTTGGCCAGTAACCCTTGCTGTGGCTCACACTATCCAGCCCATTGCATTCCTCCCATCTATAAGATCTACCCCTCTGGAGGGCCATTCCTGCTAGGCCTTGGCCCTCTTCTGTTGAGCACATCGTTTCCACACTGTGGGCCATGTCCAGCCTCAGCTAAACCTGGACTGCCCGTTCCACATTGATTGGCATGGCCAGGATGCAACCTCACAAGCTCTCTTCTCCAGCAAAGACTCTTGGTGGGTCCCGGGAGACAAGGACTGCCCCTTCCTCTTCGTGGGACCATGCAGAACAAGCTCCACCCCCTCTGACAGGCCACATCCCCACCTCCGAAGGCCTGCTTATCTCTCCGATGCTTCCGCTTCCCCTCCAGCAGAGCCACCTTCTGGCCCTGAAGCTCCACCTCTGTCATCCCACCTCCAGGAGGTTCTCCCACTACCAAGAGCCACCCTCCCACCAAAAGACTTCCAATCAGGGCCCCGCCCCTTCATAAAGGTCCACCCACTTCTCCAACTCCACTCTACCCACCCCTGACTGCCATTTCAAAGACCACTGCCACCCACCCCAGCCACCCTCGGCTGCCCTGGCTTTAAGCCTTCCTCCTCCTCTCTTCATCTCTCCTCTCCAGAGCCCTGGATTCCACTTGCTCCTTCCCCTAAATAGCCAGTTGCTAGGGGCTTCCCCCACCCCTTTTCAAGGACAGAGGCTGGCTCCTTAAGAAAGCTTCAGCCCAAGTGTCTCTAATTGGCTGCAGAATTAAAGCAAGCAGCTAAGCAGGCTTCTGGTTGGCTGCCACCTCCGCCCATGACAGCGTGAGGAAGTTAACCCCTGCGGCACCATAGCATAGGAATCTGCAATGGGGGTTGGAGAACTGGAACTGGGGCCCTACAGGGAAGAGAAGAGTCCCAGGGTCTGTTGCCCAGCTGGGGACAGGGGGCCATCAACATCTGCATCCATGCAGGGTCTGGGGGCTTGTGAACCTCCCCCACCCCACCATGTGGTGGCCATGGCTCAGAGCAAAGGAAAGAGAGGGACAGAGAAGTGGAGAGTCACAGAAGCTCAGAATTATTTACAGAAATATATTATCCATCTCCCTTCCAAGCAGTGGGTGCCCAACAAATGTGTGTCAGTGTATAAAGGACAGCTTTGCTACTTTCTGTGTGACCTTGGGCAAGTGACATCCCCCACTGAACCTCAGTTTTTCTGTCTTTGAAATGGAGAGGGGGTCATCACGCCTTCATAGCGGAGCTGGGAAGATCAAGCTTGGAAGTTCGTTGTGAAGGTTTGTGTTTTGTTCATTTGTTTGTCCTCATGTTTGTAAGGCTGGGCCAGGATCTAACCTATCTCAGTAGGCCCAGGGCCCAACACAAGATGGGCACACAGTAGGCATCTACTCAGTGTTTGGGACCAGAATCAAAAAGAGAGGGAAATGAGGAAGACAGAGACAAAAGAAAAGGGAGGCTTTTTTTTTTTTTTTTTTTTTTTCCAGAGGGAGTCTCGCTCTGTCACCCAATGGCGCAATCTCCGCTCACTGCAACCTCCGCCTCCCAGGTTCAAGCGATTCTCCTGCCTCAGCCTCCTGAGTAGCTGGGATTACAGGCACGTGCCACCACATCTGCCTAATTTTTGTATTTTCCGTAGAGACAGGGTTTCACCATGTTGGCCAGGCTGGTCTTGAACTCCTGACCTCAAGTGATCCGCCCGCCTCAGCCTCCCAAAATGCTGGGATTATAGGCATGAGCCATCGCGCCCGGCCAAGAGGCATTTTTTTCATTCAACCAACACTGGGAAAGCACCTACTATGTGCCACACCTATGGCCAAGAAAACACTGGAAAGGCAGAGATGGAGGCCAAGAGGCAGGTTTCTCGGTGAAGATCTGACAGCCAGGAGCTGGGGCTCTCCACAGGTAGGGAAACAGCTCCAGCCCCGCTGGCATCTCCAGGTGAAGCCAAGCAGATGACTGAAGCATTTAACTGGTGCTCTACAATGTGCATGAGGGAGGCAGAGCTAGAAGGAGAGACATCCATGTGGCAAACTACCATTTATCAAGTGCCTACTGTGTGACAATTCTGTGGCAGAGAGCCATACTAAAAAACTACCAAGATGGGCCAGGTGCAGCGGCTCACACCTGTAATCCCAGCACTTTGGGAGGCCAAGGCAGGAGGATCACTTCAGCCCAGGAGTTCAAGACCTGTCTGGGCAATATAGCAAGACCTCATCTCTACTAAAAATTTTTTTAAATTAGCCCAGTGTGGTGGTGCACACCTATAGTCCCAGCTACTCTCAGGAGGTAGGAGGATTGCTTGGAGCCCAAAAGTTTGAGGCTGCAGTGAGCTATGATCATACCACTGCACTCCAGCCTGGGGTGACAGAGCAAGACCCTGCCAAAAAAAAAAAAGAAAAAGAAAAAAAAAAACTACTGAGATGGAGAGACATGGCAAGGCCAGGACTGCAACTCATAGTGTACTATGGACCACGACCTACTGGGCTATAAGCTCCCTGAGGACAGGGTCTGGGTGGTTTCCCTGTGTCCCCAGCACCCAGCTCAGGAGTTTGCACAAAGCAGGGGCTCTGTGCCTAACGAGGGCAGAGAAGGTAGAGACAGACAGAGAGGTGAAAGGAGAAATAAGGAGGCGATGGGAGAAAATAACTCTTTTTTTAAAATGTCTGTTGACACCGTATGGTCTGTCCCCACCAGGGCAATGGCTTCAAACCCAAGTGAGGGTGGAAATAACATATTTTTCTCATACGTTTTGTTTTCTGTTTCTGTAATGTACCCAATGTGTTGGTTCAGTAGTACTGGTATATAATTTATAAATATAAATGTCGCTGTAGGCTAGGCACGGTGGCTCACACCTGTAATCCCAGCAATTTAGGAGGCCAAGGCAGGCGGATCACTTGAGGTCAGGAGTTCAAGACCAGCCTGCCCAACATGGTAAAATCCTGTCTCTACTAAAAATACAAAACTTAGCTGGGTGTGTTGGTGGGTATCTGTAATCCCAGCTACTTGGGAGGCTGAGGGACGAGATTCGCTTGAACCCGGGAGGCGGAGGGTTTCAGTGAGCTGAGTTCGTGCCACTGCACTCCAGCCTGGGCAATAGAGTAAGGCTCAGTCTCAAAACAAACAAATAAATAAATGTCACTGTAAATGTGTGTGTGTGTTTCATGCTCCAAAATGTTTAACTGAAGAGGTGCACAATCAGATTGTTGTGGGGAGCAGTGATATCGACCATGAGCCCCATGAGGGCAGGGTTCATGCTGAGCTCAGTCACTGTTAGGACTCCAGTGCCCAGCCCTGGTCGGGTTCATGTAGGTGCTCAGCGAATATTTTCTATAAGCACGAAAAACAGAGACAGTGAGAAATAGAGAGAGGAGACAGGGCAAAGGAGGGCGGGAACAGCTCTCACAGCCATCTAGAACCCTGGCTGAGCAAGAAGGCCAAGGGAATGGGCAGGTGGGAGGGAGGGTCCCCCTGGGCTTGGGAGGAGGCCCTGGGACTGCAGCACCCGCACCCACCTGTAGACGAGGGAGTCATCAACGGAACTGTTGTACTGAACCTGGTACATGCGTATTCCGGGCACAGGCCTCTGGGCTGGCCAGCGGATGAGCACGGAGTTCGAGGTGAGCTCGGCTGCCACGAGCCGACGCTCAGCCGCAGAATCGTTGGCACCTGGTCTGCCCGGCGTGGCGATGTCAGAGGAGCCGGGCTCGGTGAGAGGCGGCGGGGCAGCCGGCGGGGGTGCCATCAGAGGCAGAGGTACCACGCACACCTCCACGGGCGCCGTCGCTTCCCCAGCAGCATTGGAGGCGATACAAGTGAAGGTGCCACTGTCCCTCAAGGTGGTGATGGTCACATCCAGCGTCCCGTCCCCCCGGACCCGGGTCCGGCTGGAGTTCCCCAGCAGCCGCCCATCAGGTGCCACCCAGTGCACCACCGGCTCGGGGTCACCCACCGCTCGGCAGCGCAGGCTCACCGCCTGGCCTTCCACCACCAGGGCCCGGCCCCCCGCCTGCCGTGTGATCAGCGGGGGCTCACACAGGAACTCCTCCTCGGGGATGGACCAGAAGTAGCGGTCGGTGAGGTGTTCGGGCGTGGCGCAGGTCTCTAAGTCGTCCTCGCGGGTCAGCCGCCGCAGCCAGAGCAGCTCGCAGTTGCAGTGCAGGGGGTTGCCGCCGAAGCTGACGGTCAGCGGGGTGGGCGGCTTGGGCCCGGTGCCCTGCGACCTCAGGAAGAGCCCGTCGGGCGGGAGTTTATGCAGGCGGTTGGAGGTCATGTCCAGACGGACCAGCTTGTGAAGCTGCACGAAGGTCCCCTCCGCGATGTGGTCGATGAGGTTGTGGTCCAGCGTGAGGGTGTTTAGGTTCACCATCTGGCCCACCGCCTCCCACGGCAGGGCCTCCAGGTTGTTGTAGGACAGATCCAGGTCCTCCACGGTGGACAGGAAGGCGTCAAAGGCCGCCGACTCCACCCGGCGGATCTGGTTGTTTCCAAGGATCAGGTGGCGGAGGTTGCCCAGGCCGCGGAGCTGGTCGCCGCGCACCTCCGCCAGGCGGTTGCTGTCCAGGTGCAGGGCCCGGAGGGCACGCAGGTCGGCGAAGGCGCCAGCTGCCACCTGGCCGATGGTGTTCCGGGAGAGAGTGAGGTGCACCAGGCTGGTCATGTTGGCGAAGTCTCGGCGGCGCACGGCGGCGATGAAGTTGTCGGTGAGCCGCAGCTCCACCACGCGCCGGTCGATGGCGGGCGGCACAAAGAGCAAGCCGGTCTTGGCGCACAGCATTGTCAGTGTGGGCGCCACGTTCTGGCAGATGCAGCGGCCGGGGCAGGGCTGGCCACGAGATGCCCCCGCCCAGAGCAGCAGCAGAAAGGGCAGGGCAGCGGGCGGCGGCGAGAGGAGGGCCGAGGAGAAGGGTCCTGGAGCCATGGTGCAGTGGGAAGGCAGGAGGGGTGGGAGGTGAGACCTGCCGGGGAAGGAGCCGGTTACCCAGGCGTGGGACTTGGCCGCCATGGGATGTCCTGCTACGAGTCAGGCCTGGATCCCTCCCCTACCGCCTACAGCTGGGTTCCATAGGATGGTGAGAGGAAGCCACTATCAGCTATTAACAACAGATTACAACACTTCCATGCTGGGCACAGTGGCTCACGCCTGTAATCCCAGCACTTTGGGAGGCCGAGGCAGGCGGATCACCTGAGGTCAGGAGTTCAAGACCAGCCTGGCCAACATGGTGAAACCCCGTCTCTACTAAAAATACAAAAATTAGCTGGGCATGGTGGTGGGCGCCTGTAATCCCAGCTACTTGGGAGGCTGAAGCACGAGAATCGCTTGAACCAGGGAGGTGGAGGTTGCAGTGAGCCGAGATCACACCATTGCAATCCAGTCTGGGCGACAGAGCAAGACTCCATCTTAAAACATAAATAAAAATAAAAATATCTCTATACTGGTTGATAGAATACCCCTGTCCCTACTTGCGTGTCCCACCCTCACCTCTGCCCCTCCTGTAGTAGCTCCCAAACCTCTCATGATCTCCCAACCAGAGGGGTGACACCTGGCCCAACCTGGGCCCTCCAGTACCCACTAAATTGTCTAAAAAATCACTGTTAACTATGGTTTAAGGCCCTGGCTATCCAAGCCATACTCCCTAGCTCCAAATCCCAGCTCTGATACTTACTAGCTGTGTGACCTCCAGCAAGTATCTGAACCTCTCTGATTCTCGGTTTCTTCATCTGTAAAAGGGAGATAGAAACAGGCCTTACTTCTGTGAGGATTAAATGTATTGATGAACATAGCATACTTAGAATAGTGCCAGGCATATAAAATGTGCTTATTACATGTTAGCAATCATCATCATGATCATCAAGTGCTTAATATGTACCAGGCATAGAACAGTGCCCTATTATTGAGAGTAAGTACTTTGAAATCAAACAGACTCAGGTTCAAATCCTGATTCCCCTTTTGCTAGCTCTGTGACCCCCAAGCCAATGATTTCCCCTAGCTAGGCTGTAATTTCTTAATCTGTAAATTGGGATGATAATTGTACCATCTTCATTCATGTACCACCGACCATGCCTGGCATACAGTAAGTACTCAATAAATGTTAAGGGTTTCCCCCCTCCCGCCTCTGGCATTGGCAGGGAGAGTGTCAAAGTGGGAGGGACTGAGGAAAACACATCAGAGTCTTCCAGTTCAGCCTCAGGAAGGCCTTCTCTGAGGTCTGGTTTCATCCTGGGCTCAGTTGAGCTCCCAAGCAAGGCAGACTTTCATGCTCACATCTTTGGGTACACACAACACACACACACACACTCACACACTCACACACTCACGCTATGTCTCTGCTCCAGGCAAAACCTTCCGGCAGGGATTCCCCCTGCGGCGGCTGCAGCCCACGACATGTCAGTTCCCATCACAACACAGGGTGGGCGGGGGGTGAAGAGGAAAGGATGGGAAGGGGGCGTCCCTAAAACTGTTTTCACCCCACCCTGCCCTGTACCCTAGCCCCTGCTGGCCTACCTCCCAGGAATCTGTGTTTGGGGCTACGGCCTTAGGTGGCTTTGATCTTCCTGCCAGTGGGGAGGGGGCCTGGGACAGAGACCAGGAAAGTCAGAGACAGAGGTGAAGAGAGACAAGGAGAGACCAGGGGGAGGGAGAAGTGGACTGGCAAAGAGAGAGAGACAGATTGGGAGAGAAACAGAGAGACAAAAAGATGAGTCTGAAAGGAAGGTGAACAGACAGAAAACTGAGAGTGAAGAATGAGACACAGAAAAGAGAGAGACACAGAAAAAAGACACAGAGATGGAGAGAAAAATAGAGACAGTATTAGAGAGAAAAAGACAGAGGAGGAAAGAGACAGAGAGTAAGAGAGACAATGACCGGGCTGAAGGCGGAAAAAGAGGCCGGATCGGGGTGTCCTACCATCTCTGAGTTCACCCCAAATCTGTCCTTCACTCCCTCTAGATCACTACTCTACAATGTACTGGAAACCCTGGCCTAGAAAGGGGGACTCCAGAATTAGGAGCCTGAGTCTGCCCCTGCTTGGCTGTGGGGTCTTCAGGGCTCAGAATCCCAGTCTATGAAACAGAAGTCCAGAGCCTCGCCTCCGACAGCTGGGGTAGGACTCAAATGGAGGGAATAATAATAGCAATGGAAATAGCTAACATTTATGGAGAGTGGTGCAGCACTGCAGGACAGAATCCGCCCTACTGCCTGGGTTCAGACCTCACCTCCCCACTGTGTGACTTTAATCAAGTGACTTCCCCTTTCTGTGCCTCGGTGTGCTCATCTGTCAAATGGGAATAATAATGGCACCCACCTCATAAGGTTGCTATGAGGATTTAATGAGATAATATTTTATGACATGCTTAGAATAGTTCCTGACAAAGTAAACACTATATACATGTGAGCTGCTGCTATTATCATTATTATTATTACTATTATTATTACTAATTTATTATTTTCTCCAGCTTTCTCAGCCACCAGGAGGTCAGGCTATCGGGAGATCTTCCCACACCCATGCACACGCACATACAAAATGGGCAAACATATTCACTCAACCCTCTAAATGCAGGGGTCATTTCATATCTTGACATATTCTTGTATCCTTTACTGATATCATGAGGAAACCTTGCTTTCCCAAACACCTTAACCATCCTGAGAATGAATGTCTCTTGGCCTGAAACCCCCCACCTGCTCCCCAGAGCCACCTGGCCACCACAAGCCCTCACCCAACTTTGATGTTCCTGACCTTGTCACCACTCCCCAGCCTTGGACAGAGTGGTGGGCAACTGGTCCTTCAGGAAACTGTCATCCCCTGAACTGAAATCCATGCGAGGCAGGGTTCCAGACCCCCAGCTGGCTGACAGCAAGCCCCATCACCCCCCATGTCTCTCTCTCTCTGAAGCCTTACGGCTCTACTCACCTCTCTTCAGGGAGTCAGGGCCTGGGCCAGCACCTGCAAAGGAACAGAACCACCTTGTTAGCATCGTTCTGGCTCTTCTCTGTGCACCAGATCTTGCCTTGGAGACCATCCCGGCCAAGGAAGTCCCTGGTGTGATCACGCTCTCAGTCCTCCTGTGGCGGGTTTTGCATAGTCTCACAGGAACCCAGAAGTCCTCTCTGGAATCCTAGATTAGGCCTCAGGGTTGTTCACCCTCCAAAGCCCAGGAGTCGAGGACTTTAGCCCTTTGTCCTCTGGGGTTTCAGGAGCCAAGAACCCCAGCCCCCTCTTCCCTCTGACCCAAGAGTCCAGACCAGACCTCTGGCCCTCCATTAGAACCCAAGAGTTTACATCCCAGCCCCTCAACTCCAAAGTCCTGAACGGTACCAAGAGCTGGGGAAGGGCCAAAGTTTCCCATCCTTGCCATGATACTATTGCCCACACCAACATGTGTGTCCATGTCAGAACCCACGCAAGCCCACAACCCAAGTCTCTACATCTGGATTTCTATGAACATAGCAACATGATCTGTGTGCCCTCCGCCCTCTATGGGCACTTGGCCTGGCATATGGACACACTGTGTCCAGGGACCCCAGGCGGGACCCCAGTATACCAGAGGTCATGCCACATGGGCCTCAAACCCACTGAACCCAAGAGTAGGGACAGCCTTGTGCCAGGGCACAGACACATGTGTCTTTCACATACATGTCTGAACATACACAACCCCCAGAGACCAACACCAAAACACAAACAGACTCACAACATAGATGGATACATACCCTCAAGGTTGACACACCTGCATGCAACAATACATGTACAACACTGACTCTGCCATGCAAGTTCACACACACAAATGCACAGATACAACAGAGAAACTCATGTGCCCCCTAACAGACAACCAGGTACATGCATTTACAACAGATCTACCTTGCACACTCACCAGCACACAGGGGCACACACATCTAACAAACACACACACACCTGTGCAAACATACACAAGTGCACACTCTTAAATGCCTAGACACACTCATACTTCACACATCTCCATGTTGCAAAGTTGATACAGCACCACGCTAACAGATACATACCTCACACACACACACACACACACAAAACCACAAGCATACAGATACGAGGCTGATCCACACTGGAACACGCACACAGGCACAAAAAGATCCACCTTTGCAGACACGCCAAGATGTTCACTCATAACAGACACATGCTCACACAACAGTCCTGTGATTTACACACTTCCAAATGCATAGAAAATACTGAACCACAGTAGCACAGTCAGTAGACAGGCCCAGATTCACACTCACACAGTCTTGGACACACATTCCTCCCAGCCCTGAGGCACCCCCCCACCACCCCACCTACTTACTTCCCAGGCCCAAGAAATCCTAACATCCCTGCAGCACATTCAGCATCCTGCCCTCCACACCCCCAAAAAACCAGGGCAAAAGCCAGGCCAGAGGTCAGAGTTCAGCAGGTGGAAACTCAAGAGGATTTGGGGGTTTGAGTCCTAGATCACCGTTTCAAGGAGATCCTCCCACCAGCAGCCCCAAAGGTTCCCCAGCCTGGCCATCAGGATGGAGGTAACTCTGGCTCCGTCTGCAGATGTCTGGCCGGTGGGGGAATTAGGGTGGAGTGGGTGGGGAAGGGCCGGGTCTTCGCCCCCCAACCCCCACCTCAGGGCCCATCTGTCCATTTCTCGGCCTCTCATCCCCCCTCCATCTGTCCACCTCCTGGCCGCCCATCCCCCCCCCGCAACCACCGGGAAGGGGAAGACATGGCCGCTTCCCCCAGGACCGCTAAGGACCCCCCAGTTGACATGGACCGAGGGAGCGGCGAACTCCCCTCCCCCAAATCCACACCGAGGCCTGGGCGCCGAGCCTCAGCCCCCAAGCCAGCAACCTGCCGTGGACTCACAGATACACACCCTCGGAGACATACAACCCGCAGACACACACACACACACACACACACACACACACACACAAATGGACACCCGAGCGGGCACACCCGGCTCCACAGACCCGGGGATGGACATCCAACCCGGACACAAACACCCAGAGCAGCTAGTCGCGCACGCACATGGGCTTGGGGGGGACCCACACCTGGGCACACAACCCACGCACACACACACCTGCACACAGCCCCTCCGATGGGCGCGCGACAGCGCCCAGACACACAGCCGGAGGGGCGGCCGCTCGGGGGGACACGCGTGCACAGCCGGACACGCCGGCCGGGCTCGACACCCCGCGCACACCCGATGGCCACACGGGCAGGGCGCCGCACACGCCGGCACCGGGCACACATAGGGCCGCGCGGGCGCACGCCGGGCCCGCCGCAGCGCCACGGACACACACTCGCACGCTCGCACGCTCACACCCGCGCACACACCCGCGCCCCCGCCCGCCGCTCCCGGGCCGCTGCAGGCCGCGCTCACCCAGCCCGGGGGGGCCCCGGGCCCGGCCCCGCCGCCGCTGCCTCGCTCCGCGCCATGGTGGGGGGAGGGCCGGGGGAGGGGGCGCGGTGCCGCGGGGCCGCCTCCCTCCCGCCTCCCGCCCTCCCTCCCGAGCCGCAGCCGAGCTCCGCCCTCCGCGCCGCCCGCCGCCACCGCCGCCGCAAGGGGGGAGGGGGCGCCGACTGGTGGGGGCGGCCGGGCGGGGCGGTCGCACACCCGGGATCCCCGCCCCGAACCCGCCGCAGACCCCTCTCCACTGCCGAGCCGCCGCGGGCCCGCCCCCGACCCTTCCCCAGCCCCACCCCCAGCCCCGCCGGCCTCCCCGGAGACCCCCCCAGACCACGCCCCAACTGGCCTAGGGACCCCGGATCTCCCTACAGAGACCTCCCATCACGTCCTAATACCCAGGGGGACCTCGGATCAGGCCTCACCTCTTTTGAGAACCCAGGCGATGTTCTAGGGCCACCCAGGACCACAAATCATGCCCTGCTCTCCTGCTTGACCTCAGACTATGACCCACACACTGTCAGGAACCCCAGACCATGCCCCCAAACCCAGAAGAATCCCAGATCATATCCCAGCATCCAAGGGGATCCAGACCACCCCACCAGCAACCCTAAATCATATCCCAACATTCAGATAGACCCCCAGACCACACCCCTTCCCTCACGGACCCCAAATCATACCCTAACATCGGGGGAGACTTCAGACCATATGTCAGCCAAATCCCAGATGGTGCCTGACTCCCTTTGGGGACCCAAACCACATTCTACAGCCACCAGAACCACAAATCATATTCCACTCCTTCTTGGGGACCCCCAGCCATGTCCTTCTACCCTCAAGGACCCTAACCCATTCCCTTACCCCCAGTATGAACTCCAAACCATGCCTAACTTCTAGGGGGCCCTAAAATGTCTCTTATCCCTATGGAAGACCCTTAAACTTTCCCCATGAACCCCATTAGACCCCAAACCATCTTCCACCCCTTTGACCTTACACCTTTCTCTCTCCTTCTCCTCCAAGACATCCTTTGGTTTCCAAAACTCCCCAATTAGCCCCAATTTTTTCCCACCCCCTACTAGTCCTGCCCCCTTGAGGACCCTGCCTCCTTCTTGCTCCAGTTCTTTCTCTTGGACCCTGAAAGTCCCCCCTCCCTGTGACTTCCATAGAGCCCAGAATGCCTTGCTCCTTCCTAGTTCAGACCCCTTTGCCCATCCCCTGTCCCATAGCTGAACCCCACCCCTTCCCTCAAACCCCACTGAGTATCTCAGGCCACTCTCCTTCTCTTTCTGAGATATTCACAGGGTCCCTAAACCCAGCAACTTCTCCCCTAAAAATCTGTGTTGTTTCATGCAGTGCCCCAGATTCCTGGGGTCTCAAACCCTTCTCGTTTTGGATCCCACTGTACAGAGGTCCTCCTCTAAACCCCTTTCCTAATTTTTTTTTTTTTTTAGACAAAGTCTCACTCTGTCACCCAGGCTGGAGTAGAGTGGCACGATCTCGGCTCACTGCAACCTCCACCTCCCAGGTTCAAGCAATTCTCCTGCCTCAGCCTCCCTAGTAGCTGGGATTACAGGTGTGCGCCACCACGCCCGGCTAATTTTTCTTTTCTTTTTCTTTTTTCTTTTCTTTTTTTTTTTTTTTTTGAGACAGAGTCTTGCTCTGTTGCCCAGGCTGGAGTGCACTGGCATGGTCTCCGCTCACCGCAACCTCTGCTTCCCGGGTTCAAGCAATTCTCCTGCCTCAGCCTTCCGAGTAGCTGGGACTACAGGCATGTCCCACCATGCCTGGCTACTTTTTGTATTTTTAGTGGAGACAGGGTTTTGTCATGTTGGCCAGGCTGGTCTCGAACTCTTGGCCTCAAGTGATCCGCCCGCCTCAGCCTCCCAAAGTGCTGGGATTACAGGCATGAGCCACCGCACCCAGTCTAATTTTTCTTTCTTTCTTTTTTTTTATTTGTTTGTTTTTGAGTCAGAGTCTCACTCCATCACCCAGGCAGGAGTGCACTGGTGTGATCACAGCTCACTGCAGCCTGGACCTCCTGGGCTCAAGTGTTCCTCCCATCTCAGCCTCCTCAGTAGCTGTTTTGTTTTTGGTTTTGTTTTAGTTTTTTTATAAATGGAGTCTCACTATGTTGCCCAGGCTGGTCTTGAACTCCTGACCACGGTGGTCATGAGCTACTGTGCCTGGCCTAAATTATTTACATGAAGCCCGCCCTATCCCCCAGATCAAGCTCAGCTCTGCAGATAACTCCTTCTGGTGAACCTTAACCCCAAGCGCAACTCTGAGATGTCCCTGGGGACACTCACAATCCCCCTATTCTCCAGACTCCACCCTTCATCGCCACCACCCAGGCAGCATCCCCACCTCCCACCGTGGTTGCTAGTGCTCCCTGCTGGAGCTTGGGGGTAGGAATAACAACAACAACACAAGTGAACACATATACAGCACTATTTATGTGCCAGAAATGATTCTAAGGGTTTCACATCTATCACTTCATTCAATCTACACAACAGCCAAATGAAGAGGTCCTATTACCATCCCCATTTTATGGATAAGGGAAATAGAGGCACAGAGAGGTTTGGTCACTTGCCCAAGGTCACACAGATAGTATGTGGCAGAACAGGGTAGGGGTGATGGGGAAAGAGGGTGAGGGTAGGCCTGGGCTGGACAGGAGTAGAAAAGAGAGGGAGAGAAAAAAAGATAATAATAAGAGAGACAGATGGAAGAAGAAAGAAGCTGAAACCGAGGGAGATATGCCTTATTCATAGAGCCAATCTGGCCCTGTGAGCTCTGGTCCCAGCTGACCCTATTTCCAACGACTCTCCTCTTCTGTTCCAGCTTCTTCTTCTTCTTTTTTTTTTTTTTCTTTTTTTTTTTAGAAATGGGGGTCTCACTATGTTGCCCAGGCTGGTCTGGAACTCCTGGGATCAAGTGATCCTCCCGCCTCAGCCTCCCAAAGTGCTGGGTTTACAGGCGTGCACCACCACTCCTGGCCCCTCTTTCAGTTTTAACAATGACTTTTCTTTTCTTTTTTGAGACAGGGCCTCACTCTGTCACCCAGGCTGGAGTGCAGTGGCATGATCTCGGCTTACTGCAACCTCTGCCTCCCAGGCTCAAGCGATTCTCCTACCTCAGCCTGAGTAGCTGGGACCACAGGCGCCCACCACCACACCCGGCTAATTTTTGTATTTTTAGTAGAGACAGGGTTTTGCCATGTTGGTCAAGCTGGTCTCGAACTCCTGACCTCAAGTGATCCGCCCACCTCAGTCTCCCAAAGTGCTGGGATTACAGGTGTGAGCCACCGCATCCGACCCCTTGTTCAGCTTCTACGATGACTTTCCTATTCCTCCAACACACCAGCCCACAGCAGCAGCCCCTGAGCATATGCACTCTTCTCCCCTTTCCATGGCTGCTGGTTCTTTCTTTTCATGATGGTCTTAAATGTAATCTCTTCAAAGAGACCTTCCTTTTCCATCCCCAATTTACACACACCATCCCTACCTGGGCCCCCAACCAGCAGTCTGATGTTACTTTGAAATAGAAGAAGAAGGAGAAGGAGAGAAGAAAGGAAGAAGAAGGAGGAGGAGGAGGAGGAGGAGGGGAGGAAGAGGAGGAGGAAGAAGAGAAAAGAAAAGAGAGAAGAAAAGAAAGGAAGAGGAAGAAGAAGGAGGAGGAGGAAGAAGAAAGGAGGAAGAAGAGGAGGAAGAAGAGGAAGAGGAGGAGAAGGAGGAGGAAGAAGGGTGGCTGGATGGATATATGATGAAGTAATACCTTGACGTGTCAGTGGTGGCATCTAAGTGATGGGTATATGAGTGTTCACTATAAAATTATTTCAACTCAGGCTGGGCGTGGTGGCTCACATCTGCAATCTCAGCATTTTGGGAGGCCGAGGAGGGAGGATCAGTTGAGCCCAGGAGTTCAAGACCAGCCGGGCAACATAGCGAGACCCCATCTCTAATAAACTTTTATATAAATATATATATAGATATATATATAATACACACACACACACACATATATATATAATTATTTCAACTTGGCTGCATGTTTGAAATGTTTCATAGTAAATGTTAGGGAGTGGGGAAGCAGGACTCTTCTGGCGGCAACAAACAGCCCCACCAGGTGCCACCATTTCTATCTAGCACATCACCTTATTTATTTCCCTTATAGTATTTATCACTCTCTTTATTTTTATTTTAAAAGGAAAAAAGAGATGAGGTCTTGCTGTGTTGCCCAGGTTGGTCTCGAACTCCTGGGCTCAAGCCATCCTCCTGCCTTGGCCTCCCAAAGTGCTGGGATTACAGGCGTGAACCACTGCGCCTGGCTCTTGTCACCCTCTTATTTTGTTTACTTGTTTACCTATTTATTGTTATTTATTTACTGTCTAGTCATTGAAATATAAGCCTCCCAAGGGAAGTGGCACGGACACCAACATCTTCCAGTGCCCAGAATAGTGACTGCCACCCAGGAACTCAGTAAACGTGCTTTTCTTAAAGACAGGGTCTCCCTCTGTCACCCAGGCTGGAGTGCAGTGGCGTGATCATGGCTCACTGCAGCCTCGACCTCCCCAGGCTCAGGTGATCCTCCCACTTCAGCCTCCCAACTACAGGCACGCACCCCCACACCCAGCTAATTTTTTATTTTTTGTAGAGAAGCGGTCTCATTATGTTGTCCAGGCTGGTCGCACACTCTCGGCCTCTAAGATTTCCAGCCTCGGCCCCCCAAAATGTAGGGATTACAAGGTGTGAGCCACTGCACCTAGACAACATGTGTTCTTTTTATTTTATTTTTATTTATTTATGTATTTATTTATTTTGGAGACGGAGTTTTGCTCTTGTTGTCCAGGCTGGAGTGCAATGGAGCGATCTCGGCTCACTGCAACCTCTGCCTCTCCGGCTCAAGTGAATTCTCCGGCCTCAGCCTCCCGAGTAGCTGGGATTACAGGCACGTACCACCACGCCCAGCTATTTTTTTGTATTTTTAGTAGAGATGGGGTTTCACCATGTTGACCAGGCTGGTCTCGAACTCCTGACCTTAGGTGATCCTCTGGGATTACAGGCGTGAGCCACCGTGCCTGGCCCAACATGTGTTCTCAAATGCGTCTTGGGAGAGGACTGGGGATCTAGTCTGGCTCCAGACTCAGTTCAGGGACCACAGGAAGGAATAAATAACGACCTCTTAGCCCAGGTTCCCTAGAAGAAAAGGGTATACCCAGCAGCTGGAGAATGTCCCATAAGGTAAGGGAATGTGTGAGTTGGCCTGAAAAACGGGCAACAGGTTGAACTAGACATCTTAATTGTTTCCCTGGAGCCCTAATTCCTGCCCCAAACCTAATACAGACCCTCTACCAATCCCATTCTTCTGGCCCCGCCCCAAGCCTAGGCCCCACCCCCAGACTCTTAGGCCCTGCCCCAAAGCAAAAACTCCAGCCCTTTTAAAGCTAAGCAATGCCCATTCCGGCCCTTTCAAGGTTAGGAAGTCCCCCAAGTCTAGGGCACCGACTCAAAACTTAGGGAGCTTGGATCTGTGGGCGTTTATAGGATAGGTTGGTGGAACTAGAGGAGGCGGTCCCCAGTTTGTACTGCCTCTCCAGGGAATCTCCCCAAACCCGAAGACACGTCCCATTGTGCTGACTCCTCATTGGATAGTGCAGTCTGTTCTGGCCTCTCTGATTGGTCCTTCCACAATCCCTAGCTGTACTCCCTCTGCATTGGACTGCGCCTGTGAGCCACCCTTTCTGATTGGCCCCTGCTTTCCCATGCTTTGCTCCTGATCGGGCAAGTCCTTGTGCATGGCTCTTTCTGATTGGACCGTTTGTAATCACAAGCCTGGATGAAACAGAAGTTCCACTATGGAGGGTGGGAGTACCACCAAGGAGGACGAGGAGGAGGGGGGGGAGGGGGAGGGGGAGAGGGAAGGGGAGGGGAGGGGGAGGGGAGCGGGGAGGAGGAGGAGGTTCCCTAAGTCTCTTGCCTAAGAGAGAGTGTGGCCATTGACCCCCAAGATAGCCTGGGCTTAAAGAGTTCTAACTGTACAGACCACAGGTGCCTTTGGCTTCTATGCCTCAGATTTTTATCGTCTTTAAGTTGGAGAGAATAATAGTACCTTTTTCACGAGGTATTGCAATAATTAAATAAGCTAATGCCTATAAACTGCTTATAGAAGTACCTGGTACATAGGAAGCCCTCAAGAGGAGGGTCAGCTATTAGTATTCATTTGATCATGTAAGTGCATGACCTTGGATGAGTCCCTCTGCCTCTCTGACCTCTGCAGGCCAGGAGTTCCTTGTCCATTTAATTGAATGACCCCTCTTGTCTCCAGTCCTCCTCCTCCTCCATCTCCTGCCTTCAGGGACTGGGCCTGTGATCAGAGGGAGGGACAGAGAGATAGGGACAGGAAAACAGCACTAGTGGAGGGCAGAGGAGCTCAACCTAACCCTCCAGAGAATTTAGGGCAGGGTGAATTTTCTCTATGGACCAGTGTAGAGTGATTCTATCCCGAATCCCTCATGCAAAGGACTTGCCCTGATTGGGGGTGAGCGGGCAAGAGATAGGGTAGAGTGGGGTGGTAAGGGGATGGTGTGTTAAGGCTGGGAGGGCTTGGAGCTGGGCTTTTTGGACCCTATCCCCGGAAACACCAAGGTTGGGGGAACGGGCAGCCCAGGCCCAAGGTCACTATGTCTTTGTTACCATGGCAACAGCCACCTCTCTACCGGGAACCTGAAAAGGGGTGGGGGGAGGGAGTTCCCACGTCCCTGAAACCGGGGACAGAGAGGGGAACAATTAGAAACATGGAAGAGAAGCAGAGAGACAGAAAGGGTGTGATTCATCTCTGTGAAGACCTGCCCATCTCGGAATTCTCAGAGCCCGGTACATTGTGGGTACTTAATCAATGTCCCTCAGAGACAGACGCAGAAAGCCTGAGAAAGTTCGATGTCAAGAGATGCCAGAAAAAAGAAAAGAAGAATCTTCAGATGGGGGCAAGTGTCCCTTCCCTGTCTCCTCAATCTCACACCCCTGGGAGTCCACCGAGGGCCCAGGATCGACTTCAGCTTCCCCAGCCCTGGGTGTTCAGGCCTACCTGACCGTACAAACCATCCACCCCCCAGCAGCTCCTGAGATCCTGAAGCAATTACGTTCAAACCTCTTCGGCCTTTAAATTCTTCCTATCTAAGGGCTCAGCTGAGAAAAGTCGCATTCGGTGATGCCTCCTACCCCCCAGAGGTGGGGAGTGGGGGAGGAAACGGGCACTTTGCCTCCTTTATTCTCAGGGGTCCTTGTTCCCCTTGGGAGTGACCGCTCTGTAGATCCAGATATTTCCCCAATACCTCCAGGAGACCCAGGCCTCGCCCATCCGTCCCCCACCCCCCAAGGAAATCCTTCAGGCCCTTCCCTTTCTTTCTAAGAAAGAGGTATCCTCCTTCCCTCCCGGGACCCAGCTCGCATTCCTCTAGGTCAGCCCGCCCCCTGCTGGCCCAAGCCTCGTACTGCAGGAACCGTCGGCTAGAGCCCAGAAGAGGCAGAAACTGAGTCCAAACTGAGGATCTCCGAGTTTTTGCATTTTAAAATTTATTTAAAGTCTTGGTTGTTCAGGTCCTAGGGGTTCCAAGTCCCCAGTCACCTTGAGGACTCAGACATCAGGAATTCAGTCCCCAGCCCAGAGATCAACGAAAGAAAGACAACTTTTCTTGGAGCCAGGCCTCAGTGAGGTCATCAGTGGTGCGGATTTCGAACACCTGGGCAGAGAGAGGTCTCGGCATTATGATCTACTCAAACACTGAGACAGTGGCTGGGCACGGTGGCTCACCTGTAAGAGAGCACTTTGGGAGGCTGAGGTGGGTGGATCACTTAAGGTCAGGAGTTCGAGACCAGCCTGGCCAATATGGTGAAACCCTGACTCTACTAAAAATACAAAAAGTAGCCAGGTGTGGTGGCGTGTGCCTGTCGTCCCACTACTTGGGAGGCTGAGGCAGGAGAATTGCTTGAACCCAGGAGGAGGAGGTTGCAGTGAGCCGAGGTTGTGCCACTGCACTCCAGCCTGGATGACAGAGCGAGACCCAGTTCTTTAAAAAAACAAAAACAAAAACAAAAACCACTGAGACAGTGAGGACTCTAGTCCCTCTTCCCTCA
Organism: Homo sapiens; assembly: GCF_000001405.40. Taxonomy (NCBI): domain Eukaryota; kingdom Metazoa; phylum Chordata; class Mammalia; order Primates; family Hominidae; genus Homo; species Homo sapiens. The sequence continues at coordinate 39,328,943 of NC_000019.10, forward strand.
GACCCAGGACCCACACCACCTCTCCCTAACACTCTGGAGCCCCATCCCAGTCTGAACCTTTGTGAGCTCTGCTGTCTGCACCAGCCTGTTTTTACTCCCTGCATACATCATCTGTTGTTCCGGCTTGCAGCCTGCGTGGAAAAGAGGAGAAAGGCACATCAGTGGGGACCCAGGCGTGTTCTCTAAAGCTCTAGTAATGTCCTGAAGGCCCTGCAGCTTGCCAAGGGTCCTAGGAGCTCTTCTAAGGAGGTCCCTGCACTGTACTCAGTTTCTAGGTTGGCTTGGGGGCTTCAAGTTATTCTGAGGGTCTCTGGAGATGATTTAGGGGCCAGACGGGGATTTCTAGGTGAAAGGAAAAGGTGGGTTGGCTTAGGCCCCAGGACTGAGAACGGGTGGGCTCTTGGTGAATCTGAGCCCCCACCTCCACTTCACTGCCCTCCCACATCATGCGTGCGACACACACACATCCTCACCCAGTCACACACAGGCTGTCACATGCTCACACTCTTACACAAGTGCCTGCACACATTCGCATTTACACACAAACACACACACACAGAATCGAAGACCCTCTCCTGAGGACAGTAGAGCTGTGTCTCACCCACAGGGCTGGAGAAGATGAAACACAAAGGGTAGGACACTCGGCCATCGTCATGCACGTACTTGTAGCTGTAAACCACGAACCTACCGTGAAAGGGAATTGAAAATCAGGACTCTGGCCTGCAGCCCAGGCTTAACAGCCATTACCTGAGTCCACAGCCTTGAAATGTTGGCTGAGTCTGAGAACCCAGGGTTGATGTCTGGGACTCAGGGTACTGACCTCAAACACAACAAATGATTAAAAAATAATCATAGGGCCGGGCGCAGGACTCACACCTATAATCCCAGCACTTTGGGAGGCCGAGGCGGGTGGATCACCTGAGATCAGGAGTTCGAGACCAGCCTGGCCAACATGGTGAAACCTCGTCTCTACTAAAAATACAAAAATTAGCCTGGAGTAGTGGTGGGCGCCTGTAATCCCAGCTAGTCAGGAGGCTGAGGCAGGAGAATCGCTTGAACTCAGGAGGCAGAGGTTGCAGTGAGCCAAGATCACGCCATTGCACTCCAGCGTGGGTGACAAAAGTGGAACTCCATCTCAAATAATAATAATAATGATAGTGCTCATTTGACTCACAATTACTTTATAATATAGGTGCTATTAATATCCCCATCGTACAGATGAGAAAACTGAGGCCCAAAGTCACTTGCCTAAGGTTCTACAGATAGGGGAGAGATTTGAACCTGGGAAAGTGAATGCCAGCGTGTAAGTTCTCACCCCCTATGCAATTCTGTCCAGTGCACTTGAACCCCAGGTGCACTGTGACCAGTGATGGCTACAGAATCATCCAAGCCCGGTATAAAATGAAAATGTGGGGCATCTTGTTCAAGAAGCAGGAAAATTGTTTTCCTTTCTTTTGTAGTCTCTCTCTAGACTGATCATCGTCTTTTTTTTTTACTGTTATTAGAGACAGGGCCTCACTCTGTTGCCCAGGCTGGAGTGCAATGGTGCGATCCTAGCTCACTGCAGTCTTGAACTCCTGGGCTCAAGCAATCCTCCTATCTCAGCCTCCAGAGTAGCTGGGAGTATAGGTGCACACCACCATGCCCAGCTAATTTTTTTTTTTTTTTTTTTGAGACAGGGTCTCACTTTGTCACCCAGGTTGGAGTACAGGGACGTGGTCTCAGCTCATTGCAGCCTCGACCTCCCAGGTTCAGGTGATCCTCCTGCCTCAGCCCCCCAAGTAGCTGAGATTACAGGGGCGTGCCACCACATCCAGCTAATGTTTTTTGTGTTTTTTGCAGAGACAGAGTTTCACCATGTTGCCCAGGCTGGTCTCGAACTCCTGAGCTCAAGTGATCTGTCCACCTCAGCCTCCCAAAGTGCTGGGATTACAGGCATGAGCCACTGCGCCTGGCCTTTTTTTAAAAAATTTTAGTAGAAATGGGGGTCTTGTTATGTTGCCCAGGCTGGTCTTGAACTCCTGGCCACAAGCAGTACTCCCACCTCAGACTCCCAAAGTGCTGAGATTACAGGTGTGAGCCACTGCGCTCAGCCTGTCTTTTTTAGTTTGCTATTTAAAGTCGTGCTCCCTCGGGCATGAGGATATGCGCAGGCAGAGTGCAGATGCTCACAGGAACACCCTGTAACTTGTCAGGCAAGGGGTGCCTTCTGGACCCTGACCCTCCCTACACCAGCAGGAAACCCAAGGACAGCAGCGGTCACTGGGTGGGTGCAGAGAGTGGGTGGCTGAGAACCTGTTCAGGGAGGCAGCCAGGTGGTGGACTGCCTGTGAACCTAGCTCCAAACCCCAGCACATTTGTGTGAAGTCCATTGTCCCATCTGACTTCATACAAAACAGAAATTCAAAGATAAAACTATAAAGAAGGTGACCGTTAACCCCCATGTGTGAGGCCCCCTCCTGGGTGCGGGGCCCTGTGCAATTATCATATGCCCATGAAGCTGGTCCTTGTTGAGTCCTACAGCCTCTAATCCTAGAGACCCAAAATGAATTCAGTCAAGATGAAAAATCTTAGCAGACCAGTTTTCACAGAAATAGTCAAAGAGCTCTTCCACCAAAAAAAGCACCAGGCTCATGTGACTTCGCCCAGGATTCTACCTGATAGTTAAAAGTCGAGTCATTCCTTTAGCAGGGTGCAGTGGCAGTGCCTGTAGTCCCAGTTACTTGGGAGGCTGAGGCAGGAGGATGGCTTGAGCCCAGGAGTTAGAGGCTACAGTGAGCCAGGATCACAGCACTGCCCAATAGCCTGGGTGACACAGTGAGACCCTGTCTCTAAAAATTTTTTTAATAAAATAACAATAATAATAATTAATTTGTTTGCTACCTAAAGTGTTCCCAAACATTGAAAAAGAAGGAAAATTTCTTTTTTTGTTTTTTTGAGACAGGGTCTTGCTCTGTCACCCAGGCTGGAGTACAGGGGTGCTATCTTGGCTCACTTGCAGCCTCAGCTTCCTGAACTCAACTGACCCCCGACATCAGCCTCCCAAGTAGCTGGAACCACAGGCACATGCCACCATGCCTGGCTAATTTTTTTTTTTTTTAATAGAGACAAGGTCCTCCACCAGGCGCGGTGGCTCACGCCTGTAATCCCAGCACTTTGGGAGGCCGAAGCAGGGATCACCTGAGGTTAGGAGTTCGAGACCAGCCTGGCCAACATGTCTCTACTAAAAATACAAAAATTATCCAGACATGGTGGTGGGCCCCTGTAATCCCAGCTACTCAGGAGGCTGAGGCCAGAGAATCGCTTGAACCCAGGAGGCGGAGGTTGCAGTGAGTCAAGATCGCGCCACTGCACTCCAACCTGGGCAACAGAGCGAGACTCTGTCTCTAACAAAAAAAAAAAAAAAATAGAGACAAGGTCTTGCTATGTTGCCCAGGCTAGTCTCGAACTCCTGGCCTCAGGTGATCCTCCCGCCTCAGGCTCCCAAAGGGCTGAGATTACAGGTGGGAGTCATAGTACCTGGCCAAAATTTCATTTTTAAAAAATGATGCCAGCGTAATGTTGAAACAAAAACTCAACAAAGTTTGTACAAAAAAAAAAAAAAGACTCTTAAACCGGTATCATAAATAATCGGTATAAAATTCTGCAATAAAATATTGCTATACAAACAAAAAGTTCTAGAGTATGAACTCTTGGCCTCAAACACAGAGATTCTTTTTTTTTTTTTTTTTTTTGAGATAGAGTCTCGCTGTGTCACCCAGGCTGGAGTGCAGTGGTGTGATCTCAGCTCACTGCAGCCTCTGCCTGCCAGGTTCAAGCGATTCTCGTGCCTCAGCCTCCCAAGTAGCTGGGATTACAGTCACATGCCACCACGCCCAGTTAATTTTTGTATTTTTAGTAGAGACGGGATTTCACCATGTTGGTCAGGCTAGTCTTGAACTCCTGACCTCAAGTGATCCACCCTCCTTGACCTCCCAAAGTGCTGGGATTACAGGGATGAGCCACCTCACTCGGCCAAACACAGAGATTCAAAGTCCATGAATAGGGCTGGAACTCCAGCAGTCCCTTAGCCTATACCTCCAACATCACCCCTCCCCTCATGGCCTGATCCAACCCTTTCTTCCCCCAGGATACCTGGGCTGTCTCTCCGGCAACTCCATTTTGAGCTCCTCTGGGGAAATGTTCTGAGGCAAGAAAACAGAAGAAAAGACAAAGAATGAGGCAGGGCGCAGTGGCTCACACCTGTAATCCCAGCACTTTGGGAGGCCGAGGCAGGCGGATCACAAGGTCAGGAAATCATTCAGACCATCCTGGCTAACAGGGTGAAACCCGTCTCTACTAAAAATACAGAAAATTAGCCAGGCATGGTGGCATGCACCTGTAGTCCCAGCTACTCGAGAGGCTGAGGCAGGAGAATTGCTTGAATCCGGGATGCAGAGGTTGCAGTGAGCCGAGATCGCGCCACTGCACTCCAGCCTGGGAGACAGAGTGAGACTCCATTTCCAACAAAAAAATTAGCCAGGCGTGTTCAGGAGGCTGAGGCAGGAGAATTGCTTGAACCCGGGAGGCGGAGGTTGCAGTGAATCAAGATTGTGCCATAGCACTCCAGCCTGAGCAAAAAAGATCGAAACTCCGTCTCAAAAAAAAAAAAAAAAAAAAGAATGACCACCTTTAGGTGAGCACTTACCATGTGCCAAGGCATCGTTCTATGAAACACACATGGATTAATTCATGCAACTATCCCGTAAGTCTGTGGGGTAGGTCCCATCATTATGCCCACTATACAGCTGAGAAAACTGAGGCCCAGAGGTGTTAAGGCATTTGCCCAAGATTGCACAGATAGAAAGCAGCAGAGTTGAGATTTGAATCTGGGTTCGAATCATAACTGCTTCACTATACTGCCTTTCAGAGGGCCTGAGAGAGCCCCAGCCCCCAGTCTCCATGGATTCCCTTATAAATCCTTATCGCAACACTAGAGAAATAAGCCTTATTATCATTCTTGTTATTGATAAAGACAGTGAGGCCACCAGGGGGGTGAGGTCTACCCCCTTTTTTTTTTTTGTAGAGATGGAGTCTTTTTTTTTTTTTTTTTTTTTTTGAGACAGAGTCTGTCGCCCAGGCTGGAGTGCAGTGGCACGATCTTGGCTCACTGCAAGCTCCGCCTCCGGGGTTCACGCCATTCTCCTGCCTCAGCCTCCCGAGTAGCTGGGACTACAGGCACCCGCCACCACACCCAGCTAATTTTTTGAATTTTTAGTAGAGACGGGGTTTCACCATGTTAGCCAGGATGGTCTCGATCTCCTGACCTTGTGATCCGCCCGCCTCAGCCTCCCAAAGTGCTGAGATTACAGGCGTGAGCCACGGCACCCAGCCGAGATGGGGTCTTGCTTTGTTGCCCAGGTTGGTCTCAAAACTCCCAGCCTCAAGCAACCCTCCCACCTCAGCCTCCTGTGTAGCTGAGATCACAGGTGCACACCACTGTGCTTGGCTAATTTTTGTATTTTTAGTAGAGTTAGGGTGTTACCATGTTGCCCAGGCTGGTCTTAAACTCCTGGGCTCAAGTGATCCTCCTGCCTCAGCCTCCCAAAGCGCTGGGATTACAGGCATGAGCCACCATGCCTGGCTAGCTTTTTAACTTATATGGAAACTCTTTCATTTAAATGCCAATAAAGCATTATTATCATCATTATTAAGATCATCATCACCTTATTGAGCACATACTAAGTGCCAGGCCTTGTTCTAAACCCATTACAAGAATTAAATCACTGGATGTAAAAACAAGCCTATGAGATAAGTACTATTCTCCCCATTTCACAGATGAGGAAATAGAGACACAAACAGGCAAAGTCTCTTGCTGGGGGTCATGAGTGAGCTAGAACTTGATCTCCAGGGTTTTTTGTTTTTTTGTTTTTTGTTTTTGTTTTTGAGACAGAGTCTTGCTCTGTGGTTCAGACTGAAGTGTAGTGGCACAATCTCGGCTCACTACAGCCTCCATCTCCCGGGTTCCAGCGATTCTCCTGCCTCGGCCTCCCAAGTAGCTGTGATTACAGGTGCCCACCACCATGCCTAGCTAACTTTTTATATTTTTAGTACAGATGGGGTTTCACCATGTTTGCCAGGCTGGTCTTGAACTCCCAACCTCAGGTGATCCACCTGCCTCGGCCTCCCAAAGTGCTGGGATTACAGGCATGAGCCACTGTGCTCGGCCAATCTCCAGGTCTTTCTACCCCCATGCCAGGCTCTTCATATCAGTTCCAACCACTTGGTTCTCCCAGTCTCACCCTGTACCTCCCAGTCCCAATCACCCCAGCCCATCACCTGAAATTCTTCCTCCAGCACCACCATCTGCCGGTCTTTGTCCACCTTCACTGGGGAGGGGTGGCACACAGGGATTAGACACTCCCCCTGATCCATGGGGGACACAAGCCCAGCCCTCCCTATCTGCCCTCACCACCGCCCTCCCATCCTTCTGTGGGGGAAGATGTCACTCACTTATGATGGCTGCATTGTCTGTCTCTTTTCGGAAGCGGAATTTCCTCAGCTTTTCTGTTAGCTCTGGGTCTACCTCGCACACCACCAGGGAGTCAGACTGCCGGAGGGACCCAGGAAGAGCTGAAATGGCCTGGCCTCAGCCCTCACCCCTTCCCCAAACCTGTTTCTCCATCCACTAATGAAGAGGAGCATCGCGCCGGCCCATCTGATGCCTTTGTGAACATTGAGAAAAGGCACCCTTCCCACAGAGTAGATACCCCTCACCAGGGCACTCAGCTTGGGGGGCGGAGCAGAGGCTGGGTTCCCGCCTTCTCCACGGGGACTCTTGGGGGACACTCAAGGAGGTGCAGAGATCCACTTCCTGAGCCTAAACCCAGAGCCACTGTCTCTCTGTTCTTCCAGCCGGGCTGTTCACCACAGTTGGGCCCCCTTCCCGGCCCGTGACCTCCATCCCATAGCCTGACCTTCGCCCAGGTGTCCTCCAAGCCCCAGCCCCAACCCCAGCCCCAGCTCTTCCCATAGAACCCCTGGCCCCTGACCATGATTGTTCTGTCCACAGGCCTCTTCTTTTCTTAGTTCCGCTGTCTTCTAGGCGTGGGGACCGGGGCTGTAGGGGGGCGGGCTGTGCAGTAGGAGGAAGGTTTCATCCAACACCACATCCTGTTTATGCCCTTTCTGGGACAACTGTCACAGAGGGCTCCTCCCCCTCCTTCCTTCCCCTCATCTGCCAGGACCTGTCAGGAAATCGCTCAGACCAGGGTTCCAAAGCTTCCTTGCTGTGTGACCCTAGCTAAGTAACTTCACCCCTCTGATTTGAGATTGTGGTGAGGATATAAATAGCTTCACATCGGCCGGGCATGGTGGCTCACACCTGTAATGCCAGCACTTTGGGAGGCCGAGGCGGGCGGATCACCTGAGGTCAGGAGTTGGAGACCAGCCTGACCAACATGGCAAAACCCCATCTCTACTAAAAATACAAAATATTAGCCTGGCATGGTGGTGCACGCCTGTGATCCCAGCTACTCGGGAGTCTGAGGCACAAGAATTGCTTGAATCCGAGCAGCAGAGGTTGCAGTGAGCCAAGATCACATCATTGCACTCTATCCCAGGCAATAAAAATACAAATAAATAAAAATAAATAAATAAATAGCTTCACATAGCTGCCAGCATGGCAGACACAATAGGTACTAAAAACGAACTATTTTGCTCCTCCCCTCCTCCAGGTGGCCTTCCTAGATTTACCCCCATCTGGGATATTTGAATTGCAGGGCTGGAAAAGGGGAGTTTAGTCTTTTGCTGGTCAGACTGACGCCCATTATGTCAATGGCAAAATGGGGACCAGAGGGGCAACCCCACAGTGCCTGGGTAATGGTGACTTTTTTCCTGCACTTTTCCAACCTCACTAGCCTTGCAATGACCTATGAGGCCCTACAACAAGGGAGTTCAATCCCGTCAGACCGGTACCCAATTTTTTTTTTTTGAGACAGGGTCTCACTCTGTCGCCCAGGCTGGAGTGCAGTGGTGCGATCTCAGCTCACTGCAACCTCCGCCTCCCAGGTTCAAGCCATTCTCCGGCCTCAGCCTCCCAAGTAGCTGGGACTACAGGCACGTGCCACTACGCCCGGCTAATTTTTGTATTTTTAGTAGAGATGGGGTTTCACCATGTTGGCCATGTTGGTCTCGAACTCCTGACCTCAAATGATCCACCTGCCTCAGCCTCCGAAAGTGCTGGGATTCCAGGTGTGAGCCACTGTGAGCCACCATGCCCGGCTATTTTTTTTATTGAGTATTTTTGCACTGCCCCCTTTTCCCATCCCGAAATAAAATTCCTAGATAATATAACCTACTTACACACATAAATTCAAAAAAAAATCAATATAATGTCCTGACTGTCATATAAAGAAGAAATAAAAGGAATGTAGTTCACACAAAAACCATATGTATTTCAGTGAGAAGATAAAAGCAAACAAAAGACAATTTCCACAGGGTCCTAGGCCAACTGTGACTGGCCCACTTCCCTCCATGGTGGGCAAACCCCGGACCCTACACTGGACTCTACCCCTTCACCTACATCTCTGCAGCTGTCCTCTCTCTCCCTCTTGTCTCACCAACGTCCCCATGCCTCCTGGATCTTTCTCCTTAGCCTCCATGCAGTGTTACTTCTTCCATCTTAATTTTTTTCTTTTCTTTTTTTCTTTTATTTTGAGACAGGGTCTCATTCTGTTACCCAGGCTGGAGTGCAGCGGTGTAATCATGGCTCACTGCAGTCTCCAACTCCTGGGCTCAAGCCACCTTCCCACCTTGGCCTCCTAGGTAGCTGGGACTATAGGCACGCAACACCATGCCTGGCCAATTTTACTTTTGATTTTTATAGAGACAGGATCTCGCTATGTGGCCCAGGCTGGCCTCAAACTCCTGGCCTCAAGCGATCCTCCTGCCTCAGCCTCCTGGTGTGCAGGGATTACAGGCGTGAGTCACTGTGTCTGGCCTCTTCCATCTTAAAAACATAAAACTGTATCTCCTGTCCAGCTGCTGCTCACTCATTTCCTTCCCTTTTCTGCAAGATTTCTCAAAAGAGGCCGGGCGTGGTGGCTCATGCCTGTAATCCCAGCACTTTGGGAGGCCAAGGCGGGTGGATCACGAGGTCAGGAGATCGAGACCATCCTGGCTAACAAGGTGAAACCCCGTCTCTACTAAAAATACAAAAAATTAGCCGGGCGTGGTGGCAGGTGCCTGTAGTCCCAGTTACTCAGGAGGATGAGGCAGGAGAATGGCGTGAACCCAGGAGGCGGAGCTTGCAGTGAGCCAAGATTGCGCCACTGCACTCTAGCCTGGGTGACAGAGTGAGACTCCTTCTCAAAAAAAAAAAAAAGATTTCTCAAAAGAATAATCTACATTGCTGCCTCCAATTTCTCCTCCCAGTTTTCTCTTCTGCCTTCTCCAATCAGCCTTTCACCTGTATTCCTCTCAGCTGACATGCCCTTGTCAAGGTCACCCATGCACTCCACGGTGCTGGATCTAATGGTCAATTCTCACTCCTCCTCAGCCACATCTGACACAGCCCATCACTCCCTGTTCCCTGAAACATCGTCTTCATGACACCACACTTGCCTGGTTTTCTTTTTTTCTTTTCTTTTTTTTTTTTTTTGAGACAGGGGTCTCGCTCTGTCACCCAGGCTGGAGTACAGTGGCACCATCTCAGCTCACCGCAACCTCCGCCTCCTGGGTTCAAGCGATTCTCTCACTTCAGCCTCCCAAGTAGCTGGGATTACAGGCGTGAGCCACCACACCCGGCTAATTTTTTTTTTTTTTTCTTGAGATGGAGTGTCTCTCTGTCACCCAGGCTGGAGTGCAGTGGCACAATCTCGGCTCACTGCAACCTCCACCTCCCAGGTTCAAGCAGTTCTCCTGCCTCAGCCTCATGAGTAGCTGGGATTACAGGTGTGCGCCACCACAACCAGCTAATTTTTGTATTTCTAGTAGAGACGGGGTTTCACCATGTTGGTCAGGCTAGTCTCGAACTCCTGACCTCGTGATCAGCCCACCTCAGCTTCCCAAAGTGCTGGGATTACAGGTGTGAGCCACCGCGCCTAGCCATATTTTTGTATTTTTAGTAGAGACAGGGTTTTACCATGTTGGCCAGGCTGGTCTCAAACCCTCCCATGGGCCAGACACAGTGGCTCATGCCTGTAATCCCAGCACTTTGGGAGGCCAAGGCAGGAGAATTGCTTGAGACCAGGAGTTCAAGACCAGCCTGGGCAACATAGCAAGACCTTGTCTCTACAAAAAAATTTTAAAAGTAGCCGGGCATGGTGGCATGTGTCTGTAATCCCAGGTACCAGCTACTTGGGAGGCTGAGGTTGGGAGGATCACTTGAGCCCAGGAGTTTGAGGCTGCAGTGAGCTAGGATCACACCACTGCACTCCAGCCCAGGTGACAGAGTAAGATCCTATCTCTAAAAACCAAACAGCAGGCCAGGCGCAGTGGCTCACGCCTGTAATCCCAACACTTTGGGAGGCCGAGGCAGGCAGATCACTTGAGTCCAGGAGTTCAAGACCAGCCTGGGCAACATGGTGAAACCCCATCTCTACTAAAAATACAAAACTTAGCCAGGTTTGATGGCATACGGCTGTAGTTCCAGCTACTCCAGAGGCTGAGGCAGGAGAATCACTTGAACCCAGGAGGCAGGGGTTGCAGTGAGCCGAGGTTGCAGTGAGCCGCGATCGCACCACTACAATCCAGTCTGGGCAACAGAGTGAGACCCTGCCCCCCCCCCCCACACACACACACACACACACACACACACACACCAACAATGACTAAAATACTAAGTTATCTGTCACCACCCCTACCCCATTGCCTCTTGGACCTTGTCCTTCACTGCCCTCTTTTGCTCACTCCACTCCAGCAATGCTGGCCCCTTTGTGGTTCTGTGAATGATCCTACTACATGGCCTTTGCACTTGCTGTTTTCTCTTTCTGGAACCCACTTTCTCCTTCATTCCTTCAGATTTCTGTTTCAGTCTCACCTAATGAAAGAGGCCTTTCCCCATGTAAATTAATTCTGGCTGCATTACTCCATTCCCTTAGCTGCTTTCTTGTTATTTATTTGTTTATTTATTTAGAGACATAGTCTCGCTCTGTCACCTGGGCTAGAGTGCAATGGCAAATCTCGGCTTATTGCAACCTCCGACTCCTGGGTTCAAGTGATTCTCCTGCCTCACCCTCCTGAGTAGCTGGAACTACAGGCACGCATCACTATGCCCAGTTAATTTTTGGCATTTTTAGTAGAGACAGGGTTTTGCCACTTTGGCCAGGCTGGTCTCAAACTCCTGGCCTCAAGTGATCCACCAGCCTCAGCCTCCCAAAGTGCTGGGATTACAGGCATGAGTCACCATGCCCAGCCACTGCTTTCTTTTTCTCCTTGGTACTTATCACGAAGTTACACTGTATTTCCTTATTGTTTGTGTCCCCAAGAACTAGAATGTAAGTCTTTTTGTTTTTTTTTTGTTTTTTTTTTGAGACGGAGTTTCACTGTTGTTGCCCAGGCTGGAGTGCAATGGCACGATCTTGGCTCACTGCAACCTCCGCCACCCGGGTTCAAGCGATTCTCTTGCCTCAGCCTCCCAAGTAGCTGGGACTACAGGCATGTGCCACCACGCCCCGCTAATTTTGTATTTTTAGTAGAGATGGGATTTCACCATGTTGGTCAGGCTGGTCTCGAACACCTGCCTCGGCCTCCCAAAATGCTGGGATTACAGGTGTGAGCCACCGCGCTCATCCTATTGTTGTGTTTCTAGCACCTTAAGCAGAGCCTGGCACATATTAGATAGTCAAGAAATATTATTGAATGAATTAATGAACCAGCAGTTAATGAGCACAATAATTCTATGCAGTGTGAAGGCTGTTGCTTAAATGCAGGAGGTAGTGGATGGGGTTTGTGACATGGCCCCACCCTGGTGAAACAGCCTTTCCTCAAAGCGTCTATAATGCCACACTCTCCTGGTTTTCCTCTCTCTGGCTGCCTTTTGCAATATTCATCGACAGCGTCAATTCCTTTGCTCAAATCCTGCCTCTCTGTTTCAGGGTTCTGTTCAGTCCCTGTCTCCAGTGACCCTTCATACCCTCCCCGGGCTAGACCCCTAACTCCCACAGCCTCAATTACCATCTTTGACGATCCTTAAATCTTGGTCTCCAGCCTCAATTTCTCCCTTAAGCTCCAGACCCAGGGTTTGTGCACCTCCTGGACCTCGCTACTAGGCATCCACATTGGGCTTAGTATCTTCCCAACCTGCTTCTGGCGCCCAGTCTCCCGGCTAGAGGGGCCTGGTCCTAAACTTTTCTCCCCCTTCCACTCCATAGCCAGCCAGTGTCAGGGCCCGTTCGCTCTGCCTCCAGGGCGTCCCTCCCACCTGCACCTCCTTCCCTCCCCACAGTCCCTCCCTCGTGCAAACCCCCTCTTTCTTCCCCACCCCCTCCCCCAGCTGCCTCCCTGGACTCCCGATCCCGTTTCATTCCCTCCAATCCGCCCTCCATGTATAAGCCAGAGAGACATCTCTCCAAAACCCCAGACTCACCATGATCCTCCCCGGCTTGAAGCCCTTCACGGCTCCCTAGTGCCCTCGGGACAAGTCCAAACTCCCTCAAGTGGCCAAACAACTGGCCTCTGCTCGTTCCTCACCCCTCCCTGTCTTCAACTCGACCCTCCATCCCGACTGCCTCTCTAAGTGCCTGTAACAAGCCAGATCTCTGTCACCGAGAGCCTTCTGAACACAGGTCCCTCTGATTAGTTCACCCGGACCCAATACAGTTTGTGGAACGCACAGATCACAACCAAAGTCACAGCAACAACTCCCGTTTATTGACAGCCTCCTTGATCCTTAGCGCTTTCTGTGCATTCTCTTCCCACCCTAAAGGCTAGATCTCGCCTCGCCATTCCCATCGGAGAGAGCAAGCGGCAAGGCTGAGAACAGCGCGATGAGAAAGCCGAGCGCCCAGAAGCCCGAGTGCAGACGCCCACTGAGGACAGCCTTGGGTGAGGCGGGCCACCCAAGGGGCGGGGAAGAGGAGGCCTGGAACGCCTGAATCAGGAACTGTGACTTCGCTCGGGGCAGCTGGGGTGGACGCGCGCGAGCCTGCCCCCTGCGGGCCTGGAGGCCCAACCTCAGACTCCGCCGGGCCCGTTGCCCTGGGCAACGCCCCGCGCGCCCCGCCCCTTCCCCGCCCCCCAGCCCCAAACCCCAGGCCTGGCCGACTGCCCGTCACCCCCACGTCCGACCAATCCCGCCGAGGAGGGGGCGGGCCTCTTGGGCCCCGTTCCACCACCGTCGCTCCCCCCTCGCCGCGACCCCGCCTTACTCGGCTCACACCTCCCGCCCTTCGGGCTGCCCTCGCCGCCCGTTGGCTGGCGCGCCGTTCGTCACCCGGGCGTGAGCTAATGCCGGCGCGCGGCGGCCCCCGTCGGGGCGGGGCCAGGGGCGGTGACGCACGGCGCGGTGACGCAGCGCGACGGCGGCGGCGGCGGCGGCGGCGGTGGTCGGTGCGGGAGGAGGGAGGGGAGCTTGCGGGCCCGAGAGGGGGCGACGGCGGCGGCGGTGGCCTGAGGAGGCCCGAGCGGCGGCGGTGGCGGCGAAGGCCGAGGCGGTGAGTCTCGGGCCGGGCCGGCGCGGGGCGGCGGCGAGTCGGGGCGCGCGGGGCTCCCCTCAGGGCGACCCAGGCCGCGCGGGCGGCCCCGCCCCCTCAGGGACCCCGAACCGCGGGCGGCGGCGGCGGGCGGGTGCGGAACGCGGGCCTCGGGGGGCCGGGCCCCACGGGAGAAGCCCCGCGCCCGTCCCCAGTCTCCCTCCTGGGCCCTGGCCGAAGCTTCCCTCCGAAATCTTTCTCATGCCCTCGGGATTGCCGAGGGGCCGGGCCGGGGGCCTCTCCTCAGGACCCCCCGCACATCCCCCTCGGAGAGCCCCGGAAAGCCTGCCGATCCCCCGTGTGCGCCCTGAAAGGTCCCCGCAAAACCCACCCCTCCCGTGGAGTCGCCTCCTCGAGCCCTTCATGGGTCCCAGCAGCTTTCCTCGCAGACCCCCGCCCTTTGGCCCCGAAGCCCCCGTCCTCCTCCTGTCTCCAGAAATAGTCCTCGGAGGCCACTCCTCGTCCATTCCACAGCGTGGCTCTCATAGCTGCTCCAGGAGCCTCCCTCACGAGCCCTGCACACCTCCCCAAGGCTCCCTCCGGACCCCTGTCCATTCCAGAACTCTCCCCCGGAGCCCTGCCTCTCACAGCCCAACAGGCTCACCCGACTTCCCCCTCCCGGATCCTAAGAATTTTCCCTCCCACTTACCCCATTCCAGAAACCTCCTTGGAGATTTTCCGCTCATACCCCCTGCATTTCTGATTCCCCCTCCCAGAAGTCCTTCAGAATGCCCCCGACGGACCGTGATCATCTTCCCTGAAGATCTCCTTCCCATATCCCCAAAATAAATCTTCCTCACAGACTTTGTGAAATGCCCCCAGATCCCAAAAACTCACCTAGAAGACTCCATCCCCCTCCCCACCGTATTGCAACCATCTCTCATACACACTCCCCCTTCACGTATCCCTCTGGACCTTTCCACAGATCCCAAAAGTCTCCCCCAGAGGCCTCCTGTCTCCCCCTGGTCTCACCACCCTAAAATGCCCTAGAGATCACCCTCATGTAGCCCAGTGATCTTCACCGGGATCCCCTTCCCCACCCCCACTCATTCTAAAAATCTCCAGCAATTGCCTGAAATCTCCAGAGGACTCTCAGCATCATATTCCAAAAGCTTCTTCCAAAATCCCTTTTACATACTCCACATCTTTTCCAGTCCCCCACATCACACGCTCCAAAAATTGTTTAAGGATCCTGAAAACTTTCCTCATGGTTTTTCTCTCAGATCCCGTAGAACTCCCCTTCACTAACACCTCAGAATCCCCCCTTGCAGACCGGTTTTAGAGGAATTTTCTGAAGATCCTCCTCACAACCCCTGTAAGACCGTAAGATTCTCTTGGTGACCCCTCTGATATGCAGGTTTTCAGGACCCCCCCCCCCCACACACACACACAGCTTAGAGACCCCAGCGACCCCCTGGAGCCCTCCTGACGTATGTTCTTGAAATCCCTCCAAGACCTTCCTGACACCACCAGAACCCCTTGAATCAATACTTCTGCCTTACTAAGGGACTTTTCTAGAGATATCCCTCCCTGAACTTGCTCACACAGGTCCCCTAAATCCTCTAGAATCCCTTGAAGAAGACCCTCACACACACCTAATTTTCCCCCAAAATAACCCGAGCTCTTGCTCTGAGAAAGTCCTATAATTCTTTCTGAAAAACCCTCTCCTCTGACACTCTCTCAGAAGACCCCGCCTTCCCCATATACTCTTTTGGAGACTTTACTCAGCTTTCTCCTCAACTGAGATCTCTGAAGAGTTTTTCCTAAAAACATCCCTCTGTCATCCCACTCCAGGACCAGTCTCAGAAGACCACACCTTCCTCAGACACTTTTTAGAGAATTTTCTCCCAAATTGCCCTCCATCAGCCACCCACTCCCAGCGCTTCCTGAGACTTCCTCAGAACTTTCCCTCAGATTCCACTTCTGACATCCCCAAGAAACA
Organism: Homo sapiens; assembly: GCF_000001405.40. Classification (NCBI taxonomy): domain Eukaryota; kingdom Metazoa; phylum Chordata; class Mammalia; order Primates; family Hominidae; genus Homo; species Homo sapiens. The sequence goes on from NC_000019.10 coordinate 39,344,558, forward strand.
TTATTTAGGACCCTATCAGATTTACCCACTAACTTTAGAATTGCTATTTACACCCTCTCATTTCCCCATTCTCTTTCCTCTGAAGTCAACTCAGAGACCTTTCTCAGGGGGCCCCCTTTTCCCATTATCCCTTCAGAGGTCCCCAACATTCTCCAGACTCGTTGCCCAAGAGCCTCTATGTTTCCTTGTAAAGATTCTTGAGAGACACCTTTCCCCGCCCCCTTGAAATCCCAGTGCTCCGAGATCTTTCTTTCAGACCATTTTTCTTAGGTGCCATGCTCATAGACCCCTCTTCCCTTCAGAGATCAAGAGACCCTTAACACCCTCCTTAGAGACTTAGGATTCTCCCCATTTCCCTTTCAGAAGCCTTCTTCCTTCTCCCCTTTGAGGACCTCCTCACCAAATAATCCCTTCCCCTATAGCAGTGGTTCTCAGTGTGGTTCCTGGCCCAGCAGCAGCCACATTTGTTAGAAATACACATTCTTGAATCCCACTCAGATCTACTGAAACTGAAAACCTGGGAGCAGGGCCCAGCAATCAAGAGTTTTTAACAAACCCTCCTGGTCATTTTGATGCACACGCAAGTTTGAGAACCTGTGCCCTTTAGGAGGATTTCCTTTTCCTCACTAAAAGCCCCCTGAAAGATGCCTCAGGGTATGCCTCTGTGCCCTACTGCCCACTGCTGCTTTCCTGTTTCCTAGGAATCCCCTTTATGAAGTACCCATCCTCCAGAAAGATTTCTTACCTACCTTGAAAGGATCTTGGCTTCTCCACAAGGTTACTCCATCCTCTGAGCAGTTATTTCCGATTCTACTTTTGAATGGTTTCTTTTCAGATCTTCCTCAGTGCTTTCTCTTTCTGGCTACCCCTCCAGCCCACTACCAGCCTTTGGTGCTTCTTTAAATTGCTGCTTCTTTGAACACACATATCCATCTCTTCTTGTCCATCTGTTTCTTCACATAGGCACCCTCCCCTTGAGGCACCCTCAGGAGGTCTTTTCATTCTGTGTCTTACTGCCAAGACCCCTCCACCTCCATTGTACCTCTTAGAACACCACTCACCTTCAACCTTGTAGATTTTAATGTACTTGTCCACTCACCCTCACTGGACTAGGAACTCTGAAAGTACGGGATGTGTCTTGTTCTTCTCTGAATCCCACAAGGTGGGATCTACTCTTTGTAAGTTATTGGAAATCACTGGAGAATAAGCAGCTCTTCCTTCTGCATTTGGCCAGAAATCTCCAAGTTCCTCAGATCTCACTCCTCATTCAGGTTTAGTACACCTTCCCTGCCCCCTCCTCTCCTCTCACCTCCCTTTTTTTTCTCCACACAGCACCCTTTGCCTTTACTCCTGCCCTACTTGCTCCTGTCTTAGGGACTTTCTTTGTGCTGTTTCCTGATTCTGAGCTACCCCAAGTCCTTTGCCTGGTGACCTGCCTCACCCGTCCTGGTTGGCTTCTCTTAGCAGCCCCTCTCAGCTGCTAAGTCTGGAGCCTCCACAGAGCTCTTGGCATTTTTTCAAGGGATTCTGTTTCTAGGGCCCAGAAGGGGAAACAGAGACCCCAGGGTAAATATTGGGGCCTGCCTTCAGGGAGCTCACAATACCAGTAGGGGGCTTGGGCATGTACAGAGCAGAAAATGAGGTACAAATTATATGCTGTAGAAATTCAGCAGTGAGAGGGAGCCTTTTATTTGGAAAGACTTCACAGAAAAGGTGGTATTTGGGCTGGATAGTGTTCCATGGGAGTTGGGACAATGATGGTGCCCCCAGGCAGAGGAAACAGCTTAAGCAATGGGTCAAAGACAAAGCCTCCTCATCTCTCACCCATGGTATCTCTTCTCTTCACCCAAAAGATAGAGATGAAAGAAGACAGATTTCCTCCATTTGCATTGTATTTGCCAGCTGCACTTTAGTGACCTACAGAGTAATAATAATAATGACCACTGGTTTTTGAATGCTTTCTAACTGCCAGGCACTGTTTAAGTGCTTTACATGTATTCATAGGAGGTAGGAGTTTACCTACCCTATGAGGTAAGTAAACTACCATTATCCTCATTTTGCATATGATGAGATTAAGAACAGGTAGGACTAATAGAGGGTCTGTGGGCACTGTCCATTCCAAGATGGTAGTGCCTTGGGTCAAAAAGTTTGATTTTTAGTTAAGATAGGTTTGGCTGCAATGGGGCAGTAGTTGTTAGGTATGCAGACCCTGGGTCTGGACAGGATTTGTATCCCACATTACCACTCACCAGTTTTGTACCCTAGGACGAGTTACTTCCCTGGTCTTTTAGTTTCCACAGCTAAAAATATGAAGGAAATAATGATACTTTACTTCATAGAATTGTTACGAGGATTAAATAAGTTAATACATGTAAAGTACTTAGAACAATGTCTTGCCCATAATTGCAATGTTAGAAAAACAATAAAATAAAAAAAAAGCTCATATCAGCCAGAACTCTAAAAACATAAAGTGATAGAACCTTAGCTCAAAGTGGTTTAATGAAAAAAGTGGGGGATTAATTGGCTTTTGTTACTGGAAAGTCCAGAGCTAGGTTGGCTTCAGACCTAGCTGCATCCAGGTGTTCAAATAATTTTCTCAGTCATCTCCTCCCATTTCTCCACTGAGTTAGCTTCATCCTCAACAAGCTTCTGCTTTGGATGACAAATATGGTCCTCAGCAGCCCCAGGTTTTAACCCTACCTCCTTGGAAAGCCTTAGTGGAAAGAGAACTCTTTCTTGAGAGTCCCAGTTTGAAAATAGTTTCTTCCTTGAATAGATGTGAGATTATGCCAGAAGATCCTTAGAAACATATTTTGGGTTCTGTACCCTGCAACTCAGTCTCTGGCTTGCTGAGCCAAATAGGCCTGTGATTCCATCCGATGAACTTTCTGAGCAGTGATGGCAATCTCCCTCCCCACTGTCCCCCAGCCGCAGTCATTCTCTGCTCTGTGATTGTTTGGGTCTAGAGAGAGCTTGTGGCTGGTCTGACTCAACCACACTTTGCTTTGGGATATCACGGGTGATATGAGGTGATCAGCCTGGCTTGATGGTGGCCTCAGGGGAGCAGAATCCAGGAGTAATGGCAATACCCTCACCACAGTTTAAGGTTTCCAAGACACAGAACTTTGGAAGAGAGTTAAGTAGGATTGCTGTGAGTGGAGTTTTGTTTTGTTTGTTTTAGTGTAAACTTGTTGAATAGAAGCGGGTTCAGGGCAAGTTACAGAACAGCAGTGTATGGAGTATGCAAGTCTCAAATATCTCCAGCCTGCACTCATTCATTAATGCATGGAGGCACTATTCTAGGTACTGGAGACAGAGCAGTGAATAAAACATTCAAGGTCCTGAAATTCATGGAATTTATATTCTGATGGGGGGAGGAAACAAAAAAATCAGAGTGTGATTCATGCTGTGAAGGAAATAAAACAGTGTGAAAGAGAGGGTGGGAGTGGCCACTGTAGTAGACAGGGGGATCAGAAGAGGCCTCTTTTGGGAGGTGACAGTTGAGCCTGATAACCAGAAAGATGAGAAGGCACCAGTTGTGGGAAGATCTGGGAGTGGAACATTCTAATCTAAGCATTGTTACATGCAGAAAAAGGACCTCTGCAAGGTGGGGAAATTTATCACAGATATTTATTGAGGGCCTGCTATGTACCAGGTGCTATGCTAGGAATTGGAGATGTAGCAATGAATAATATAGCTACAGTCTTCCCTTCTCTCATGGATCTTACAGTCTAGGTGTTTTTGGAAGAGCTGCAGCCTTTGAAGAAACATCTCTTGATGATGATATCATAGACTCCTTCCTACTGGGCAGATGAGGCAGAATGGGGCACAGGTGAGCCCAGATCTGATTGATGAGAAGGAACCAACCTTGTGACGGTCCGGGGAAGAGCATTTCAGGCAGAGAGGTCAGCAGGTGCAAAAGCCCTGCCATATGTTCAGGGAATCGCAAGGACCAGTGTGGCTAAAGCCTAAGTGAGGGAGAGGGGTGAGGGTTGGAAAGGCTGACAGAAGCCAGATTACTTGCAGCCTAAGGGCCACAGTAAGGAGTTTCTATTTTCATTTAAGGGGATTGGGAAACTATTAGAAGGGAGTTTTTAAAAGCAAGACAGCGACATGATCTGATTAATTTTTTTAGAAAGCTCACTTTGGTTTCTGGGAGGAAAACAGAGGGTCAGGACAGAATCAGGAAGGAAAGTTAGGAGACAATCCATTTGTCCAGATGAGAAATGGTGACATGAATGTGGTGGTGGTGGTGGTAGTGAAGATGTAGAGAAGCAGATATATTTTGGGTGTACAGAAAACAGGACTTGATGATGGGATTAGAGAAAGAGAGGAATCTAGAATAATGATAATAGCCAAGTCATTTATGCCTCACAACTCTATGAGAGTAGGCACTATTATTATTTTCTGTCTTCCTTCTCAGTAGGTACTATTATTACACCCACATTACAGATGACAAAACAGGCATGGCAAGGTGAAATCACTTGCCCAAAATTACACAGGTAGTAAGTGGCAGGCTTATATTTCCAACCCGGCAGTCTGGTTCTAGAGCCACTTAGGTTTGGGGAAAGATAAGCAAGGCATGTGTAGCTGACATTAAGAAAAAAGAAATATCAAGACCTAATGACTGGGTCTTTGGGAAATGGAAGAAGTCAAAGATGACTCAAAAAAATGTCTCAGTTGTCCACAGAGAGGTGATGATTGAATCTACAGGAGTTAATTACATGCCTAAGTGAGAGAAAACAAGTGTAAAGAAGGGAAAGGAAGCAGAGAATAAACTTTTCGGGGGGAAGGGGTGTCAAGACATTTAGGAGTGGGAGGAAGAATGCTAGCTTCCTCTCTATTCCAGAGTTTACCGGAGCTCCCCATACTGTACTTATCTTCCAGGAGGCCCTGCCTGGCTTCTCCTCTCCTCTCCCTCCCTTCCCCAGCACCATTCATACAAAAAGCTCATTCTTTGCTAATGCAGTGGTGTACATGTTTTGTGTACGTATTTCAGGAGTTTCTGGAAATAATGGTTGATTCTTATAAGAGAAGTTGTGCTCCCTTGGCTTCTGACAGTCTCTTCTCAGGTTATGAAAGTGAGTTAACCCTAGGTAACTAGCCTGTTACCTTGTTCATGAAGTGTAAGTTCTCAAAGGCCTAGGTCGTGCTGTAAAAAGAACTAGGAATGGGTAAGAAGGCAGATAGGATCCCCTTATTCATCCAGAGATGTTGGTATTAAAGGGCCCTTAGGCCCAACTTTCACCTTGTTGCCCAGGCTGGTCTCAAACTCCTGGGCTCAAGCGATCTGCCCACCTCAGTCTCCCGAAGTGCTGGGATTACAGATGTGAGCCACCATGCCCAGCTTTCTTGCATTGTTAAGAGCAAGCAAGAGCTCTGAAGCCAGACTGCCTGGCCTTGAAAATCTCAGCTTGGTGTACAGTCTTGGGCAAAGTGACTTAACTTCTCTGTGCCTCAGTTGCTCCATCTGTAAAATGATAATATATTCATATATGTATGTTATATATTTTTGAAATAGAGTTTTGGGGATCAAATGTGCTTATCTGTGGAAAGCTGTTGGCAAAGGGCCTGACAATGTATGATGTATGAAGACATGCTAAGCATCATGCTTGCTATTGAAATGAAGTATAGAGGAGGAAAAAAGCATCATGCGCGGTATTTTTAAATACATTGTTTCATTTAATTCTTCTAACAAGCTTCATTGAGGAAGAAACAGAGTTACTTGTCATAGTCAATACAGCAAGTAAGTATAACAGGAGAGCCAGGATTTAAGCCAGGTCTGACTAACTCCACCATCCTGCTTCTGAATGAAGAGAGCTGGACTCCAGAGGCACTGTTTATGGGCATATGGGCCTTTTCTCACTGTTTGGGGCCAGAGAAGAAGCCCAGAGGGCAGTTTGTCCTGGAACATCTCAGCATTTTTTTGTTTTTGTTTTTGTTTTTGTTTTGAGACAAAGTCTCCAGTCCCCCAGGCTGGAGTGCAGTGGCGCAATCTCAGCTCACTGCAACCTCCACCTCCCAGGTTGAAGCGATTCTGCTGCCTCAGCCTCCTGAGTAGCTGGGATTACAGGCGCCTGCCACCACGCCCAGCTGATTTTTTGTATTTTTAGTAGAGACAGGGTTTCACCGTGTTGGCCAGGCTGGTCTCGAACTCCTGACCTCAGGTGATCCGCCCGTCTCGGCCCCCCAAAGTGCTGGGATTACAGGCGTGAGCCACCGTGCCCAGCCTTTCTCCAGGTGGGAGTGCAGTGGCATGATCTCAGCTCACTGAAGCCTCGACCTCCAGAACTCAAGTGATCCTCCCAAAGTAGCTGGGACTGCAGGTGCACACCACCACGCCCAGCTAATTTTTGGATTTTTTGTAGAAACGGTTTTGCCATGTTGCCCAGGCTGCTGATCTGGAACCTTTGGCTTTTGTTTTGTTTTGTTTTTGTTTTTTGAGACAGGGTCTCACTCTGTTGCCCAGGCTGGAGTGCAGTGGCACGATCTTGGCTCACTGCAACCTCTGCCTCCCGGGCTCAAGTGATTCTCCCGCCTCAGTCTCCCAAGTAGCTGGGGTTACAGGTGCACGCCACCACGCCTGGCTAATTTTTTTGTAATTTTTGTAGAGACGGGGTTTCACTGTGTTGCCCAGGCTGGTCTCGAGCTCCTGAGCTCAAGCGATCCACCCGCCCATGCCTCCCAGAGTGCTGGGATTACAGGCGTGAGCCACTGCACCCAGCCCTCTTAGCCATTTTGTTAACCTCATTTCCCACCTCTGGAGGTGGTAGGGGCTTCCCAAGAAGATCACTTGGACCTCTTCAAGTATGGTGGCAATATTGCTGGGCTGTTGGAGAGACTTCTGTTATAGAGGCTCCCCTCTTGTGTTTTTCCTCAAAGGCAAGGAGTCATTTTTGGTCACATGAGGACAAAGAGACCAGACCAGTAGTGCATTCTGTTTTGCATGGGAATTGTCAAGGCTCTTTCAGTTTTAACTGAAACCCAACTCAAACTGGCCTAAGTCAAAAACGAATTTATTCATCTATGTAACTGAAAAGAGTGGGCCACAAGGGGGAGGCTTCAGGCTAGCTGCATCTAGGTTTTAAATCATGTGAACAGATCTCCCTTTCCCCCTCCCCCATCTCTTGACTTTGCTGTCATCTGTTAGTTTCATTCTGAAGCAGGCTTCCACCGTGAAATAGAAGAGGTGGCAACTGGTGACATCATGAGACGATGTGTAATCTGAGCAACCCTAACCAAGAACTTATTTTCCTTAGTAGTTCCAGCAAAAATCCAGAGAGGACTATCCTTGGCCAGGCTTTACCCCATGTCCACTTCTGGAGCCAAGAAAGACAGTTCCTTCTCCAAGGGGAACCCAGGGTGTTGATACTAGAAGATGGAAATGGATACAGTAAGATGCTGCCACAGTGAGATGCCTCACCCAGGTCTCCCTCTGTCACTTCAGCCAAGCACATGGGATAGAAAGTAGCAGGCGGCCTCTGGCCCTTTAATGGAAGAGGGCCATCCAGTCCTCTCCAGTTAACATCTAGACCGAACACAAAGCATCCTTCTCTCATCCAGAAGACATAGGAACCCTACCTTCAGGGATGATTTTTTTTTAACAGTGAAATCTTAAAAGTAACTGTTTCACTAAAGCCTCCAGTATTTACTGAAGACTGTCAGAATCATCCTCCATCACTAGATCTTCTCCACCAGTCATGTTCCCTGAGCAGTGGGGTGGCTTGAAGGTATAAACCAGAGAGGCCCAAGGGAGGGATAGTTAGCAGACTTCTGGTCTTTTTCTAGTTTGTGCTCTTCTGTTCCAAGGACCACAGGTATGTCTTCTTCTGTGTAGTTGTTCACTATTGTTTCAATGTGATTCGTTTCCCACATTTGAAAATAGGGGGGGATTTTACTTTAAAATTCAGATATCTGGCTCCTCTTTAGGGGAAAAAAAAAAAAAAAAAAACCTAAGACGTAACAATACTGGACCCACATTCCTTCATGGTAGCAGTTGATAAGAGGTGGATAGTGACTTCTCCCTTTTGACCGGGTGTGGACTTTCCAACTCACCATAGTCCCAGTTGGCCTGCTTTGTTCAAAGCCTGGCCTTGTAAGCATCATGTTTGAGACCCTATTATGTCCGAAAGCTTTGCTTCTATCGTTTGGCCTGGGGGGAAAAGCTGGATTAATGTTTAGTCAGCAGCTTATTGGGTGGGTGGAGGGGGGGAACAGTGCTGTTGCTTAGGAAAAGTAACAACCCAGTAAAAGAATTTATGGGAAAGAGTGTGCACAACTTTGGTCTGTTTGTGGATTTGGTCGTTTTTTTGCTGTAAATGCTGTTGGTATATCAAACCTCCTGTCACAAATGTTCCCTCTGAAATAGTAACATGTCCTTCTATCTTATGAGTTGCCACCCAGTGAAGGAATCCCTCCCACTCCCGAGGGATGTTCATCCAGCCTCCGCTTGACCACTTCCAGCAGCCAGGGAGCTTATTACCTCCTCACATGGCAGCCAGTTCCATTCTTGGACAGATGCGTTATTTTAAAATTCTTCCTTATGTTGAAGCAGCTGCTGCCTCTTTGGGACTGAAAGCCACAAAATGCTGGAGCTGGGAAGGAAAACCGATTTTTTTAGGCGCGTGAGCTACCACTCATCCACCCTGCATCCAGGGCAAACATTGATAATTAATCACAGCACTCTTTCTCACTGAGTCAGGAAGTATGCTGCCTTAAAATTGTTTTTAATTAAATTCTTTTTTAAAAATTACAAAAGTAATATGTATTCACTTGCAACTAGTGAAGTAGTACAAAGTTATATAAAGATAGTGTTAATAATCCCCCTGTTTCTCCAAGATAGTGTTAGCAGCCGAGGGTGTATTCTTCTATACATTTATACACATATAGACATAAATATTCATATATAAGATATATAAGGGGTTTTGTATGTGGCTTTTTTTTAATTTAAAAAATGGCATTATATTGTACATATTACTGTGTAGCTTATGGACACCCCTCCAAGTAGTTACAGATCAAACATTGTATATAGCTTTGTTTTTTTGTTTTCTTGTTTTCTTTTTGAGATGGAATCCCGCTCTGTCACCCAGGCTGGAGTGCAGTGGCATAATCTCGGCTCACTGCAGCCTCCACCTCCCGGGTTCAAGCGTTTCTCCTGCCTCAGCTTCCCAAGTAGCTCGGACTACAGGCGCCCGCCACCACACCCGGCTAATTTTTATATTTTTAGTAGAGATGGAGTTTCGCCATGTTGGCCAGGCTGGTCTCAAACTCCTGACCTCAAGTGATCTGCCTGCCTCAGCCTCCCAAAGTGCTAGAATTATAGGAGTGAGCCACCACACCTGGCCAGATTAGGCATGTTTTTAATAGATACGTTATATCATACAATGTGGGATCTGCCCCAGTTTATTAATCATTCCCCATTAATGGATATTCCCATTCATTTCTTCAGGATTCTTCTCATCGCAGTGCTCCAGGCAGCCACTACCAATCGATTGGAGTTAGCCTGTGAGGTAAAACCTATTTGTCATGTCTCACCCAGTCCCGCTCCTTATCCTACATTCTAGAGAAGAGAACAGACTAGCTCCGTGATCAAAGTGAATCAGTGGCTTGGGCAGGACTAGAACTGAATTTTCTTGACTTTCAGCATTTCCTCTATCCCATGTTGTCACTCCCTTGGAGTCATCTACCCTGCTTTTCTCCTCTAGAGTAAAAGAACAAATATAATTTCTTTTCTGCGTGCTACCTCTTCAGATATTCAAAGTCAGTTATGCCATTCCCCTTGAGTCTTCTCTTCCCCAGAGGAAAATCTCAGTGCCTTCAATTTTTTTTTCTTAAAACAAGGTTTTCAAATCCCTTTACCATCCTATGAGCTGTTCCTTCTATCTTCTTCCCCCCTAGGGCTATAGAAATCCCAAGTGTGGCTTCCACATTCACCTTCTATAGCTATTTATTTATTCAATAAATATATATTGAGCACCTTCTACGTGCCAGGCACTGTTGTAGGCACTGGCTGACTGTATGGCTTGCGTTTTGGTCAGTAGAGAGAAACAAATAAGATGATACCTGAGAGTGCCAAATTATATAGGAATGAAATAGTGTTAATATAATTGGAGGAGTAACTCCTGAGATTGGATGGTCAGGGAAGCTCTCTCTGAAGAAATGACAATGAGCTGAGACCTGAATGACAGGAGCCAGCTTCTAGGGGAAGACAGTTCCACTGAATAAGAAATAATTTGGTACAAGATGAGGTTGGAGTGGCCACAGGAGTCCTATAGGGCTCGGTAGTTCAAGATAAGATGTTTGGAATTTGTTTAAAATTTTTTTTTCTTTTTTTCTGAGGCAGAGTTTCCCTGTCACCCAGGCTGGAGTGCAGTGGCATGATCTCAGCTCACTGCAACCTCCGCCTCCCAGCTTCAAGCGATTATCGTCCCTCAGCCCCCCAAGTCACTGGGATTACAGGCGTGCAGTAGCACGCCCGGCTAATTTTTGTATTTTTAGTAGAGACGGGATTTCGCCACTTTGGCCAGTCTGATCTTGAACTCCTGACCTCAAGTGATCCACCTGCCTTAGCCTCCCAAAGTGCTGGGATTACAGGTGAGAGCCACCATGCTTGACCTTATTTAGATTTTATTTAAGTGCAATGGGAAGTCATTGGAGAATTTTAGGCCAGGGAGGTGACATCTGATTTCCCCTTTAAAAAAAATTGCTGGACGCTTGTTTAACTTGGAGCAAGGTTTCATTTTCCCTCATACCTTTCCTGCTTCTTACATCCAAAGGGATTGGCAACCAGGCCAGTTCAGTCTGTTTAGGGGTCCCACAGGGGATCTGTGAGGCAAGTCACAGCTGTTGCCTAATGCACCCCACAGCCCTCCTCAGCAAGCGCACGGAAGTTCAGAGAGATGTGAGTAGCTCCCTTAGACCTGAGCCCAGTAGGTTCAATGGGTCTTTGTATGAAGTTCTCAGTCCGGGGAACCTTAGTCCTTTGGCAGCCAGAGGGGGATGGAGCTGAATGTGGTTTGAGGATAGAGCCAAGGGCACTGGTTGCAAGAGAGACAGATGGAAGAAATGTTGAGTGGAGATCTGGAGCTCGAGACACTTAGAAAAAGCCTTCGGAGTGGTGTCCAGAAACCAACCACCTGAAAAATAGGTCTGTTGTTTGCCCAGTTGAAATAACTTTTCTTTAGTTCCTGCCTAAGAGGGGAATTTGGACACTTTGTAGCTTGTGAGTTTTTGACTTTTGATCTGTCCCCTTCCCCTCAGGTTGGCATTTTCTTTGCTTCCAGGAGGAGCCTGAGACAAGCTGGCATCTCTGGAAGTCGGGGACTTCCCAACCAGAGAGTTTAGGTTTGGAGTCTTCAGGGGAATTAAGAGGGCAGGGAGCGATTCACCTCAGAATAGAGATGGGTAAAATCTGATAAATCAGAGTTGTGCCTTTTCCAGAGTCAGGGAAGCTGGGTTAGAGAGGGTGAGATTCCCTCAGCCTGTTGGTGATCTTTGAAAAGCCCTTTGTCCATGCCCACACCTGATAGATACCCAGCCAGTTACTAATCAGATGGCTGGCTGCATACCTGAGATCTCCACCAGGGTCACTACCCGACCATCCATCCTCTACCCAGCATTGTGGGTCTAGCTTGAAGTAATTTAAAGAGCCCTTGGAGTCCTATCAGTAGGTTAGGAGTCACACTGCCCAGCTCTCAGAGAAGGTGGCCAGAAACCAGCAAGGTCAGAGATGTGCTGTGCTTAGTCATGTCACCTTGGGCCAGATCGCCATCAATTCATATCTTTTCTCATAATTTGCAGCCTACTATTTCCCACTTCTGAAAAATTTTTCCAATATATTTTCTGTGTTAAATCCGCTTCCTTTGACACTATGACAGCCAGGTGTGAGGGCCAACATCTCCTTGGTCTCTGGGATAGGCATCTAAGTCCCAGTCACGCCTTTTCTCTGGATCTGAAGATTTGGGTGAAAGTAGCTTTAATATCTGGTGTTGGCTTCATGTTTCTTCCAGGAGCTCAGCAGAGCAAGTACCCTGAAAGAGAAAGGCATGAGGCCTTCATGCCCCCTCAACCCACACTCACCAGGCAAGTTTCAGCCCCTTCTTTCTGTTTGACCCCTTTGCTTCCTTTTTCAGGAAACTGGAGAGGCGTGGCTGGACCAAGACCTCCCCCCATGTGAGCAGGCTTCCTCCTCCCCCAACAACCGTTGCCACCACGCCCAGAAACGTCCTTAAGCCCTGGCCCTCAGGGGAAAGGTAACAGGAGGCCAGAGCCGGGACCATGTGACGGCGCTGGCCCTCGCCACCGCCGTCCCCCGACCCTGGCCCCAGGCCCGGCACCATGATGTTCCGAGACCAGGTGGGCATCCTCGCTGGCTGGTTCAAAGGCTGGAATGAGTGTGAGCAGACAGTGGCCCTCCTGTCACTTCTGAAACGGGTCACCCGTACCCAGGCCCGCTTCCTGCAGCTCTGCCTGGAGCACTCACTGGCGGACTGCAATGACATCCACCTGCTGGAGTCGGAGGCCAACAGTGCTGGTGAGTTTCCACCCTTAGAGATGGGAGCACAGCAGGAGGGAGACCTGGAACAGATGTCACATGGCTAAGAAGGTCAACCCAACAATGGGACTAAAAAACGTGGGTTCTAGGCTTGGTGGGTGGGGAGTTCCTTACCTTCTAAGTTGTCATCATGGGTCTTCTGGGACTGTGTTGCCATAAATCCTCAGGCATGGTATGGTGGACTTATGGGAGAAGGCAATGCAAACTGGAAACTCCCCATAACAGGAAGATCATGTAGAGTGGCTTATGTGGGCTGCTGAAAGGAACAGACTAAAGTCATTATGAAAGGCGTATAGAAGGTGAGCAGTAATTAATTTCTTAAGCTTCAGGATATCAGGGCTAGGAGGGAATTTGAGAACTCTTCCAAAATTCATGTCATCCTATACTATTCTTTACCCTCAAAGGTAGGTTGGACTTAAAGCATAAGCAGCTTCCAGAAAGTTTTGAATTTAGATACAGTTCATCCTGTCAGTTCCCTAAGTACTTATTAGGCACTCTGTGTCCTGTGAGATTGGCATTGGGATGGGTGAGCCAGGCTTCTCTTAAGACCTGTCCCTTAGGCCCCAGTTGTAGACAGGAGTCAGGCTAGAATCAGGGGCTACTGCTGAAGCTACTCTAGCTGTCTGGGCCTCCACAGGGCTGGATGGAGAGCTGTTGGCCCCAGTGACAGATGGGAGAGATGGAGGCCAAAGAAGAGGGAGGGTAGTGGATACCCGAAAGCTAGCTGGGAAGGGCATCAAGGGGCTCCATGCAGTTTGTCCAAATTAGTCACCCTAACTCTTTGCACCTTCTTCTTCAGAATAATAGTTCATATTGAGCCTTTACAGCAAGCCAAGTACTGTCTTTACTTGTATATTAACTTTAAAAGCAGTGTTCTTGGCCAGATGCAGTGGCTCACGCCTGTAATCCCAGCACTTTAGGAGGCTGAGGCAGGCAGATCACCTGAGGTCGGGAGTTCGAGACCAGCCTGGCTAACGTGGCAAAACCCCGTGTCTATTAAAAGTACAAAAATTAGCTGGGCATGGTGGCAGGTGCCTGTAATCCCAGCTACTCGGGAGGCTGAGGCAAGAGAATCGCTTGAACCCGGGAGGCGGAGGTTGCAGTGAGCCAAAATCGTGCCATTGCACTCCAGCCTGGGCTATGAGAGCGAAACTCTATCTCAAACAAACAAACAAAAAAAGCAGTGTTCTTACGTGGCTCTCAAGTCAGACTGTCTAAGTTTAAATCCCAGTTCTGTTACTTGCCATATAACCAAGTAACTTAACCTCTCTGTGCCTCACTTTCCTGCGCGCCACCACGCCTGGCTAATTTTTGTATGTTTAGTAGAGACGGGGCTTCACCATGTTGGTGAGTCTGGTCTCAAACTCCTGACCTCATGATCTGCCCACCTCAGCCTCCCAAAGTGCTGGGATTACAGGCATGAGCCACCGCACCCAGCCAGTTTCCTCATCTTAAATTCAACATGATATCCTGAGAAGTATGTAACCTCAGTAAAAAAAAAAAAAGAAAAGGAAAGAAAAAAGATGATAATTATATCTACCTTCTAGGGTAGTTGTGAGGATTCAGTGAATTAACACGTGTGGCTTCCTACATGCCTGACATGTAGTAAACAATAACTGTCAGTTGTTAATTGTCAATAACTCACTTAGTCCTCACAACAACCCCATGAGGTAGGTCCTGTCATTAGCCCCATTTTACAAGTCAGGAAACAAGCATGGACTGCTAGGATTGGGTTTTGGGGAGCCACACAGCTGCCTGGCCTCCCTCATCTCCCCAGGCCCACCTGCCTTAGCAACAGTCACCCTTATTTTACTGAGTTTTTGTGTGGAAGTCACAGAAGCAGCATGATTGTAGCGGGAGACGGTTACTCAGGCCAGGGGTCACATCAGCTTAGTTCCTAGTCTGGCAGTAAGTTCTTAGTCCTAGACAAAGAGCAATAAGAACCCAGCTCAGCTGCAGCAGGCTCGGAGCTCAGCCATTTCTCACCCCTGCCACACTCCCCACCACTCTAACACTAAAGGCAGGAGTTCTGTTTGTGATATGACTCTGCCTTTATAGTGGGGGCTCCTGTGGGGCAGGCCAGTGTCTTACACAGCTTCGTCACACATCCCCACTGTCCCATCCTGAGCAGGCAGTTGGATTACCTCTGGGTGCCACTCTTAGCTGTATATCAGAATCACCAGTAGTACTTAGTAATTTCAGTGCTTTTAGTTTTTGCTTTTGTTTTCAGAACTTGCAGTAAAATCAGATAGTACAAAAGGTGAAAGTGAGGTTTTTCTTCCAGACTTCACGTTCTCATTTCCTTATGTTTTATGAGATAAATTCCCTGCATATATGAATGCATATATATTTTCCTTCCAACTTTGTCATTGTTTTGTCTTAATACATATGGCCAAACATGCATATTAACCAGTTTGGTTTTTTCACTTACCAATATGATTTGAAGATCATTCCGTATTCAGCACATACGTCTGTTTCTCGTTAAGTATTTATTTACACCTCACAACAACTCTGTACTCCCCTGTTACTCCCCCATTTTACAGAGGAGACTGTAGGTCTGGAGATATTAAATGACTTGCTGTGGGTCACACAATTGATAAGAGGTAGAGTTCAAATTTGACTTCAGAGTTCTTTAGAGCTCTTGACCAATAGACTCTTCCACATGGTACATGTGGTCTTCATCTTACAAACAGTGATGTAATGAGTACCCTTTAAACATCTCTAGGATGAACTCCTCAGATTCTGCAGAACTGCTAGTTTAAAGGTGTATGCAATTAAAATATTTGTTCTCCAGGCCAGGCGCGGTGGCTCAAGCCTGTAATCCCAGCACTTTGGGAGGCCGAGGCAGGCGGATCACGAGGTCAGGAGATCGAGACCATCCTGGCTAACACGGTGAAACCCCGTCTCTACTAAAAATACAAAAAAATTAGCCGGGCGTCGTGGCGGGTGCCTGTAGTCCTAGCTACTCGGGAGGCTGAGGCAGGAGAATGGTGTCAACCCGGGAGGCGGAGCTTGCAGTGAGCCAAGATTGTACCACTGCACTCCAGCCTGGGCGACAGAGCAAGACTCCGTCTCAAAAAAAAAAAAATAAAAAAATAAAATAAAATATTTGTTCTCACCACATTGCCCTTGAAAGACATGCTGCATTTTATACAAATAACCTGAGGCCCGTTCCCAGATGGTTTGCAGTGGGATATTGGTGGTAATGCCTAGCCAGGGTTGAGAAGTGCTGTGAAATGAATTGAATGATGAATGAATATATGAATCAAGGTTTTTATCCATAGCCCCATATCAGATGGTGAGAATAACAAGCTGGTACTTAAATGGGTGGAGAGGAAAGGAAAACTTAGAATGAGGGAAGGCCATGGTGTGTTCCAGAGTCAGCAGGAAGCCTGCCAGGACTGGAGCAAAGCATGACTTGAAAGAGAAGTGATCACAGAGGTAAATTCTGGTAGAGTCTTGAATGCCTGTTTTCTAGTAGACCTGAGGGCTCTAAGACTAAGAAGCAGGTGCCTCCTGTTTCACTCCTACCCTCAAGTAGAACCCCACCTGCCTTATTTGTAAAGGAAGGTGCTACTTTCTGGGCCTGGAGACCTGCCTCAAAGAAGGAGCTGTTCATACTCTTGTTTCTCCTCTGGTTATTATGGCCTTCCCATTCCCTGGTGTTTCTCAAACTTGCATCATCATCAGAATCACTGGGGTTAGGTGACTGTTACAATCCAGATTTCTGCCCCCCATAGACCTACTAAATCAGAATCCTGAGGGTATGGGCCTGGGAACGAGTACCCAGGTTCTTCTGCTCACCAGGCAGTGTGAGAGGTGATGCCCTGCTGGATGATTCATTTGTTGTGAGACATGAGACACCCAAGAGTTGTAGATCCAGCTCTCCACTAACACCTCTTGTGACCTGGGTCAGTCCTGCCTGACCCTCTCGGGCCTCAGGATCCCCATTTGGACAGTGAGGGGGTTGTTCTGGTACTTTCCAGGTACTTCTTGGGCTCTGAAATAATGTGCCAAAGAAGACAGAGCCACAGCCAAGCATACTACTTTCTTTTGGGAGAGGCCCAGCACATTATTCTAGGGCAAGAGTTCTTAATATTTAGCGGGATGGACCAGTTAGAAAATCTTCCCCTCCTCCCCACCCTCCCCAAAAAGATGCACACCTACTCCACAAACCAACTCTTGAGTTCAGTTGGTTCACTAGTCCCCAGTTAAGAGTTCCCTGGCCGGGCGCCATGGCTCACACCTGTAATCCCAGCACTTTGGGAGGCCGAGGCAGGCGGATCATGAGGTCAGGAGATTGAGACCATCCTGGCTAAAATGGTGAAACCCCGTCTCTACTAAAAATACAAAAAATTAGCCAGACGTGGTAGTGGGTACCTGTAGTCCCAGCTACTTGGGAGGCTGAGGCAGGAGAATGGTGTGAACCCAGGAGGCGGAGTTTGCAGTGAGCCGAGATTGCGCCACTGTACTCCAGCCTGGGCAACAGAGTGAGACTCCATCTAAAAAAAAAAGAGTTGCCTGTCTTCCCGGCCGGGCGCGGTGGCTCACGCCTGTAATCCCAGCACTTTCGGAGGCCGAGGTGGGCGGATCACGAGGTCAGGAGATGGAGACCATCCTGGCTAACACGGTGAAACCCCATCTCTACTAAAAATACAAAAAAATTAACCGGACATGGTGGTGGGCGCCTGTAGTCCCAGCTACTCAGGAGGCTGAGGCAGGAGAATGGCGTGAACCCAGGAGGCACAGGAGCTTGCAATGATCCGAGATCGCACCACTGCACTCCAGCCTGGGCGACAGAGCCAGACTCCGTCTCAAAGAAAAAAAAAAGTTGCCTGTCTCCAAGCCCTTCTTTAGCTTGGTCCCTTCAAACCTGGAGAGCTGAACAGTGAGGTAGATCCCCTGCTTTTTTGTGGGTTGTATCTCCATGTCCCACCGAACCAACCTTAGTACTTCCTCCAGTTCTCCAGGGAGAC